>NC_000014.9:51732925-52035955 GCF_000001405.40 Homo sapiens | reverse complement strand
GGGTGGATCACCTGAGGTCAGGAGTTCAAGACCAGCCTGGCCAACATGGTGAAACCCTGTCTCTACAAAATAAAACATATATATATATATATATATATACACAAAAAAATTTAGCCAGGTGTGGTGGCATGTGTCTGTAGTCCCAGCTACTCAGGAGGCTGAAACAGGAGAACTGATTGAACCCAGGAGGCGGAGGTTGCAGTGAGCCAAGATTGTGCCATCGCATTCCAGCCTGTGCAACAGAGTGAGACTCCGTCTCAAAAAATAAAAATAAATGGAAGCAAATAGTAGTAGAAACAAAACTCTAAAACCATTCTCATCGGGTACAGTGGCTTACACCTGTAATCCCAGCTACTCTGGAGGCTGAGGTGGGAGGATCACCTGAGCCCAGGAGTTTGAGGCCAGAGTTGGCCACATAACAAGACCCCGTCTCAAAGTAAGCAGTGGTTCTCAAATTTTAATGACCATTAGCCTCACCTGTGAAGACTGATTTTAAAATGTTCTAGGCATATCATGTCACAGAAAGACATGCAGGAAACTTAAAAGCATGTTGCTCTGTGAAAGCAGCTAGTCTGAAAAGGCTACATACAGAATCATTCTAACCATGACATTCTGGAAAAGGTTACACTATAGAGACAGTAAAAAGATCAGTGGTTGCCAGTGGTTCAGGAGGAAGAAGGAGAAGGATGCATAGGTGGAACATGGGATTTTTAGGGCAGTGAAACTATTCTGTATGATATTGTAATGTTGGTTATAGGCCATTATGCGTTTGTCAGTCTATAGAACTGTCCAACACCAAGAGTGAGCCCTACTGCAGACTATGGGCATTAGTTAATAATGTGTCAGTATTGATTGGGGATAACAAATGCACCACACTAATGCACAATGTTGATAATAGGGGAAACTGCACATTTTGGGTGGGGGGATATGGGAGCTCGTACTTTCTGCTCCATTTTTCTCTAAATGTAAAACCATCCTAAAAAGCAAGGTCTTAATTATTAAAAAATGTTTCAAGCAAGCCAGAGGATGAGCTTGTGAAGTCAGGGAACTCTACAGATGGGAAGTGGCTTTGTCAGATCAAGGGGACATTTTAATTCTGAAAACCAGGTCATGTTTTCCCCTAGAATGTAAGAGCCACACCAGGAGAAAAAAACCATCTTCCTCAATTCAGCCACTGTATTGAAACTGTTGAGCCCAGAGTTAGCTCCTCAGTGAGGTGAATCTGTAAGTGATACGCGGTTCTGTGCTTTGTTATTGGAGCTGAGGGCTCCTTAAGCCTCAGCAGGCTCAATAAAGAAGTGTTGCTTCAGCAATATGACAAGATTAAGGTACAAGGACTAGACTCTTTTCTAGGATGCGAAAGTGACTTGTAATGAGAATCCCGAGGTGCTTTGGTTTTAAGAAACTTGGTTGGGAATGTAGGCATTAGGTGCCCAGATATTGGATTGTAAGGTAGCAAATGAACACATGAAAATGTGAGTTGATTTTAGAGGAACATGTAAATTAGAAAGGGAAAGATTGCTGTAGTAGATTTCTCAAAGAGAGATTTAAACCTACTGGGGAGAATGGTCTTTACCTTTAAATGTCCAGGTCAGCCCTGTGTTGGGTGTAGGCATCTGATCTGTAAAAGCAACTGTTAGTGAAATTTCCCAGGCTATGGAGTCCCATTCAGATTCTGGAACCATTTAGGAAAAAGATGTGTCTCTGGGTATATTTTTCCTAGAGACATACCAAATGAGAGTAAGAAAGGATCAGAGAAAGCAAACTGGCAGGTACCAAGTTGCTTGTTTTCTTTAGAATTTTATGATTTTCCCTCCCACCCCAGTCAAATAATAATATCAAAGGATGGTTTACTTGGTGCCAAGTACTGTTCTAAGCACCTTACATGAATTAACTCATTTAATCCCCACAATGACCTCTACCCAATGGTGGGGTGGGGGTGGGGTTATTTGTTATCCCATTTTACAGATGATGAGACTGAGGTATAGAAATGAAGTAATTTGCCTGGTCATAGTAAGTGACCTGGGTGAGCTGGGACTCAAACTCAGGCACTGGCTCCAGTACGCACACCCTTACCCCTCATGGCTCTGCTGTTCCACAGTGGCCTCATGACTGCCTCATAATTTAGACCAAACTTTGAAAGAGGCAATGTGTGTCTTTTAAACCCTTTGTGTTTGAACCCTACTTCATCCACACACAGCAGTACTGTTCATTCTACCTGAATAGGAGGGAAAAAAAGAAAAACAAAAAAGAAACACCCAAAAGTTTTTTCTTTCCCCTCTTGGTACACAGCAGTATCTTCCTAAGAACTGCTCAGTTTTTCCAGAGGGAACGATAGTTGTTGGAATTCATGTGAAACAGCGCAGCTGTCCACACCTGATGTGGGTGTGGTGCGACTTCCCAGGGCGAGGATGCAGAACTGGGGTGTCTTTCCCAGTGAGTAATTGGAGCCTCTGTCCCTCGGTGACTTCTCAACCAGCAGTGCCACCCCCCACCAGTTGTTTGAGCTTTAAGCTTTAAGTGTGAGTCAGCTGTTTTTTGTTGTTGTTGGTTGGTTGGTTGTTTTGTGGGGTCATAAAACACGATCCAAAAATGCTTCCTGTCCTTCCACTTCACGGGTCCTTTTGGCGAGTTGAGGAGGCTCTGGGCAGAGGGCTGTGCAGTGAAGCTGAAGGGACTGTTCCTTTAAGGAAAACCGCTCTTCCCCTTGATTAAATGAGTAAATTAGTTCCAGATCCTCTGTTAAGAGAGTCAGGCAGTTTAAGAGGGTGAGGGCGAAATAGAAAATGTCTTAAGAAGGATACTGTGTTCTTTACTTACTATAATAGGAGAAAAGCTTACAAGTCATAGAGAATGAGTCGTGAAATGGTTTTAGAAATGTATTTTAAAAATGTTTTGGGAAGCCAAGTTCAGTGAATGGGGCCCTGTGCTCAGAAGAGCCCCATGCTTGGTTTAACGCTTTGCTTTGAACCATGGGCTCCACATTTTCATTTTGCACTGGGGATTGCAAATTATGGAACTAATCCTGTCAGTGACATACATTTTAAATCAGTATTGAGTAATTAGGGACACTTTCTTCTCAATTTTAGGTAGGATAATATATCCTGTCCAAGTTTGCAAGTCAACTTTTGAGCTGAGATTTTTTTTTTTTCTTTTAATGCCTAGCAGGGTGGTAAGCTCTTGATGTCCATGTGAACACACTAATCTTTGCTGGAATGTGCCATGGTGAAATTTTGATGCTGGAAAGTACTGAATAAGAAGGCTAAGCATTAGTATTTATAAATCAAAACATGTTGACAATTACTTCCTGCTTTGGTGGGGTATGCCAGGCATTTTGTACAGAATCTTCCTAAAATGGAGAAATGATGGGAGATGATCACGTTCTTGTCTTACATTGGGTCCTAATGGATGAAGACATGACCTTGTCCTTAGTTATAACCTATTGAGGACTGACTCAGGAACCTGGTCTAGGCTCAAGTTAACTCGGCAACCACAACCCCAGTGCGGTGCCTCTTTCCTGTCAGCCAAGAGATCCAGAGGAACGGACCTCCAAGGATGTCTGCATGCTTCAGGGAGCTAGGCTTATGCTGACATAGTTCATCAGGTTTAAAAAGTGCTGGAATTATTTATTGGTCCTTTGTTTTGGCAAAGATTCTGTTACTCCAGCCGACAACATTGTGGTGAACTGAGGATAAACCCATAGCCCTCCTTATTTTCAGCCAATAATACGGGAATCAATAATACGGGAATATTCCACTACAAGAATGCACTGTGGTGTTTCTTATAAAGTGGGATGGAAAGAGTTTACCAGAAAACAAGGCTGTCTCAGCCAAGGCATCCCAGCTCACAGCAGGCTATGACAGGGCACTGGAAGAGCCATAACGTGGGCAGTAGGGCAGGCACGGGGGAGAATGCCAGACACCCTGAAGGACTTGGGAGCGAGTCCAGTCTATGAGGTCAGCTGCAGCAGTCAGCACTTGGGATCTAGATTAGGAGTCACTCTGGGCAAGTCTCCCCCCATAGCAGTGGGGTTGTGGTTGCCAAGTTAACTTGAGAGTATAGACCAGGTTCCTGAGTCAGCATCTGTTACAATGGAGAACAACAGGGTCATGTCCTCATTGAAGGCTCAGTATAAGACAAGAACCTGATTCTCTCCTGTTGTTATTTCTCCATTTTAATAGAAGATTCTGTACAAAGTGGGGTGGGAGACACGGGTCAGAAAGAGTGAAATGATAGAGAATCCAGGAGGAGGTGGTAAAATGGGTGGTACTGCCAGTGTCTGCCTACAGATGCCATGATGCTGGTGTCTGTGAGTAGTGAGAACTGGTGAGCAGGATGGGACTCAGAGGATGCTAAGCTGGCTATCAAGACAGGGCCTCAGGCACAGAAGTATGAGGCAGAAGCCTGAGTTATTACAACTTAGATGGATCTCCCTTTGTAGCAGAGATGGCTCAATGTAGAACCTGACAGGCTTAGCTGGGGCTCTGGAAATCTTTTGAGTCTAAGATTAGAGTTAATTCTAGGGACTGAGGTTGAGCTAGAACCTCAAATAATGATGAACAGTGGCCCCACTGAGAAGGCAGAAGGAGTGCAGTCAGTAGAGACTGGGTAGACCTGCCAATGGGGAATTGCCTTTCAAATATGTTCTGTTGGGTTTTCTTAATTTTCTTTAGCAGGATTGGCAGATGTACATGTTCCTATTTCCATTTTACATGGCAGACTCAGAAGTACACAGAAGTGCCAGAGTTGATAGATTCATTCTACCTGAGCATCTGACACTCCTTCCAATACCTCTGTGCCATTGGCTTAGACTAGATAACTTCATGAAGTTCCTTCAGTGAGGGTTGCAGCAAAGCGGTGGAAAGCATGAGCTATGGAACCAGACTGCTAGACTTTTATTCCAGCTCCATCCACCTCTTCTGACTGTGTAACCCTGGGCAGGTTATTTGGCCTCTCTGTGATGCAGCAGAAGTGGAGATAGTATTTTCCTCACCATGTAGTTAGAAGGATGTAATCAGGCATCCTCCTATCTGTTTAGAACAATGCCTCACACATAAATGCTCAATGAGCATTGACTATTATGTAGAAATAAATATATATATTTTAAGACATGGTCCTGTTCTGTCACCTAGGCTGGAGTGCAGTGGCACAATCATGGCTCACTGCAAGCTTAAGCTCCTGGGCTCAAGTCATCCTCCTGCCTCACCCTCTGGAGTAGCTGGGACTACAAGCATGGGCCACCATGCTCGGCTAATTTTCTTTCTTTTCTTTTCCTTTTCTTTCTTTTCTTTTTCTTTCTTTCTTTCTCTTTTTCTTTCTCTTTCTTTCTCTTTCTTTCTTTTTCTTTCTCTTTCTTTCTTTCTTTCTTTCTTTCTTTCCCTTCCTTCCTTTCTTTCTTTCTTTCTTTCTTTCTTTCTTTCTTTCTTTCTTTCTTTCTTTTCTTTCTTTCTTTCTCTTTCTTTCTTTCTTTCTTTTCTTTCTCTCGAGATAAGGTCTTGGCATATTGCCCAGGCTGGTCTTGAACTCCTGGCTTCAAACTATCCTCCTACCTCAGCCTCCCAAAGTGCTGGGATTACAGGCATGAGCCACCATGCTCAGCCAAAATAGATTTCTCTAGGGGAGATTTCAGTCGTTAAGTAATCGCTACCTAGTGAGTAGATGGATCCTTGGTAAGGCTACTCCTGAAGAGTAAATACTGGGAAAGTCATTCCTGTTTAGTCTTAGAAATCTTTAAAAAACAAGATTTTTAAAATTAATTGGATTTACCTATAAAAATTGGGAATTTTAGTAAGAGATCAACAGATTTAGAACCAGGAAGTTGGAGTCTGAGTCTTTGCTGTGCCACTTCCTGACTTTGTGAGCTTGGGCAATTTTTCCCATGTCTCACTTGATTTCCTTATCTGTGAAAATTACACATAATGGGGAAAACAACTCACCACATAGAATCATCCCAAGAATCACAGGAAATAATAGAGCAAAAGCACTTTTAAACAGATGTTTTGGGCGTTTTTATTCCCTGGATGCAAACCTACTGAAAGCAAGTAAAGGTACTAGTTGTCTATAGGGTAGGCAATAGGAAGCCATGCTGGAGTTTAAAACTGAAGTGCAGAAAATCCACCCTAGCTTCAGATATGGATAATTTAGTAAGGTCTTCCGGTGTGTCACAAAACACAGACATGCAGTCAGTTCCGAGGACTCCTCTATCTCCGTGACATTTGCTTACCAATAGCCAGATTGTGCTTTTATTTCCCCTCTACTCATGCAGAGGATTCAGACCCCACTCCGGGGAATCCTTGCTATGATGGGAGCCACATGTGTGACACAACAGCACGGTGCCATCCAGGGACAGGTGTAGATTACACCTGTGAGTGCGCATCTGGGTACCAGGGAGATGGACGGAACTGTGTGGGTAAGAGCCATGTTCTCGTGTCTCCTTCTTGTAGCCCTTGTTTTTCCTCTGCCCTCCCCAGCCTTATGTCTGTAGAAGACAAGTATCTGTCACCTTTACAACCTCCATTGTCAATGATTTTAGCAGCTGTTAATCTGAATATAGTTATTTAAAAATTAAAGCATAGCTGTTTATGTTTGAAAAGATGGTTTGGAGTGGAGTGGATTTTGCACCGGGGCTGTGAAAAGAAAACATCTGTTGCAGTTCCTGGATGTTTTGAGTTAAGTTTTGTAATTTTGAGCTTTTGTAGTAAGTAGTTCTTAGACTTACCAAAAAGCACATTTTCTGATTTTCTTTAAATTTTAGACAGACATTGTGTGTCTTATATCCCCAAAAGGCAACGGTAGAAATTTCTTGATATTAAAAAAAATTGTTGGTTTTCTTCCAAGTATCCATTCTTTTTAAAACAGTTAAAGAATTCTTAGAATATTCACTTAAAAATTTATCTTCCTGTGGTGTTTACTTGAATGGCATGAAATTTTTACTATTTCTGATTATCTGCAACATGCATTCATATCTGATTTTTAAAAATTCTACATCTGCCAACCATTTGTCCCATTGAAGCATCATACTAGTGAGAAAACATTGAGTTTTTAGACCCTCCACTTCTGGGACCCTTGAATTAAGCAGAATTTTTCTCTTCTCATTTCTTCTTAGATGAAAATGAATGTGCAACTGGCTTTCATCGCTGTGGCCCCAACTCTGTATGTATCAACTTGCCTGGAAGCTACAGGTGTGAGTGCCGGAGTGGTTATGAGTTTGCAGATGACCGGCATACTTGCATCTGTGAGTTCCAAAATCATTTTCCTGTGTGGCCAAAATGGTGCTCTTTAATCTTGCTCTTTAATCTGTCAGTGTTTTGACTTCTGCTATTCAGAGGCTCTGCTATATGGTTTTCTTAAGAAGACAGTTTACATCAAAATAACCCAAAGCTGGCTGGATGTGGTGGCTCACGCCTGTAATCATCGCTTTGGAAGGCTGAGGCAGGTGGATCGCTTGAGTTCAGAAGTTCGAGACCAGCCTGGGCAACATAGCAAAACCCCGTCTCTACAAACAATACAAAACATTAGCCAGGTGTGGTGGCACACGCCTGTAGTCCCAGCTACTCAGGAGGCTGAGATAGGAGGATTGCTTGAGCGCAGGAGGCAGAGGTTGCAGTGAACTGACAGCATGCTAGTGCATTCCAGCCTAGGTAATAGAGTGAGACTCTGTCTCAAAAAAACAAAAAAAAAAACAACAAAATCTCTCAAAGCTATGGCTCAGTTTCAGCCCTGTTTATTTTCACTGTTTTTCCCTAAATAGATATTTTTGGTGTTGAGTTATTGAAGGATGCCCACCTCAGTTGGGATTTCTGGCCCAGTCATGTAACAAGATGATGAACTTCACTAGTAAACACCTCCAGCTCTTTAGATAGAGCCTAAAGTATTTTTCAAATTAGAAGAGATGGATTTATAATTCACTGATGCATGTCCTACTTGACTGGCTAAAGAGCTCCTTCTGTAACAAATTACCTCTTCTGTATTTCCAGAAAATACTACAGACCTAAAAATGGATCAAAAGAACTATCCCAATTCATCCCATTGATAAAGATGGATGAGAGTAAAGAAAATGCACTCTTTAGCCAGGCATGGTGGCTCACGCCTGTAATCCCAGCTACTCAGGAGGCTGAGGCAGGAGAATCACTTGAACCAGGGAGTTGGAGGTTGCAGTGAGCCGAGATCACGCCACTGTACTCCAGCCTGGCGACAGAGTGAGACTCCATCTCAAAAAAAAAAAAAAAAGAAAGAAAATGCACTCTTTAATTCAGTGGGATGAGGGTAAAAGTGACAGGAGAAACTGCGTGTGTGTGTGTGTGTGTGTGTGTGTGTGTGTGTAGCAATTGCTCTGGAGTGTTATAAACTTTAATTGAGGACTGCTTAGGTGATGGGTTTTTGTGCTTAGTATTTTAACAGCAAATTCATACCAGTACTTGAACTTTAATAGCATACAAACCATCTAGGAATCTTATTAAAATCCAGATTCTGAATCACTGGACCTTGGGTAGGGTCTGAGAACCTGCATTCCCTGGTCTGTTGCTGTTGGTCTGTGGATCATGCCATGAGGAGTGAGGCTCATCCTTTGCAGGCCTAAACTCTGGATGCCCTTATCTTCTTCTCTTTTCAGTGATCACCCCACCTGCCAACCCCTGTGAGGATGGCAGTCATACCTGTGCTCCTGCTGGGCAGGCCCGGTGTGTTCACCATGGAGGCAGCACGTTCAGCTGTGCCTGCCTGCCTGGTTATGCCGGCGATGGGCACCAGTGCACTGGTGAGTAACTGCAGGTCAGCCTCAATGACTGGAAAGTTGCTTTGGATGCACATCCCCACATAGATGGAGCTCTCCCAGAAAAGACAAAGGACTTCCTTTGACTCTAACAGCCTTGTGGCTGCCAAAATAGTGAGAAAAAAGCGTCCTTTGAGTTAGAAAGGGGAGCCAAGGGTGATTTCCTCTGGACTAGATGGGCGAGCATATATGGCTTCCTTGGCGGAGACGTTCCTGTAGCACTCGGGAGCTTCTAACCTTGGTTCCTTGGAGCCAGCGCAGGCTGGAGGAATTTAGGGAAAGTTGCATACCTTCCTGTTAGGCGGTCTCCACCTTAATTCAACACTTATGGTTGTGCTCTTCTGCTTTAAGTGATATTTTAAGCAATCTCTAAACACATATGTAATTTCTAATTTTTCTCCTCTTTCAAAAGAGAGAACTCCACATATATAAAAAGACACATATCAAAACTTTTCTCCCAGAAATCTATCTTTAAGACTTAATGCAGTATTTTATAAAAGCACCAAACCATTTGCAAGGCTAGCCATTGGAATTTAACTTAGAAAGAATGTGTGAGGTTGTTATTTAAAGGCTCGACATAACTCTCTGAGTATAAATGTCCATGAAACTAGGATTAGGAGTACTTTAAAATAGAAATCATTAAATAAATCTTAAATCACAAAAGGTTTTCCAAACATACCCTGTGGTATGTGATCAGATTGAAACTCAGTTTCACGTGAGTCACACACACACAGTTAGGGTAAAACGACACACTGGGGATGAGAGAATGGTGGGAAACGTGTTTAGAATGGGAAAGGGCCTGCTGGGGAACATGAACCTTAAAAGGCAGACTTTCCCCTGCTCCTGGTGTTGCTGTGTGCATCTGCCTCCATCCGCCCAGGCCCACCGAGCTGATGTGCTAAGAACAGCTTTGCAATTCCTGGGAGCTTTATACCAGATCCGAATAGCACGGGCCTCCCTCCTCCTCACCAGATGTTTGATTCTCATCCTTCTCCCATTCCTTTTTCCCCTTTGGTTTCAGCAGGATGGGCTGAGTGGACAGCAGGCTGAGGCCATGTGTTACTGACAGAACAAAGGTCACTGTGACAGCAGCTCAGCCCTCCACTTCTCTCTGGATGGGGCAAGTGCACATGGTGGTTTCTGAGCCTCATTCTTACTCTTTCCACTTGTGCTGTACAGAAGCTCTGCTGCATGGTTTTCTCGAACAATTTATGCTGAACTAACCCAAAGCCGTGGCTCAGTTCAGCCCTTTTATTTTTTTCTTTCACTAAATAGATACTTTTGGTGGTGGTATTGAAAGTTGAAGCTATGGCTTGAATATTCGTCTTCTTCAAAACTCATGTTGAAACTTACATTCCACTGTGGCAGTATTGAGAGGTAGGGCCTTTAAAAGGTGATTGGATCATGAGAGCTCTGCCCCTATCAATGGATTAATGGGTTATCTTGGGAATGGAACTAGAGGCTTGATAAGAAGGGAGGCCTGCCTAAAATAACATGTTAGCACACTCAGCCCCCTCACCATGTGATGTCCTGCACCACCTCAGCCCTCTACTGAGAGTCCCAACCAGCAGGAAGGCCATCACCAGATTTCAACCCTTGACCTTAGACTTCTCAGCCTTTAGAACTATAAGAAATAAATTCCTTTCCTTTAGAAATGACTCAGTTTCAGATATTCTATTATAAACAACAGGAAATTGACTAATACAGATGGTAACCCTCAGTTGGGATTCCTGTGTGTCTTGGTATTAGGCCCAGTAATGTAAGAAGACTATGGACCTCTTGAATAAACACCCCTAGCTCTAGATAAAGAGTATTTCCCAATTAGAATGAGGTAGATTTGTAATTCACAGATGTTTGTCCCACTTAACCAGCCAGGAGCTCCATCTGTCATAGATATACTGGTGAGAAAACATTGAGTATATCTATAATAGATACACTCTTTACAGATACCCTCTACAGGTATGGAGTTCAGGGTGAGGTGCCAAAGCCTGACAGTGGGAATGATGCTTTTCCTTCGTGTGGAACACATCGTTTGTTTGGTTTAACCCTAGTACCAGCTCTAAGAAATGTGAATCCACTGAGAAAAATCTTGTCTGTAGAATTTATTTAAACATCTGGCTGCTCAGATCAGCAGAGATGGTGCTTTTAAAATATTTAGTTCCTTAGCTCTCTGGTTTAAAGCAAAGAAGTTGAAATTAATTTCAGCCTAGATATGATGAGTGTTAATCAGAATATTAATTTAGATTAGATGCTGCATGCTTTGATCACTTCTACAATGATTCTCTCCCTCCTTTTTTCTTCTACTTGTCCTGCAAGACTTTGATTACCTTCTGGGGTCATGTTAGGGCTCTGAAATTGACTACTTTTCCATATTGGGAATTTAAGTATTGTCATTTTTTAATTTGCCCTATTTTTGTCATTTTCAATTGTCCCTATTTTATTTCTGGTTCTCTGCTTTTAGGATTCTTTCCAAAGCCTACAAACTAAAAATATGCCAAACCCATCAGGTGCTTCCCCCAGTGTATTGGTTATCTATTGCTGTATAATAAATTACCCTAAAATGTAGCAGCTTCAAGCAATAGACATTTAATATCAGTGGTCCAGGGACCTGGGAATGGCTCAGCTGGGTCCTGTGCTTTAGGATCTCTCACAAGGCCACAGTCAAAGTGTCTGGTGGGTCAGTGGTCTCATCTGAAGGCTTAACTGGGGAAAGATCCACTCGTGGTTATGGGCAGGATTCGGTTCTTTGAGGACCATTGGATTGAAAGCCTTGGTTCCTTGCTGGTTGTTGGCTGCCTTCAGTTTCTTGCCACTTGGGCCTCTCTAACACTACAGCTTACTTTATTAATGCCAGAGAAAGTCTGCTAGCAAGATGGAAGTCATAATCACAAAAATGACATCCCTTCAATGTTGCTTTATTAATTAAAAGCAAGTTACTGAAAGGGTGGGGATTACACAAGACCATGAATACCACTAGGTAGGGACTGTTGGGGGCCATCTTAGAGGCTGCCTACCACAGCCACTTACCATGTAGTTGTCTTCTAAACTTTCAGATTGTGGAGTAGTAGAGAATGAATGGTCATTTTCCTAAAGACCCATGCATAAATCAGGCTAGGCTAATCATGAAAGTAACTTGAAGAATAAATATTGAAATATATGTGTATGTGTGCATATTTAAAGGCATTCCATAGGGTACATGTGTCTCAGTGACCAAAGAACAGAGGCTGTATTTTGTGGGTGCTATGCATTGTTAAAGCACATGCTCTTTTACTCCATCAAACTAACAATAAGGGGGTGTGGGAGTTTTTCTCCAGCCATAGTTTGTTAAAAAAACCGGCTCCCTGGAGAGGCTGCACTTGGATTTGGGTTCTCAGTCTGGTCTGAGTCACTAGCCAGGAGGCTTTTATCCAAGTAGAGTTAAATCCTCTGCAGCTTCCCTCAATCTGGAGTGATTTCAAACTTGTGTTGGTGTGAGCTGGATATTTCTCAGACATGTTTGTCCTTTTGGATTGTTGTGACTTGGCCAGGTGCAAAAGCAGATTGTCTTGAGTTGGGACCTTCCCAGGAGGAGCAAGTGTGAGTGGAGGAAGCTGGGTTACAGATGGCCCATTACCCAGAGCCATCATTACTCAGGGGCCTGAGGGAAGATACTGACATTATTCTTTCTTGGGTTTCCTGGCGTTTTTTCTTTTCTTATTTTTTTTTAATTTTTATTTATTTATTTATTTTTTTAGGCAGGGTCTTACTTTATCACCCAGGCTGGAGGGCAGTGGTGTGATTACAGCTCACTGCAGCCTCAGCCTTCCAGGCTCAAGTGATCCTCACATCTCAGCCCCCCCAAGTAGCATGCCCAGCTAATTTTGGTATCTCTTGTAGAGATGGGGTTTCATCATGTTGCCCAGGCTTGTCTCAAACTCCTGAGCTCAATCGATCTACCCCCCTCAGCCTCCCAAAGTGCTGGGATTACAGGCGTCAGCCACCACACCCGGCCTAGCTTCTCTCTTCTTTGATAACGAAAGCATGATCTCCATTATGTGCCTGGCCAGGTTTCCTGTTCCAAGAATGTAGGTAGATGTTGGGTATGGTATGGTAAAATCAGTGTGGTTATAGGAGGAGGCAAGGATGAAGCTTGAAAGGAAGTAGTTTATTACACTTACAGGTCTGGAGTGGGTTCACCACATGCCATACAGGGGTACAATCAGCAGGGTGCCCAATTGAACAGATTGTGCAGTAGAGAGAGAGTGGGACCTGTGGGTTGAATCCTTTATTGGGATCTGGGATGGGTTTGAGGTTAATTGATGCCAAGAAATTTCACTGGGCTCAAAGGCAAGTGGGCAGTGGTGAAGGGGCGGGAGCCTGGGGGAACTCGAGGCCAGGGGTTAGGTTTATCATCCAACAGTTCCTGCTGGTTTTGCTCAGTACTTGGGCAGTGAGAAGGATGTTGAAGCACGAAAGCATGAACTCGAAGGATTTTTAACACATTTTCCAAACAGGTTCTTTACTAGCTTAATAGAGTGTAGGATTGCACTGAGATTAAGCTACCTCTCATTACCTGAGTGATAAAGGGGCTCTACGACTTCTTGAACGTTTTTGTCTTTATAGCAGTCCCTACAGGCCCCTGCTAGTAATGACTAAGCATAAGCAGTGGCCTCCTTCTCCTTCTCCAATAAAGTTCCTCCCTTGCCAGGGGGCTGAAAGTCTTTCCATGTTTTCTCTCTTGACATCTGATGTCCTGTGCATGCCCAGGTCCCGGGACTCTAGTCTCTATCATGGTGTGAGAGGCCCTCCAAGGAGGAGTCAGGACTGCGAATTCAGGGAGTCTCAATCTTTGGGGCAGGAATTTCTCACTTGTGATATCTTCAGTCTCTTTGGGGACTTTCTCCTCCTTGTTGGTCATTTCTAATAGTTTCTGTCTACCCAGAACTTTAGTATCTTTGATGATGCCAACAGTATCTGTGGGGAGGAAGGCTGGTCTTTCAGATTGAGTCAGAATTCTTAGGCTGAAGGTTCTAAGCACACCGTTGATTTATTTGGTAGCTCTGGGGAATCCCCTCTCTCTTGAGTTCAAAAGTAACAATAAGAAACTGCTCCATGGGCTCCAGAAATAGGCCCTGTGTCTCAGGAATTCCTGCTTCCTGTCATTGCTTGGGGTTCCTGTTACCATTAGAAGTACTTTTAGCATGCGTATTGTGAATAGCTTTAATTTCCTGCATTCGGCTGAATGTTAATTTTTACAGGTTTAGTTTTACAGCCAGTTTTACAGCCTATTCCAGGTCCAAGGTATTGGATGGTCACCAGTTTTGCCCAGCTGGGCATTTGAATTGTCCTGTTGAAGAGGCAGAGCCAAGCTCAGGGATAATTATGACAACATTGGTTGATTTCAGGGTAACTGAGGAGCCAATCTGGTTTGTTTCTACCCTTGCAGATGAATTGATATCTGCTTTCTTGCCTTTATAGGCGAAATGATGGTATCCAGGGAGGCCAACCACTCACCTGGGTGGAGACTCTATGGGTTGCATTGAGTTCAGAATTTTTGGGGGAGGACTCCTAGGAACTGATATATGCTGACTAAACTCCCCAGAGACAGAAGATAAGCAGAATACTTACCTTCTAATTATAACATAAGAGATTCCTCTCTAGGGAACAGAACACCTACGCTTAATGCCCAGTGTGTGTACTTAATGGTATTCGAGAAAGCACATTAGTTATTAGAGGATGACCCAGTGACAGTGTGGTCTGGACAAAGGGTGGTGCAGGTAACTCTAGAAGAGGTTCCATGTGGGTCATGGGAGCCTGGGTGAGGAGCTAGCCCTGTTCCCAACCCATTCACATCAAATTTAGGGCTTCAAATATCTGTCTTCCCATGCTGATGTGTCTCTACCATGGGCTGCACCGTATTGATGCAACACATTCTCATTTTCTAGGTTTCACACTGATCACACCATCCCACATTTTTTTTTTTTCTATTCACACATTTTAAAGAAACTTGGTTATTACTATGGATGGAACTACTGCTTTGTTTTATTTTCAGCCAAGCCTTAATCGGACCTACACCCTTTGTTTATCCTCCTTTTACTCTGAAAGACTTCCTGTCTCTTAAAGTAGCTTATCTCATCCCTTGGGCGTTAGTTTTAACCATTCAATTCTCAGAGCTGCTTTTTTTCTGCTGGGGATGGGAGGGGTGGGTGACTTGCTATTGTCGGCATATGCGGATTTCATTAAATAAAAGGAATGTAAGTTGGCTTTTGTTTGAAGTGTCAGGATTTTGTTGTTTTGAGAAATATGATGGTGAAAATTAATCCTCATGGTGCTATGTGGAGAGTGTAGGGGCCTGAATTGTTTGTACTGATATGCCTGGCAAATTTAGATTTCCATTTTGTAAGTATTATTTCAAAACCCTAGATAATATTTTTTTCTTATTTCTTCTAAAAGTGGAAAGTAAAGAAAATACCTGGTTAATGGGGGTGTGGTTCTAGATAGTAAGATTCTAATTAGTCAAGACAGAATGTGCTTCTTAGCTGAAAAATATTTGGGCCTCATCTGGCTCCTTTGCATCTACAGACGAATGTTACAGGGAGATGGTGCCAACAACGAAAGAAAAAAAAACCATTGTTGGATATATTTGTCTTTATTGCAGCATTGCTGAAAGGAAGTTAATGACTTATAGTCTAAAGGTTAGTTCAAAGGTAATAACTTCCTTGAATTCACTGTCAATGAAACATGCTGTAAGATGTGTTGTTTTTTTCTGTGAGCGACTACCCATTTGATTTCTACACTGAACACGTTTAGTCTAGTGTGTTAACTCACATGTTCCTTGATTTTTTTTCTTCCTTTCTATTAAGCTTACCTTTAGGTGTCAGCATTTTTCTGCTCATGCTCAAAGGTCTTCTGAAGCTGACACCTCACTGGGTGTTGATCCACATATCCAAAGCCCATGCAGTCGCACAGATTGTGTGAGTGAAGTCATAGTGTTCTTTGCTTCTTTCTTCTGTTTCTGACCTCTGCAGATGTAGATGAATGCTCAGAAAACAGATGTCACCCTGCAGCTACCTGCTACAATACTCCTGGTTCCTTCTCCTGCCGTTGTCAACCCGGATATTATGGGGATGGATTTCAGTGCATACCTGGTAAGTTTCAGAGGGCCAGATTAGGCACATGAATCTCTTAGCTCCTTCAAGGATATTTTTCTATGACAGCCCACTCTTGATTTAGCCTGGTCTGGAGCCTTGGTGGATTTTCCAAGCTGTGGATTTTTTTCCTTGGTTACCTCCTGCTGCCTAGTTTACTGATAGTTCACTGATTCGTAACATTTCTGGAGGCCTGCGGGAGACGACCCACCCATCGTCCTACCTCATAGCCCCTCTGGTTAACTGCCCTAGTGATCTGCTTGACCTTGATGAGTGCAATTTGGATGAAGTGTTGAGATCAAGCTTATTAAGCAGAGCCTTATGCGCCGGTAGCCAGGGTTAAGCCCGTGGCGACCGTGTTAGAGGAGCTTGGCTAGCTTGGTGCAGTCTCGTGAGTGGTGAGTGCCGTTGGCTTGCAGCTTCTCAGACTTAACCTGTGGGCCTCAGGGCATGAATGAGCTTTGGCTTGTTTTCTCCAGAGTCTCTTGGGATGTTGGGCAGATGCCACCGCTATCCCTCATTTTCCCCAGATGACAATAGGGAGGGGCCGGGCTGCTTTACACTTAGAGCCAGCTAGGGACCTATAGGATGAACTAGAAGAACTGGAGAGAAATGAGGTAAATAGTGGCAAGGTATTATAAAATAAGAATCTCGGGCTCCAAAATCCCAGCGCTTTTCCATGCCACGCTGTGGGCTGGTGAAGTGGATGGGTTGCAATGCCTTCTATTTCTCTTTTGTGTCTTCCTCTGCCTTGATCCTGGAAGACTCCACCTCAAGCCTGACACCCTGTGAACAACAGCAGCGCCATGCCCAGGCCCAGTATGCCTACCCTGGGGCCCGGTTCCACATCCCCCAATGCGACGAGCAGGGCAACTTCCTGCCCCTACAGTGTCATGGCAGCACTGGTTTCTGCTGGTGCGTGGACCCTGATGGTCATGAAGTTCCTGGTACCCAGACTCCACCTGGCTCCACCCCGCCTCACTGTGGACCATCACCAGGTGAGCTTAGGCCTGGGGCTCAAGAAGCAGAATGGCACTGGTGGTAGGTAGATCATAATTCCTGCCCAGACCACGCAGGCACGGGGCCAGTCACCATCCTTCATAGCCTCTTTCCTCCTGAGAAGACTTGAATAATAGTGCGTACAAATATGCATGTTTGTGTCATAAGGACATAGAGATATGCAATACATGACACATATGATCTGTTACACATTTGCCTCTTAGACCCTTGTCCAGTACAAACTGAAAGTTGAGATTGTGTATGTAGGTCAGACTGAGAACACTACCCTAGACCTGTTATAGAGCAGCTTAGGGAGATCTGACAGTTAGAAGATCTGGCCAGACTGGCGTTTTGACCAGAAGGAAAACTGCTTTCCTATGTAACTATCTCACTTACCTCTGCCTTCTGAATGGCAGGAAACAGTATGAACGCTCTGTTAGTATCAATAGGAAAAATTAGAAAAATAACACCTGCTAGTGGAGCCAGTTAGTTTTCTCTAAACTGACAATCCCAGCCCTCTGTAACCCAGCCCAACATCTCAGAGGAGGCACAGACATCTGGTTTCTGTTAGCCCATACAACCTGAGAACATGCCTGCTACCATCTAGAGCATTCCCCAGCTGGGTGGGGCATGGTGATCAAGTGCTCACAGTCGATTCCAACAGCAGGCAGATAAGGCAACTTTCTGTTCCTTGTTGAATTATTCAGGGATAGGTAAAACTTGTTTCTTTAATCATTACAGAAGAACTTTATTTAATGAAGAGCATAGGATTGGCTTGATACCGTTTTAGCCAAAATGATTCCGACACAGCTTGCTATCCAAAGATCCATTTTTACTATTGAGAAGGGTTCCATAAATACTAGTCTTGGCTTTTAATGTGTGAAAGTAAGAAGAACTGGAGAATTACCAATAGTTTTTTTCCCTTTTAATGGTGTTAACTGTTGCCCGGGTATGGTGGCTCATGCCTGTAATCCCAGCACTTTGGGAGGCCGAGGCGGGTGGATCACGAGGTCAAGAGATTGAGACCATCCTGGCCAACATAGTGAAACCCCGTCTCTACTAAAAATACAAAAATTAGCTGGGCGTGGTGGCACGCACCTGTAGTCCCAGCTCCTCGGGAGGCTGAGGCAGGAGAATCACTTGAACCCAGGAGGCAGAGGTTGCAGTAGGCCAAGATCATGCCACTGCCCTCCAGCCTGGCAACAGAGTGAGACTCTGTTTTTTTTGTTTTTTTAAAAAAAGGTCAGGTCTTGGCGGTTCTCAGATAGGTAAAAATTGGTAATGGTTTGATCCATAGTCGCTCTTTGTTTCTATTTTTAGGAAAAGATTTTAAAGGTCCAAAAAAGGTACAGAGAAATTCTATTTCCCTCATGCCTTCTCTTTGAAAATGTCTTGGTTCTAACTCCATCTGGGATTTGAAGAAATCAAATGGTTGGGAGGTGCCTTTGGGGAATGGTTCAGAATTCGATTAAATTTATTAAGACAGGCATGTGTTAAGGACAATGATTTTAAAGGGGGAACCAAGATTTTAAAGGGGGGGGAACCAAGAGACTGAGAAGTGAATGACGAAAATAGGGTCGTGTTCTCTTGTGCGGACTTTTTCCTGCCCACACTCTCTCGGCGCTGGTTTGGCCCCAACTGCTATCTCTGACTGGTCTCATGTTTGATGGGGTCAGCTTGAGGGAGGGTAAGGACGCTCTGTGCCCACAATTTCAAAATACTTAAACCCTTGCCAACCAGAAGCACAAGAGAAAGAAATTCATGGTTGGGTTGAAAAGTAGCAAATAGTAACGAATGAAAGGGATGCCCATGTATGAGTGATTTGGGACACCCATTTCCCAGGAGTTAGGCATGTCTCTTTGTTTGGAATGCAGACACATAGCACAGGGTGGTCCCTTAAAGCAAAAATGGATCCTTGGAGTTCTGAATGTGGAGCAGGGGTGGAATTGGGAACTTCTCCAGGAAATCCTGCAGTGTTTGAGGAAGTAGCATTTCCCTCTCTGTGTTCCTTGAGACACATTTGGCTGAAGAAGTCAGAGTCTTACCTTCTCCACGGGGTCTTAAAAAGAGCTTTGTCTCCCATGGGTCATGAGCTACAGTGACAACTTAACGGCATTCGCTTCCCCCAATTCTGGTGAGTCGTGCAGTTGAGCTAGAGCTAGTTGGGTTTGAGCTCTGACAACTTCATTCGCAGTCTTTTGTGTTCCAAGAGGAATTGTAGGTGCTGGAACCTGATCATAATGCTCCCAGCTTTGTTCTTTAGAGTCACTGGAGGGTTTTGAACGGAGTGACATGAAATGCCTTTATGTTTAAAATGGGCCATTCTGGCTGCTGCTAATTGAATTTACACTGGTTTTGGAGAGAGTGAGGGCATAGAAGGGTGGAAGCAGGAAAACCAGTGGGAAGGCTGTTGCAGAAATTGCAGGGAGAGGATGAGGCTTTTTGACCAGGGTGAGGGGGTGCAGTAGTGAGAAGTAAAGATATTCTAAGTGGATTCTGAAGTTACCCCTAAAAAGAGTTTTTGACATATCAAATGTGGATGGTGAGAGAAAGGAGGGTCAAGGATAATTAGGTCTGAGCAGTGGAAAAATGGAGGTGCCATTTACTCATATGGGAAAGACCAGGGGAGCAGCTGGTTTGATGGTGAAGGCAGGGGCTCAGTTTCTATTAGTTTCTGATTTCTATTATACATCTAAATGGTGGTAGCAAGTAGGGTTATTGGCTATGTGATTCTGCAGACCATGTGCTTTAAGTTGCAGGAATTAAAAAGGAAGGAGAAGCACCTCCTCTTGTTTAAGTTCCTTTGGGTAGTCCTAACATAAATGAACAAGTTATCTCAATAACCTTCTGCAGCAGAGTCTTCTCAGAACAACCTGTATTTTGGACAAAGCCTCAATGGCACTGTGGAAGCAGCCTGGGAGGAAACTGCTTTGCAACCAAAGCCAGCAGGACTTCAACCATGGAGTGAGCTGTGAGGGAGGGGACAAGAGGAGAGGATGCTGGAGAAAGGGGGGGAAAGGGCAACACGGCAGGAAGCTAGAGCCTGCAGGAAAAGATTCAGCTTTGAGATAATCCCAGGCGCAGGGTGGCTAAAGCAATTCTGGAAACTGGGCTGTGGAAGAACCATTTTTAAGCTGTTTGCCACCACCTCTGCTATGCTTTACTACTAATTCCACTCAGTTTTACCTTTACTCCATGTAGTTTTCCAGTGGGTAGACAGAGGGCACCGTGGCGCTGGGCTTTCAGTAATACTTTCTAAGACACACACTGGCCAGTCGCAAGATGGCCCTCTCCTCAGCAGCTTCGAGCTTGAAGCTTGAAGCAAGTGGGGAATGAATACAAATTGGCTTTAAGCATCACCTCGGCTACTGAGTCCCCAAGGATCACCTGCACAAGTGCTCTGTCAGCAGAGGCGCCCGAGGTACAGGCAGGATGGGCCTTGTGGGCCTCTCCTGGCCAGAAGGAGATCATGCCCCTTCCCAGGCTGAGTGAGCTGCACTGCTGATCTTACCTCCTCTTGTTCTTTCTTGATGTGGCTGGGCCTTGATGACAGACCCTCCTGGCAAGAAAGAAGCATCACATGATCTATTTCTGATTCCCATGGTGGAGAAGTACTTAGAACACATTTGCTTCCCAAGTTTGGTGTCCACGGGCTTGGCTGAGACCTGGACAGTAGGAGAAGGAAGGCCAGGAGGCCAGGCATGGGGTCTTGAGCTACATTTTGCATTCTGTCCTTGACTCACAATCAAAGGTTTTTCTTCTTCCCTCTTCCCCATCTGCTCAGAGCCCACCCAGAGGCCCCCGACCATCTGTGAGCGCTGGAGGGAAAACCTGCTGGAGCACTACGGTGGCACCCCCCGGGATGACCAGTACGTGCCCCAGTGCGATGACCTGGGCCACTTCATCCCCCTGCAGTGCCACGGAAAGAGCGACTTCTGCTGGTGTGTGGACAAAGATGGCAGAGAGGTGCAGGGCACCCGCTCCCAGCCAGGCACCACCCCTGCGTGTAAGCACCTGGCCGCCCCCGCTCCCCTCAGCTGTATCTAAGGCCTTTGCTAGGGATGGTGCCTGCTGTGGTGAAGTGGGGGGACATGTGGGGTCACCAGGTCTAATGAAAGAAGTCACTATGTGCTATGTTGATTTATAATCTGGTCCACACAAGATCCCAATTTGCGTTTGGTGTCTGGTTTTTGTCATTAGCAGCTTCCATAATTGGAACATCTGCAACTCGGTTCAGCAGGCAGTTACTCCCCCTCCCCAGCCCAGGGTGACAGGGGACACGTGTCACTCTGGAGTCCTAAAAGGAAGCTGACACAATGCTGGCTCTGTTTTTTTTTTCTCTTGAAAAAAAAATCTGTTCTGCTTTGTTCTGAGGGAAGTGTTTTGCTGTCTTCTTCCCTAGTAAATGGCAGATTTACATAATTGATCCTTAAAAAAACCCTAGAAATTAGAATTTCTTTTGAAGAACATCTGGAGCACATCTGCGTAGGGCGAAGAACTTTTGATATTTTTGGAGGCTCTGGTATGTGGTAAAGTAACTTTTCTTCCCATCTCCCTGCCTGCCCTTGTTCCCCTTCCTGCTCTCCCACCCTCTCTCCCACAGGTATACCCACCGTCGCTCCACCCATGGTCCGGCCCACGCCCCGGCCAGATGTGACCCCTCCATCTGTGGGCACCTTCCTGCTCTATACTCAGGGCCAGCAGATTGGCTACTTACCCCTCAATGGCACCAGGCTTCAGAAGGATGCAGCTAAGACCCTGCTGTCTCTGCATGTAAAGTGGATTTCTCCTGTAGGGGGCAGGGCTGCGTGGCTTTCCCAGTGGGAGCCACCTCACAGGCCCTGTTGCAGTGAGGTGGACTGGTGCAGGGAAGTCCTGGAGGGTTTCTGAGCTGCAGCCCATCGGCATGGGCCCGATGCCACCACCATAGGACCAGGGCTCTCTCTTGCTGGGAGTCACCTGTCACTGACCAAGGCTGTGCTCTCTGGTTCGTTCATGGAGTTTCAGATAATATGGAAAGGGAACTTTAGAGTTGTCAGCACATGGAGGCTGTATGGTGATCCAAGGGAAAATGGACCGACTCTTACCCTAAGTCCCCAGGGTTGTATGTCATAACATCTCCATGGAAATCCTGGAAATCAAAGTGACAGGACAACTAGTCACAAGGTGTGATCTCTGCGGTTTGTTGGGGACTCCAAGTGGAAGTCAGTTAATGACTGTCTCACCGTTGCAGCCCTTCCCTTTCACTTTGGTTCTGTCCCTTTGACCCACTTCTTTCCTAACCTTCCCTGACTCCATAGATGAAAACTTGAGGAGTGTGTGATGCTGGGAGAGGAGTGGATGGAGCCTTCCCCAGGGGATGTTTGATGCTTCCTGAGCCAGCAGCCTCCCTAATGCAAGGCACCCCATTTTGGGGAGCGGGTTTTCTCAAAAATGGAGGAAAAAAAAGGGTGGCTGTCTCGAATGGCATCGACACAGTGGAAAATCATCTGATTCCATTGTTGAACTTCACACTCCAGGCACTTGCTCATCCCTGAGAAAGAATAGTACGGCATTCAAGTTTACATTTACTTCTGTTAATGAACGACACTTATTTGGTTCCAGAAAAGCTTAGAGGCAGCCAGTGTTTAGGAAGAGATGTGTTCTTTTTAAGATTCGAGTTTGTTGGGTCCTGTCCCCTCCCCCAAGAAAACTCTCACATTGTTTTGTAAAACTTTCTCTGGAAGAGGTAGAGACTAAGAAGTTGACATCACTTTAAGCTAACCCTCTTTTATTCAAGTCATAGAGCTTGATTGCCTTTCTGAACATGCCCCTGACCAGGACAGGGTGGTGATGGTAGTGGTAGTGGAACTGAAAGAAATGGGACGTGGGTTATTTGCACATTTTAAGGAAATTTACTTAAACTGGGACTTTTTCTCTAACCTGAGGTTATGACATGGGTTTATGAATCCCATGATTCCCGGGTTAATGGAAGCTCATTTGAATGTGTACTCTTGCCTGGGACAAACGACTTTTCAATTTTCAAATAAAAGTGTAGTTGACCTTAGGCCCGCCCCCCATATAAGCTGCCTGTTTTTCCACTGAAGCCAAATCCCGTTTTGTACAATCTTTCTTGGCTGACTACGCTCCCAGGGGGCGTAAGTGAAGCCAAGCCCCAGGAGGCTGTTAGGCAAGGCAGGAACTTGTATGACCTCAGGGACAGCCAGCTAACCCCTGAATGTTGGCTTTGCACATCTGCTGGGCTTCTCAGAGCAGGAGCCTGGATTGGAAACTGAATGAAGCAAGTTCTGCATGGAGTTGAGGAAAAATATCAGACTCAGCATTTTTTTTATTTTTATTATTTTTTTAAAAGACTTGTCATTTATTTAGCAATGAGGAGGAGAGACCTCACTAGCCAGAGGTTGGATAACCACTACTCCCTAGTTCCTTAACCCAATAAATTAGATTTTTTCCTTCTTTTGAGACAGGGTGTAGCTCTGTGTTGCCCAGGCTGCAGTGCAGTGGCACCATCTCGGCTTGGTGCAGCCTTGACTTCCTGGGCTCAAGCGATCCTCCCAACTCGGTCTCCTGAGTAGCTGGGACTACAGGTGCGTGCCACCATGCCCAGTTCATTTATTTTTTGTTTTTTAGACGGGGTCTCACTATGTTGCTCAGTCTCGAACTCCTGGGCTCAAGCAATCCTCCTGCTTTGGCCTCCCAACGGACAGGGATTACAGGCGTGAGTCACTGTGCCTGACTACACTTTCTTTAGTACAGGATATAACCAACATCTTGCCTCCTAAGAGTCAGGGGCAGGAGTATAGGTGATTGTACTTCAGGTAGAGGAAAGATCTCATTCACAGAGGAGGGGAGAGTAGATTTTGTTGGCATATAGTGGCAAATTTTATTAAGGCTCTGGGAAAAGTGCTGATGACATTGGGAAAAGATTCAGTTTTTACCCAGTAAAATATTAAAAACTTATTTTGCTTAAGGCCATGTCCTCTAATTACTGAAGGGGCTGATTTTTTTTTTTTTTTAAATCATCAGTCATAATAGCACCTATTGAAGGGCTTACTGTATGCCAATTACTGATTAGGACACTTTACAAGCACTTATAGTATTAATTTTTATAGCAACCATATGAGGCAGGTACACTATTGGCCTCATTTTGCAAATGAGACAAACGCATAGAGGTTAAATGCCCAAAGCCACATGGCTACTAAGTGGCTGAGCCTAGATTTCACCCGAGTGCCCACATGTCCAGCTACTCTGCTCTGTTGCCTGCAGGATCACAGTGCAGTGTTGCTCACTGCAGCTGTGCATGAGCAAGGCAGCTGAGTGTGAACAAAGGGGAAATGTAACCTAATTCTTCTAATTCTATGATTTGATGCACAAAGGGCTCCATAATCGTGGGAATTGATTACGACTGCCGGGAGAGGATGGTGTACTGGACAGATGTTGCTGGACGGACAATCAGCCGTGCTGGTCTGGAACTGGGAGCAGAGCCTGAGACGATCGTGAATTCAGGTCAGCAGCTTCACTCAGCAGTCTGCATTTCATTTGATTCTACAAAGTCACTTGTCTACTTTACGCCGAAGTCTCCCCTCGATTTTTCTCCATTAGGGGAGGTTAAGTTCTAGGCAAGTCATTTTATTGAGCTGTATAAGACTAGCCCCCTCTGTAAGCAAACACCTTCATACATACGGAATGAAATAGGTGATTCCTACTGTGCGCACTTCTTAAAAGAATTCATGGTAAGAATTCAGGGTGACGCCTTCGTTTATTCAGCCTGGCTCTGGCACTGTGGATGCCGGTTGTCATCAAACTGGTAGGTCTGCTGGTCTAGAAGCTAGAGGTAGTGGAATATGTAACAAAAGTACTTGTTTCTCTATTAACCTGGTTCTTGGGGACTTGGAGACACTTGGGCTTTGCTTTCCCCTGCTGACCCCCCTGCCCACCCGACCGTTGGAGGGCTTCAGGTTTGCCCTCCATATCCTGCAAACACTCCAGTCCTGACTTTGCTTTATTTCCAGGTCTGATAAGCCCTGAAGGACTTGCCATAGACCACATCCGCAGAACAATGTACTGGACGGACAGTGTCCTGGATAAGATAGAGAGCGCCCTGCTGGATGGCTCTGAGCGCAAGGTCCTCTTCTACACAGATCTGGTGAATCCCCGTGCCATCGCTGTGGATCCAATCCGAGGGTCAGCTGGGCTTCCCTAATTCTTCTCTTACCTGTAGATCCTGATGTGAAGCCCTTGGGTTTTAAATACAATGTGGGGAAGGTCAGAACAAGAGAGTGAAAGCTCAAATGCATTCATGTAACAAAGATTTACTGAGGATCTAAGAGGTGTCAGGACCTGTTCTAGGAAAAGACAAGGTCTGTTCTTTCATGGCACTTATATTTTATTAGGAGGAAACAAGACTGGTATAAACAATATTAGTCTGTGATGTGATATGTAGAAAATTCAGATAGTGTTGTGAGAACTAGGGCTACTCTGAATCAAATGATCAGGCGAGGCCTCAGCTGACACTTAAACTGGAAGTGAAGTGGGATTCCTCCAGCAGCACATTTAGAAACCAGGGTTGACGCTCACAGTAGGGCTGACCTACATCAAGTGACATTAGCCAAAGCTCAGACACCTCTGGCTTCAGTGTTGCTGTAGCAGAAATCAAGATAAACATTTTCCCTGTCTGTATAATTGCTAAGGTCATCAAATGTGACATACAGGATTTGTTCACTGTCTCAGTACTTGTTACAATCAGGGAGAATTTTTATATCTTGAGAAACTCTTGCCATGTTTAAGTGGAGTTTCTACGAAATGAAATTCCCAGATGCCCTTCAAATCAGTAAAGAAAACCTTCAGCTTTAATTTTCAGGTAAGTGCTTTTTGACTATGAAATACTTAGTGCAGTGCCTCAAAGGTGGTTTCAAACTTTGGGTTCTACACACAGGAAAAGTACCTGTATCCTTCTCTATTCCAGTTGACTTAACAGGAATTAATAGCCCTCTTAAAAACTCTTTGCATAGGCTTGCCTTTCTGACATTTGGACATTTGGAAGGTCCTTTTTTCTTTTTTTTTTCTTTTTTTTGAGACAAGGTCTTGCTTTGTTGCCGAGGCTGGGGTGCAGTGGCACAGTCTCGGCTGACTACAACCTCCATCTCCCGGGTTCAAGCAATTCTCCTGCCTCAGCCTCCCAAGTAGCTGGGACTACAGGCATGTGCCACCATGCCCAGCTAATTTTTGTATTTTTAGTCGAGACAGGGTTTCGCCATTTTGGTCTCCAACTCCTGACCCTGGGTGATCCACCTGCCTTGGCCTCCCAAAGTGCTGGGATTATAGGTATGAGCCACTGCGCCCGGCCCCTTATTCCTTCTTGGTGCTTGACCTGAAAACTGGGGAGAGCTGCCATCTTGTAGGCAATGAAACTTTGGCCATGTCTCTGGAGTCTGGGGAAAAAGCATACTTTTAAGCTGAAATCCACATCACAGCCATGAGTTTAAATATGAAAGTAGAACTTTCTTATCCAGACAGCAAATATAAATGCTAAAGGACTTGAATTTTTAATAAAAAGAAAACCCACCTTGAACCAGGTTGCAATATAACACATGTAATTACATCTCCTTCAACTGCGTAACAGAATGGTTGTCAAGCCTTCCTGCATATTTCTCATTTGCTTTCTATAGATTTCACCTTTACAACTTTCTTCCTCTGGCAATCCCCAAATAATTTACACCAAATATCTGTGTGAGCTTGTTTCAGACTTATTGTTGTTGATGATATTAAATCATTTTGGGGAGGAGACTGATCAGAAGCGATGAAGCAATGATATGCATGCTGTACCCTCTGGCCACCTCCACCTTAGCGCAAAGTGGAAACTGCTTTCTAGCTTTTGCTCTCAGCTTCTCTCTGCTTCATCTGTTGGGCATAAGGGATGAAATTCGCAACAGGGGAAACCTATGGTTTCTTCCTCTCCTCTCACTGAGGTTCTCTGTAGCCCAACTGATTTATTCAAAGCTTCTATAGCTTTTATAAAATAGTATTTTATAAAAAGTGCTTTCAACATTATTTCTGCTCTAACGATAAACCTGTTTGTTTCCTTATAACCTATTTCCACTTAATAGGACCATATTTCCTCGTTAGTATCTGTTATGAATATATTTCATTTTTAACGTGGCATTTAAAAGGTAAAGTGCTTAACTTAAAATGTTTCCATCCCTGGGTGCCAGGTACCCCTTCAAGTACCAAATTGTATTTTTGGCAGAAGAAAGAACAGTTTCCTTCTCAAATCCCTGGTCCACATCTCTTCAAGTTCCATAGTTTGTATCGAAGCCATTCCTAACAGCTGTATTTGTTTCTATTCTAAAACCCAAGATCCAATTCAAGACTTCAACAAACGGAGGGTTTTGGGGCAGTTGAGTCAAGGGGTATCTTGGAGGCAGGGATTCTGATAGTAACTTAGTAATGACTTCTCCCACATAGTGACAATAATCAGAAAACCTTGTGATACAGGTAAAAGTGGAATATGGCTGTGTATTAGTTACCTACTGCTGTGTAAGAAATTGCCCAAACCCTCAGCAGTGTAAGATAACATTTAGTCTCACAGTTTCTGTGAGTCAGGAATCCAAGTGTGTCTTCACCGAGCTCCCTCAGGCATGGAGTCTCTCACAAGGCTGCAATCAGGTAATGGCCAAACTGCAGTGATCACAAGGCTCAGCTCGGGGAAGACACAGCCCAAGCATGCTCACATGGGCTACAGGCAAGACTAATGTCTCTGGCCAACAGCCCTCAAGGACATCAGTTCCTTGGCACATGTTCCCCTTTACAGGGTAGCTTGCAACATGGCATCCAGCTTCCCTCAAAGGGAGCAAGAGAGAGCCCCTAAGGCAGAAACCAGTTTTTTGAGACCGAATATCGGCAGTGATAGCCTATCACTTCTGCTATACTCTATGCACTAGAAGAAGCAAGACACTACTAATGCAGCCCAAACTCAAGGGGATTGCTTAAGGCTATAATACATGAGGAGATGGAGATCACTGGGGGCTGCTTAGATGCTGCCTACCACAGGCTACATGGCTATTCTTTTACAATCTTGATTTTTAACTTACAGCAACTTGTACTGGACAGACTGGAATAGAGAAGCTCCTAAAATTGAAACGTCATCTTTAGATGGAGAAAACAGAAGAATTCTGATCAATACAGACATTGGATTGCCCAATGGCTTAACCTTTGACCCTTTCTCTAAACTGCTCTGCTGGGCAGATGCAGGTAATACTACTGATGGAATGCAAATAGATAACCTCTCATCACAGTGAATGTGAGCACTAACAGATTTTACTACAAAATGAAATCCCATCACTTAGATCTCCTTTCTTTGGTCTGTAAACTTTTAAGTACTAGTAAATTTAAGTACTAGTAAATGAGTCTTAAAATGAACTTTCTGGGGTTTGGGTGGAGGGAAGGATATATCAAGCAGTAAGTTTGTACTGCTTGCCTGACCATGAGTGCCTGGCATATTTTTAACAGTTAAAAGAATTAGCCATTGTTGAATTGACAAACTTAAGTGAAGTTATTCTTATGCGGGGAGAGGGTCACTATAACTTACCTATAAACATCTGTTATAATGCTAAGGACATTCTTTGGAAAGCATTGTAGCAGGGTAGCTTCCTTCAGTAATAACATGGGTATTAGCAACCTACATTTGTTTGCTTTTATCAGCACAACTGAAAAAATGCTGTGTGTCTAGTTCTATACTAAAGAATATGAAAAAGACTGTTCTTGAATTTGTAATCTAATAAAAGGGCCTAATGTACATAGGTCACTTTTATAACCCAGTTGTTTAAAACAAGTTACATTTCTTAAAAGGATTTGAAATTTAAATCGGCTCCATGAGAAATGTGAAACTTGGAAATTCTTGAATGGTTTAGCTATTGTAAAAATTTTTAAGACTGATTCCTTTACATTGAAATATGAGTTATGTTACCATTTTAGTCACTTTTTTCCTCCTACCTAGAAAATATTTTAAAAATACTAAGGATTTTGGTTAAAAGGTTGCCTCAGTAATTATAGACATAGCTTACAAAGGGCAAGTATTTACCCAGATGTTATAATTTATAAGCTAAGGCTTGAAATCACACAAATTATAAAAATAATTATGTTTAATGCCCTACTTTGGCAGAAACTTACCAGATTTCAGTAAATGCAATCCTGTCTTCCAAAAAAGGATTGAAAGTTTGAATCTCTACTAAAAACTGGAGACTAGTAATAGGACAGGTAATTTTACAGTTGCTAATCTATGACTGTAATGGAAGTAAAATATCCTATTTCCCCATTCTATCACTGTGTCACTATCACTATGTCACTATCATTTTTGGCAAAGCAGCTGAAGGACCTCATTTTCCCCCTTTGTTTTAAAAGGAACCAAAAAACTGGAGTGTACACTACCTGATGGAACTGGACGGCGTGTCATTCAAAACAACCTCAAGTACCCCTTCAGCATCGTAAGCTATGCAGATCACTTCTACCACACAGACTGGAGGAGGTGAGCCCCACAAATTCTGGACAAGCCTGAAAAGGCCAACTGTTCCAGAGGACACACCACTTGTTTTACCAAAAGTCAGTACCTGACTTGACTCATTAAGCCCTCTGAGGCTTTTGTTTCATCACCTCCTCATTGGCAGATAAGATCCTTCAAGGATGTTTTTCATCCTTTCATGTTTTTGAAATCATCCTTTTACTTCACCCAGAAATCGAATGGTATTGCTCACATATAGCTTAAAAAGTAGCAAAGCTATTGGATAATGTCTCAAAAGGGAGCATATTAATCTAAATATGTTCTTTAGAGAATAAGACTACCCTTGATACCATGAGCTATATTACAGGGCTTAAGTTGGCTTTTGACACTGTGGACATATTGTCTGAGGGACCGAAAAATACTATTTAGACTAGTTCTCAAATGAGGAACTGTGGAACATTAAAGTCTAAGCCCTTTACACCATGCCCTACAACTCTGATTTGATAGCTCATCATGTGATTCTAACATGCAGCTAGAGATGAGCAATGGATTTAGAGCAATGGTCTTCAAACTTCAGTATGGCTTTAGCACCAGCCCTGGGACAGAGAAGGCTGCCAGAAATTTTCCTCTATTGCAACTGATTTTCTGTGGCTGACTGACTTCTTTATCTAGTAAATGACTGTCCCTGAATTCACTCTTCCTTTCTGTTACCAGGGATGGTGTTGTATCAGTAAATAAACATAGTGGCCAGTTTACTGATGAGTATCTCCCAGAACAACGATCTCACCTCTACGGGATAACTGCAGTCTACCCCTACTGCCCAACAGGTAAAAAGTATGCTTTAGGATGCTCCTTTAAATTAGCAGGGTAGAGAAGGGATATATATGGTATTTGATTACCCCTGCTGCCTGTGACACTGCCACCATTGCCTTCTTCCTGCCCTGAGGGCCAGTCTTTACTACCTTAAATCTACCTAGTTTATACACAAAATGCAAAGACTTGCTGTTGCAACTTGGTTACAATATACTCACCCACCACCCTGTCCCACCCCTGCTCTTCTCTCACAGGAAGAAAGTAAGTACAGTAATGTAAAGGAAGACTTGGAGTTTACAATCAGAACCTGGACCCTAAAGAACAGTGACTGCAAAGGCAAAGAAAGTAAAAAAGGAATTGGCCATTAGACGTTCCTGAGCATCCAAGATGAACATTTTGTAGTGCAAAAAGACTTTTGTGAAAAGCTGATACCTCAATCTTTACTACTGTATTTTTAAAAATGAAGGTTGTTATTGCAAGTTTAAAAAGGTAACAGAATTTTAACTGTTGCTTATTAAAGCAACTTCTTGTAAACATTTATCATTAATATTTAAAAGATCAAATTCATTCAACTAAGAATTAGAGTTTAAGACTCTAAACCTGATTTTTGCCATGGATTCCTTCTGGCCAAGAAATTAAAGCACATGTGATCAATATAACAATATAATCCTAAACCTTGACAGTTGGAGAAGCCAATGCAGAACTGATGGGAAAGGACCAATTATTTATAGTTTCCCAACAAAAGTTCTAAGATTTTTTACCTCTGCATCAGTGCATTTCTATTTATATCAAAAGGTGCTAAAATGATTCAATTTGCATTTTCTGATCCTGTAGTGCCTCTATAGAAGTACCCACAGAAAGTAAAGTATCACATTTATAAATACCAAAGATGTAACAATTTTAAAATTTTCTAGATTACTCCAATAAAGTGTTTTAAGTTTTCCTATGACTTAAGGATCTATATTGTCTCTAGGACAAAGCTGGGGGTTGGCATATATGCCTTAACCACAAAGGAGAAAGGTGATTTATGCAAACATACAGTACATAATAAAAATTCTACTTTCCTAAACTTTATTAAAGAAAAAAGCAATAAGCAATGGTGGTAAATCTCTAGAACATACCCAATTTTCTGGGCTTCCTCCCCCGAGAATGTGACATTTTGATTTCCAAACATGCCAGAAGTGTATGGTTCCCAACTGTACTAAGTAGGTGAGAAGCTGAAGTCCTCAAGTGTTCATCTTCCAACTTTTCCCAGTCTGTGGTCTGTCTTTGGATCAGCAATAATTGCCTGAACAGCTACTATGGCTTCGTTGATTTTTGTCTGTAGCTCTCTGAGCTCCTCTATGTGCAGCAATCGCAGAATTTGAGCAGCTTCATTAAGAACTGCATCTGTTTTATGAGAAAAGAACACTGCTTCAATACATAATTTTTACATTTAAGGCCATTTATTTCCTCCCAAGTATTCAGTCTGTAAAAAAAATAGTTTGAATTTAAACAAAATCACTTACCTCCTGTGTCAAAACCAAGAATATGTTTGTCTAAAGCAACAGGTAAGCCCTTTAAAAAAAGAAAGACAAAATGAGAGTATTTATGGTTAAGAATAGCATCCTTTCCTCAACTGAAACTGAAAAGCACCTAGCTATTCTGGTGTCTTAACTCTTTTAGCTGCATGGGCAAGGGAACTAGGAATTTTGTTTATATTTGCTTTGTGATGATTGTGATTAGCGAGTTTTCCCTATTTCAACCGGTTAGGGGGAAAAGTTAACCTTTAAATGTACCAGGAAGCTCTATAGCTCATCCAATCCTTTAGCCCAGGCATACAAAACAATATATCCTTATTGCAGCAGTGCCTTGTCATTACTGCTATGGAAGGCAAGTTGAGCCAGGCTGTTACTGTCTTATTTTGGCGACAGTAAGCAACAGTATAAACGGCAAAAATAGTACCTTATATTCCATTTCTGAGCACATTAATTTGTCTTTACAAATTGTACGAACCTTTCAGCCAGCATGGTGTTTGCCAAGATTATGTATAATTATGTATAATTTAACTTTCAAGACTTGACTTGGAAGTTACTTTGAAACAAACAGTCTAGGAAAATGAAAAACTAAACCACTCAGCACCTATGGACATACTAAAGATGGTGACTATGGTGATGCCAAACTTCACAGAAACAAATTCTAAAATGAGGACAGTCTGTACTTCCTGCTGATTATATAAAATCACTGCCAAGAAAAACACACTACCCGTACTTTCAATCTTTCAATGTTACAACCTGTTACTATTCAAATGCTTTAGTCACTGCTCAATTCTTGCCTTATCTAGTAATGTAAATCTACGTAGGCTCTGTCTGCTTTAAAACAGCTAACACATGTAAGTCTGAAGAAACCAATGGGTACGAAAGCACAAGTGAGCAAAATTAAAGAGCAGAATTGTACTGAGTGGCTTTATATGTTCATCTAGTACCAGAGGCTCCACTTTTTTTTCCTTTGCCAACAGGCCACCAAGCTACCCCTGAAAACTACCATATGCCTCAAATAGTAGTTATAAATGCTTATAAGTACACTAGACTGTAAGAACTCCACTAAATTGTTATAGGCTGGTATCTTTTGAGATGACACCAAAATTAAAATTGGGAGCATTAAAAATAAAACTAAATTTTACTTTACAAACAAGAGCAAAGAGATTTGGCTAAGCCTTTACTTACACTGCCTTCCAAAGCATAGTTTTGCTGAAGGAATGAATGAATGAATGATTGACTTTATTACACCAGAACAATTTACTGTCTGTTCTATAGGGAGGGTGAAATAAGCTGATCTTTAACCCAACTTCCAGTGGCTCGATTCATATACAACGAGCCAGTAAGAACCTTTAAAAGAAAACAGTGTCTTTCAGAGATACTGCCCTGGCATTAGTAACCTTTTAACACTGCTTGGCCTGCCTAAAGGGGCTGGAGGACAAAAGGCATTGGGAGATGGGGGAAGGGCGCAGGGAGGACAAACAACATAGTTGTGCCCAAGGCATTCACTACAACATCATTGCTGCAGGAGGCAGGTGTTATCAGACACTGCTGCTGCTGACCTGAGGACAGTCTCTCCACCGCTGCACAGCCAGTGAAACTTTAGGCATCTTTGGATTTCTGATATAATCTAAAAATGTTCCATATTTTCTCTTTAAGGGGAAGGTAGTCATGGGATATAGCTTTTCTCAGCCTACAAGGTAGGACTGAAAGATACCATTTCAGTCACCTGTACCTTGAACCTTACACTCCAACAGAACCCCCTGTCCCTTCACCTGGGCAGACTGACAAGCTCATGCAGACATCCACGCATGGACCCTTCTCCCCACCTACCGTAAGAGCACAGGCTCTCAAGTCAGACTGCCTGAGCTCAGTCACTTACCAACTAGGTGACCTTAGCCAAATTACTTTCTCATGTTTTATGCCAGGAAATTGAATAAAACAAGAATTTACTCTGAAGAAATAAGAGCAAGGATAGAATTTAGATAGAAAAAGAAAACTAATTTGTAGTGAGGTGTGTTCCTTCTTCTCCAGCATGAGTCAAAATAATCCAGTAAGTTTCATATGGGTAACTCATTTTAAATAAACTTCAACGGGCCACAAGCATGATTTGTGGACTGTGCATGAGCTATTTGTGGCTTTTTTAAGGTACAAAGTGAGAGGAACATGAAGTTTTTCACTCAAAAATGACCCCCTAGCCACTGAATACATTCAATTTGCTTTAGGAAGCACTGAAGTAAGCTATCCTTTCTCTAAGTTGTAGAACGTAGAATGGATATCTTAAACAGATACATGCAAAGTTTAAAATCACGGCCATACCAGAAGAAATGTTCATTAACAACTTATTTAGGATTTATAGAAACGTACCTCTTTTGTTTGATTTGCCTTAGCAACTGCATCCTGTGTCAGGCGCTCCTGAACCAAAATCCGAATTGCCTAAGAAACCCAAAAATATTTTTACTTTTTATAGGCTGTGTACCTGTCATCCTTTCTTCTATGAGCCCAGAGAATAAGGATGCTCATTTTGATGAAGTCAGAATTACCTAAGTTCATTAATAAACTCCCCATTAAATTAAAAATAAAAAAAACCCACTAATATAACGTAACCTTTCACACTTCTAGTATTTTAATAATGTTGAATGGTGCTTGCAACAATTAAAACCATTTTTTGAATAGGTAATGCACGTGACTGGTAAAAAACAACTTTAAATACAGCAAGACACATGGTAAAAAGTAGGTCTCCTTCCTACCTGAGCCTTGCGATCCCCTACAGATTCCTTACCCTCACTAAAACTGCGAAATGACGAGCATGCTTAGCACGAATACACATTTTTGACACAAAGGGTAGCAGATCATACATACTGTCTTACACTTTGCTTTTATCACTTCACTCTAGTAAAATATTTTCAAACCTTTCAAAGGACACCGTTGGTGGTTTTAATCACCAAGGCATTTCATTATGGTAGGCATGCATGCAAGTATCCATACACACTTAAAAATCAAATTTTAAAAAAATGGAATTTTAATTAGGAAGATGACAATTACAACTCAAAAATAAGTGTGAAAACTTAAACTATAATTTTTAAATAAAAAACCAAATGCTATCTTTGAAAAACCGAATTCAAACAATGTTTAACAGTTATTGCAGATGTTATTAAATAGTCTGGTTGCCAAACAGTTAATATACTGATGCTTGTACTTGGCAAACGTACTAAGATGTTTTCCATATTATGTTATTGTTTGAATGCCTCTTAAAATAACTCAAAAGGGACAAATGTGCAGCAGGACTAGAATTTTATAGCATTTTGTTGTAGTTGATTTATACTTTATCCCCTTGGGTTTTGAAGTCTAACAAAAGCATCCCAAATACGCTATGCATTGTCTGACTCTCCTCTCACTTACTTTATGATTAAAGCTGACATGATCACTATAGAACAGTTCCAAGGCAATTTACATAATTGTCGGAATAAAGAACAAGCCTTTGAAATAGCTAAATTTCACTAAAAACATTTTTGTCTTTTGGCATGCAATCTGGATTGAGAAAATCCAAGTTAACATTCAGATTCAGTATAGAAAATTTTAATAACTTAGGAATACAACAGTCTTGTTAAAACTGACATTTAATAATAAAAATCTAAAAAGCATGGTAAGTTATGGCTTAATCTCTTCTGGGTAGAGTGATATTTATCACAAAGTAGTTTACATGCACAAGGTCTAGTTAAAAGCTTTTAATCTCTTATAAAATTTCCAAGTCTGGTATCTTAAGTACCACTCCCCTGATCCACACCACTGTACTTTCACGATTACTAGGAATAAATCTTCTGAAGTTTATGATTTCTCTCAGAAACAAGAGACCTCTTTCAGATTACTGGGATTCCTGAAGTATAGTTATGAACTGAGTGGCCTATCTAGCATCGGGGACAGAAAGATTCATTTCTCAAAGAGATTTTGGGGTTATATATTTTTGACCAAATTCACCATTACTCATTTGGCATTTTCGACCATCTTAACAAATGCAGACTATGAATCATTAAAAAGACTAACTAAACAGAAGTAGGGTAATGTGGGAAAAACAATGGACCACAGGGTTATAGTGCTTAAAATCCTGGCTCTGTCATTTTCTGTGTCATCTTAGACATTATCCTCATTGAGTCTCAGTTTCTTCATATGATATATATTTTTAAAAAGATATTAGCAGCTGTCTCTAGGATTGTTGGCAGGATTGAATGAGAACATCTTTGCAAAGGATTTAGCATAGTGCAGGCAGAAAACAGAATCCAAATCAGATAAAACCATGAAATCTACTTTATGTTTCATATTCTTCTGTGTATTTTAGTCATTCAACCATAATTTTAATATCAATAGTTAATATTTAGAAAATAAAGACATTTTTCTATGTGCACAGTTTCTGTCAAGAATCAAGAACATGAAGCTGACCTTAAGCATTACCAGGTAATCATCATGACGCTGAATCTGAAGCAGGTTAGCCAAAGCCATCACACCAGCCTTAAAATCAGGATTATTTACTATAAAAGATTAAAAACAAACAAAAACTTACAACCCTGCAAACGTATAATTACAAACATATTTGTGAACATACAAAAACATTTTTAACTTTTCGGTAGCAACAAATCTCTTAGTTTTTAAAACTGCTACTCACAAGAGAAAAAAGAAAGCCCTGTAGACTATCAACAATTAAATAAATTGGTAAGATAAAATGGTTTTCCTATTACTGTATGAGACGGTCCCCAACTTAGGATGGTTAGACTTGTAATTTTTTGACCTTACAATGAGTTCAGTGGGATGTAACCCTAGTGCAAGATGAGGAAAATCTGAACTTACAGTGGTTCCAACTACAATTTTTCAGCTTTACAATGGGTCTTCCGGGGTATTAAATGCATTTTTGACTTATGATATTTTCGACTTTGGGACATGATCTCATCCTAAGTCAAGGAGTATCTGTATTTCATCAGCCAAACTGAATAATCCAATAAATGACTAATTTAACTCACATTATATTTGTCCTGTAACTTTTTCTGCAAGGCTAAATTATACAGCACTTTTAATTAACATTTCTTCCCAAGGCCATTAATTTTAGTACATAGATCCCCTCCATGGATAGTTTTCCCAAAACCTTCTCTCTAAGCAGCAGCTCTGGAGTGTCCAAGAGGCTCACTCATTCAAAAGGGTTAACTCCTAAATTATAGGTCACAATGAATTAGCCAGTGAACAAATATTTTACACATCATAATTTAGGTAATTAGATTCTTCATATTTTTAAAAAGGGAAATTACTAAAAGATATCCAGGACTTAAAATAATGGAAAATTTTACCACTTGTCTGATAGAGTCATTGGATTAAAAGAAATTTACACATTCAAAAAGGCAAACAATGACCCCCATGATTAAATACAAATCAAAACTCCAAATTACTAGAAGCAAATCAAATCAACATTCAGATATTCAAATGCAAGGGGAAGGAGAAAGCACATCATAAAAACATTATAGAGAATAAAATGTTAACATAAATGCTGTCTGCATGGATCCTTCTAAATTTACTAAAACCAAGTAAACCTGGACTTCATTCTTCAAAGAAAAAAACATTTAAAAAACCAAAAATGTTGATGTTCAATGTTATGCATTTATATACTCACCATCCAAATTGATCAATGGTTCTGCATTTTTAGTTGCATTGTCAGCAGTTTTTGAATTATCAGGTACTAAATCCTTGTATTTTTCAGCTATAAAAACAGGCAAAAATATAATTTGTACAACTGCAACTCAAGGTAAAATGACTACTGCTATTTACCAAATTTAACTGAGCCAAAATGATTACAGGTTGAGTTTCCCTTACTGGAAATGCCAATAATTTCCAATTTTAAATTTTTTCAGACTTCGGATTATCTGCATATATAAAATGGGATATTTTGGGGATGGGACTGAAGTCTAAACACAAAATTCATTTTTATGTTCAATGTACAACTTATACACATAGCCTGAAGGTAATTTCATATAATATTTTTAATAATTTTGTGCATGAAATAAAGTTTGTGTTAAGTGCTTATGTGTGGAAATTTCTACTTGTGTCCTCATGTCAGTGCTCAAAAAGTTTTGGATTTTGGAGCATTTAGGATTTCAGATTCTCGGATTAGGGATGCTTAACCTGTATAAGCATAAAACAATTCATTCAATCAAGCTTAATTTTTGCTATAGAAAATGTAAAAAGACAATGTAACTATCTTTTTGATTAAGCTAAAGCAATTACTGGACTATGTGACACAAATATCTTTTCATTAACATTTCTAAAGGCAATCATTTCAAACATGTAAATTTTAGGAAGGTAAAAATCTGCTTTTACAGCTTCCTCTGAAATCTGGGGTAGAAGAATGGGAGGAGGGTTAAGTATAGGTTACGTAAGATTAAATACAAACTCATTAAAAAGTACGCTTCCCCCCATCTTCTTTTGAATGCTGTACATAAAATCCAAAAACCTTGCTTTCCCCAAAAAAATCAATACATCAAATACACCATCATATACAAACCTCAAACTTATTTCATGGAAACTTGAAATTCAGAATTCCAAAGGTAGATTTTATTATTTTCATTTGAAAAACAATACTTCAAAGGAATTCAAAAATAAAAACACTTATTAATAATTCACTAAACTTAATGTTCAAAATGGCATCTTAGGCTATACAGTGCTTATGGGATCTGTTAATGAAACGAGGAAAAAATAAAAGCATAAAATTTAAGTCAGAGTTAAAAAGGCTTCCACTGGCCAAATCTGGAACAGTATCAACAGCAAAATACGTGATGACAGAAAGGATTATAATCCATTGAATAAAATAAAAATCCATGTATCTATACTGATTTAAACAAGTAAATTAGAGATGGGAAAACTTACAAGAGAAAGCCAACAAATAAATGTAGAAAAAATGATGAAATTAGAGAACACCTTTTGTCGATTAACATAATAAATGACTGAGGCAAGAATCATCATATGGTTGCTAAAACTAGTGGGGGAAACTTGAGGCGCAAAAACATAATTGATACAGTCTCAAAGTACCTCCCCACAAGATATATTTATTACAAAGAGGAAAATAGTAACTTTACAGTGGAGAAACCATAACCTAGTGATCAAAGTAACATAACTAGTAATGGGACATATCGCTATCACGTATCTCCTAATATGATGCACTAAAAAGAACACATCACTTCTGTGTTACTCCTAACAAAAGTATAAACCCCAAATCTAATCATGAGGAAACATCATATAAATCCAAATTGAGGGACACTCTACAAAATAAATGTCAGGGTCATGAAGCACAAATAAAGACAGGAACTGTTCCAGATTTTAAGATACTAAGACAGATGTAACAACTAATGCGGTGCATAATCCAGGATTGCTCTGGGTTATTTTTTTCTTTCGAGAGAAGTGGGGGGTTTGGTAAAATGTGAATAAATAATAGTATATCAAAGATAACTTCCTGATTTTGATCACTGTACTGTGGTTATATAAGACAAAGTTGTTTTTAGGAAATGCACTTTAAAGTGTTTAAGAGTAAAAAGGAATCATCTATAATTTACTATCAAATGGTTTGGAAAAAAATGGTGTGTGCCTCTGTGTAGAGAGAAGGATGAAGCAAATGAGGTAACACGCTACATTTGTAGACTTGAGGTATATGAAAATCTTTGTACTATTTTGTAATTTTTCTATACATCTGAAATTATACATTTAAAAAATTTCAGTTATTGATCATGTTGACAAGCTACCAAAAGGCTTCAAAAAATAGTAGAGCGCAAATAATAAAAACTCACAATGGTTTCAGCAAATTTTAAAATAAGTAACTTAAAAGTCAAGGAGGCAACATATCAATGTAAAACCACAAAAGAACATCAGCGCCTCCTACCGATTAGAGACAGTATTATTTGACCAATTTTCAAGTCTGTTTTTGCAATTCTGAATTTTAATAAACAAAACTTGTTTTCTAGCTTAGACTTTTAATATACTTTTGATACCATTCACCTTCAAGTATATGTTGACTTCCTTTTTCAATATTGAAAAATTTACATTCCACACACAAGCTTCTTTTATTCACTAAAAGAACATGCTATTACTGAGAAATACATGTACTTACTAAAGTCAACTGCAGGTATACATGACCATATGCATCTACCATTGAAGGTTAACGGGTTATAAAAATGGAACAAATAGAATAAAACAAATAAACTGAGATGTAAGAATTTGGGAATAAATGAAAAACAGTTTTGATAAGCTACAAATTGGCTCATATACAATTCCTACCAATCCAGAGCAGGGTAGATAAAAAGACCTTGTTAAAGGCCCTAAAATCAATACTACACTAAAGCCATAAGGCTTATGAATACATGTATTTTCTAAAGAAAGAAAAGTTTTTTTTTTTTAAATTAAATGGAAAAGTAAACGAAGTCTCAAATTGAGCTTTCCTTAAGATTTTTGCCATAAGGCTTCTGAAATTTAAGTCTGAGGCATCAGCAAAAAATTGGCTGATGCTCCAAATCAGTGTATGTAAACACTCACATATACTGCATTCGCCACACATTACTGAAATTGATAAGCACCTGTTGTGTGCAAGAAACTATGTCAGGTACTGTGACAGACACAATATTGACCTGTACCCCCCAAGATGTCCATGTCCTGATCCCTGGAACCTGTGTATGTGTTACCTTACATGGCAAGATTTGCAAATATGATAAAATTAAGGATCTTGAGATAGGGGATTATCCTGGATTATCCAGGTGGGCTCAGGAGGATCAGAGCCAGAGACAAAGTTATGACAATGGAAGCAGAATCAGATAAGAGACTGGAAAATGCTATGCTGCTAGACTTGAAGAAGGAAGAAGGGGCCAGAGTCAAGGAATTCAGGCAGCCTCTAGAAGTTAAAAAAGGAAAGAAACAGATTCCCCCGAGAGCCTCCAAAAGGAACCTGCCTTGCTGACAACTTGACATGAACCCAGTGAGGCTAATGTTGGCCTTCTCATTCTAAAATAATAAATTGTGTTTTCAGTCACTGAGTTTGTAGTAATTTGTTACAGCATCAATTGGAAGCTAAGAGAGGTACCATGTAGGAATCAAAGCTGAGTATCAGTTTACAAATTACTGGGACGAATAAGACATAGAAGCAAAATGGAAAGTGGTTAATGACTTAAAATGTATAGGGTTAAAAGCTATGGAAGTTCAGAGGGAAATTATACTGCTGCTAAGACATAAGACAGCATATGAGATGGATCTTAAAAAGATGGGTAGGATTTAGATGTGTAGATAGAATGAAATGGTATATTAGCCAAGGGAAAAGTGTGAACAAAGAAACAGAGGGGGAAATGGGATATAAACAGGAAGCACTATTATTCTAATTTAGCTGGGATGTCAAGATGTGAATACAGGTTGGATATCAGTCATCATTAACTACCATGCTAAGGAGCTTAAAATTCTTTTTATAGAAAATGGGAAATTAGTGTTTATGGATATGTATGTTTATTAATATGAATATGTAACTGGAACTGTTCTTTGGAAACAAGGAGTAAGTGGCATCCTAAAATAGATTAACGTTTCAGAAAGTTAGCTTGGTTGGCCATGCAGTTAAGAACAGAAGGTGACACTAATGGGAGATATTATAATACTCCTGGCAGAAAGTGACAAGAGCCTGAATTAGGATTATGCCAATGGGAATGAAGATACAACAAACATGAGAAAAAGTCAGTGTAGGTGGGATGAAGGGAAAGGGATAAGCCAAGATATAAAAAGGCTTCCAAAGTAAATAATTAAGAAGACTGTAACTAACCGAAAAACACAAAATGCAGGGGATGCAGATAAGATAATCAAATCTTGCATTTAGATGTTGGCAGGCCTTTCAAAATGAAATGGTCTAATAAGAGAAAACACCCGTTTAAAGAAAAATTGTTTTTACTATAGGTACTAACATTCAGAAGCTTCCAACCATAGAAGTATCTGTGCTAAGACAGTAAACATAAGTAATATATTCTGGCCTATAGAGTATTAATGTATATTGGCATTAGACATGTTTCAGTCTTTTGAGAAATTACCTACTGCAACAACACTTCAAAGTCCCATCAATTCTGGGACACTAAAAACAATTTAATTTGAAAGGCTAAGGTGCAGACCATATTATCAAAGTAGTGTTACTCTGTGAGAAGACAGTCAATTAGCCTTCTCCAGAGGGCACCATTTCCAAATTCTAACAGAAATATATAAACACCAATGAAAGACAATAAAAGTGCTTTTAACTTGTGATAAGAATAAACCAAAGGTAAAATAGTACTAGACAAAACAAACTGCAAAGTTCCCTACATTTTCACACTCCCTTTCCCATCTTTCCTCTCTCTTTAAAATACACATTCCCCACAAAACGTACCATTATCTCCATATTCAAGTCTAACAGCTAAACCAAGAAGCCAGTCAATAGCTTCTTGTCGATCTTGAATCTTGAAAGGACAGTTAACATCTCTGAGATACTGTGAGGGGGAAGAAAAGAAAACCACCAGTTTCATTATTACCATAAAGTCACAGAAAAAAGAATGGGAGAGTTGAAAGAGACCTTAGTTTGGATCTCTAACAATTTTTTAATAACATTACTACACTTTTGATGCAATTATATAACCCAACAGAAGGGAACATTTAAGTGTATCATCTTAAGAAAAAAAATAGAATACGACAACTTCCTCATTTTATAGATGAGAAAGCTGAGGCCTAGAGATTGACACTTGCCAAGGGTTACACAACTTACACCTGGGACTAGAATCTAAGCTTTCTGATTCCTAGTCTCAATACACATAGAGCAATTAACTAAAAAGAATAACTTTAAAAAGGATATACAATAAATCATTATCTATCTAAACCTTAACTTTCATATTATGGAAATGCCACTGAAAAGAGTAGCCATGTAACATACATGTAGGGTGTAACCAAGTAATTTAAATAAATGTCAGAAGCTGTATATTCAAATAAATGTTGCATATAATAGTATTATATGTAACATTAATTATATGTAATATAAGATTATAATAAAATCAACTTGAAGGATAATAACTGTTTAGGTTCTGATATGTTGAAATTATTCTTACTGTCATTCCAGGTGTTTCACATCAGAAATACGTGTGTGTATATGTACATATATACACACACATACATACATATTTCTTTTTTTTGAGACAGAGTCTTGTTCTGTTGCCCAGGCTGGAGTGCAATGGCACAATCTTGGCTCACTGCAACCTCCGCCTCCTGAGTTCAAATGATTCTCCTGGCTCAGCCCCCTGGGCAGCTGAGATTACACACATGCGCCACCACACCTGGCTAATTTTGTGTTTTTAGTAGAGACGGGGTTTCGCCACGTTGGCCCGGCTGGTCTCGAACCCCTGACCTCAGGTGATCCACCCATCTTGGCTTCCCAAACTGCTTGGATTATAGGCATGAGCCACCGTGCCCAGCCTAGACAATTTTTTATATTCTCCAGATACCTTTCTACATGCAGAATTCTGTACTGTCTTGTACACATGAATAGACCATAAAATGTAATATAAACAAACATAAAATCCTAAAAATATATTTCAAAGTTTTAAGAAGTCCACTGAAAATTTTAAAAATATTTTCTAAGAGCAAAGGAAAAGAATACAGTAGTATTAATAGTAGTAGTATAGAGGCATTGGCAGTAATAAGCTTATCACACTTGCTATGCGCCAGGGACTTCTGTGAACAATTACTCATTAAAAACAAAGCCACACTTATGAGATAGGTATCATTGTTACCCTCACTTATTGATGAAAAAATTGAGACACGGAAAGGTTAATAACAATGATGTAATTTATACAATCCCTAATTTATAAAATCACTGATTCTAGGGAGAAAGTGCCTAATCACACTGCTCTCGCAAATGAAAAACTTAGCCTTTTTCAAGAAAAATATCTCACTCATCAAATATAACTGATGAAAATGTTTAATGTAAGAAATGACACTAAAAGCATTTTTATTCTAATCTGAGAATTCTTTTTTATGCAAAAGTGTTACTAAAACTAAATCAATGGGAAAATGATTCAAGGCACAAAAATATGATATACCAGAGATCATTTAAGGACTATTTCCCTAGCATACAACAAGGGATATCTGTTTACATTAAATATAAGCATAAACACGACAGTCTTGGTTTTCAAGCATCTCAATAATGTCTTTTTTTGAGACAAGGTGTCACTCTGTCGCCCAGGCTGGAGAACCTCAGCCTCCCAATTAGCTGACACTACAGACACAGGCCAGCACACCCAGATAACTTTCTATTTTCTTGTAGAGACAGGGTTTCATCATGTTGCCCAGGCTGCTGTCAGAACTCCTGAGCTCAAATGATCTGCCACCTCAGCCTCCCAAAGTGCTGGCATTATAGGTGTTAGCCATCACACCTAGCCAATGTCTTCTTTTAATATAAGAAATAGTACTGTGTTTAACAAAAATTCTGATTTGGGCCATAAAGGGAAAGCGAAATATTTACATCATTATTTATTTAAGAAACTTCATGTTTCTAGAGAAAACTATTTCTACCTAATACTGAAAGCTTGGTAGGAAGACATAAAATAATTTGCTCTAAAAGCAAAAGACACATCTAAGAAAAAAGCAAAATCCCTGAAATCCAGCTTTCCTAACACTGATCATTATCATTTTTTTCTTAAAAGAAGAAAGTAATTTTAAGCTCATCTTCATGATTTTTCAGACAAACTCTCTGTATTTTTACTTTACTTCCTAATTCATTACCTTTTCAAAGAACTTGGGCCAGTCGCTGCTGTGGATGTTTCTTAAATTCCCTCTGTCTTCAATCTTGTAGTGCCTGATTTTCTGGTCTTCAAGCCAAACGATGAAGTTTCTAAATTCTGTTTCATCTGCAATAAAAAATATCACATAAATAACTAGAAGCACTACATAAAATACCTCCTTCTCAGGTATATGTTCAGATATATGTTCTTGTGGAATTTTCTTAACTTCAAAATACTAAATTAATTGAACCAAAAGAGGGAGTTGAAAGTACAGATTCTGGAGTTGAAAGTACAGATTAACAATGATCTGTTCAAATCCTGGGTCCAGATACTTACTGGTTGTGTGAACTTGGGATAATCACCCACATTTTCTGTGCCTCAGACTCTTCAGCTACAAAATGAGGGTGCTAATAGAACTTACCTCATAGAGTTATGAAGATTAAAAGAAGTTGTTTTATTTAAGAAGTTTCTTAAATAAAATAAATACGGATAAAAACAGTGCCTGGCACATAGTTTTGCTATTTAAGTGTTACATATTAATATTCCAGTTCCTTTGCGGACAGAAAGGGGAAGGAGGGCAAGGTTAAATTTATAGCAAAGTAATAAAGTAAAATATACAACAAAATAATAAGTAAAAGAAATTAAATGACAAAAAAGACACTGTGACAACTGTTGTCATGGAATGTTAACTGCACATTAAGTGCATAATTGTTTCGTTTAATCCTCCCCATACCTCTTTTGAGGTAGGTAATATCCCATTTTACAGATAAGAACATTGAGACTCAAAGATTCCAATCCAGAACAAGGCTCTATTGTCACTGATACTTTTTTGTTAAAGTAGAAAAACAATAGATTATAATTTGATATGCTTCTACAGGCGATCAACAAAACACTGTCATCCTGCTTAGAAATTATTTTCAATTTGTGAGTCAAATTCAAGCTTCCATTATAAGGTCTTGAGAATTACACAGTGGTCTGAGTATCACAAGTTATACTTGATCACTTTCAAACTTACCAGTCTATCACAGGCCACAACTATACAAAGGAAACGAGTAGTGGTGGGTAGCAGTTTAGTTACAGTGAGTAGCAACGTTATTACTTTTTAAAATTCTAATGCTGTAAAATCCCAAATACCTTTGTATTCACAATTCAACCTTCCCACTCATCTGCTATTAACTTTTTTGCAACACCACATAACACAACTAGCCCGTTACTACACGCGCTTACCCTCCCACTGTGATCGGTCCTGATTTCATTGTGTACTGTCTCAAACTGCTCAGTGGGTTCTGATTGCTTCCACCCCTCGTCCCTTTAGCTCCTGGCAGGCAGTGAACTAGTCTTCAAGTTACTCAGCACCTTCCTCAGAATCCAGCACCGCGCTGGCCCATAATTAGCAGGTGCTCAAGGTATCGCCTAATTACCCAGGGAACCATGGAGTTGAATAGTGAGTGAGAAAGACGAATGCTCTCCCTTTTATGTACAGAGAAGGTAGTTACGTGATGCTTGGAGTTAAGCAAGTGCAGAAAGTAACATGCCGAGACAGGAGTAGGTGAGAGGGCTTTAAAGGCGGGAAGGGGCGGCGAAGAGCCGAGGTACGTGGCGACCCAGAGGAGAGGGGCCCGGAGGCTGCCGGCGGAAACCAGGCCGCCGAGGGTCCCGACGGGGAGGTGGGGTGCGGGCACTGAGGCTGGGACCTCCGCCCAGGTCAGGGACACGCGGCCGGGCTGAGGCCGCCGCCTCACCTTTGCAGTTGAAGCCGGCGGGGTTGTGGTAGTCGAGAGCCGTCAACTTGCGTCGGAACATGGTCCCCGCTTCTCGCTCTGGTCCCCCGGGCCTCGGCCGGGAGAGAAGAAGCGAGGTGGAGCGGGAGGCGCAGGCACCGGCGACGCGGCGAGAGGGCGGGCAGGCGCTGAGTCGCTCCGAAATGACGGCGGCCTTCGCCAATCGTGGCTTAAAAGCGGTGGCCGCCGGCAAATGCCCACCAATCGCGGCTCCGGCTGGGGAGGCGGGGCCACGTCGGCGCACGTCGACGCTCAAATAAACTTTATTGTCAGCTTCCTGGTTGTACAATAGGCAGAAAACCACCGGGAAGCCACTTTCCTTTCTTTCTTGCTATAGCATGCAGAGAATAGTATATGTAGGCTTTTGGTATTCGCTGTACCTCCCGTTGGATTACAGAATTACTGTTTAGTGTTTTGAGTGCATTCATTCATTTTATTACTCCTCCTACATAACAGGTGCTCTTCTAACACTGGTAATACAAAGACTACAAAGCAAGGTCCCTATAGTAAGATGCTTTCAGACTAATTGGGAGTGATCCACAGGTAAACATACAATTGTTAATACGATGCGATCGTTCCAGATATCCTCAGCCAGAGTGAAATCTGAAGCCGAGATCGTCCCTCACTCCCCCTCACCCTCGGTCACAGCATCCAGTAGGTCACCAATTCCTGCCATTCTGTCTCTCCTAACTCTCAAATCCCTCACCTCCTTTCGGACCCCACTGATACAGCCACAGATCAGATCCTCATCACTTTTGCTTACTCTAATTATCTGATTGATTTCTTAGGGCCAGTCCTGCGTTCTCCAAACCATTCCTCCATACAGCGATGAGAGAGATTTTTCTAAAGCAAAAACCTGTACATAACTTTCTCTGCTTATGTTTTAGTGGTTCCTGGTTACCCCCTAGAAATAATCAAAACTCCTTATTGTATTTAAGATCTTTCCTGATCCAGTCTCTACTTGCTTTTCAGACAGTGGAGAGAGAGCAGTGAACAAGACAGACCAGGCCCCTATTTTCATGGAGTTTAAAAGGCTAATGAGGGAAACAATAAACAGATAAGTATAAACTAAGGCTTGAAGATGGTGAGGCATTCACCATGCAGTCAAAAGGGTAACCTAGTTTGAGGGAAGAGGATGTATAAAGGCAAGAAATGAGCAACAGCATGGCCCAGAGGGACTAGAGCTTATAGGGGCTGGAGGGTGAGAGGGAATGACAGCTGATAAGACTATAGACAAAGGCAGGGCTCTGATAAGGAAAAGCCTCTCATGGCAAGCTAAGGGGAGCTATTGAAATTCTTGGGGGTAAGCCAACTATGTACGTTTCATTTCATTTCATTAATTAAGATTTTAATTAAACACTTAGGATCTGAGGAGCATACAAATGAGTAAACTACAGTCTCTATTTTCAGGAAGTTTAAGTATAATGACAAATATAGATGTGTAAATAAATACTTATAATCTGGAGTTAGAAAGAGTAAGTGAATTACAAGAAATATAAAATGTACTACAAAGAAGTACAGGCCAGGTGCAGAAGCTCATGCCTGTAGTCCCAGCACTTTGGGAGGCTGAGGTGGGAGGATAGTTCAAGCCCAGGAGTTTGAGACCAGCCTAGGCAACATAGTGAGACTTTGTCTCTATTAAAACTAAAAAAAAAAAAAAAAGAAGAAAGAAAAATTAGCCTGGCATGCTCGTGTGTGCCTGTGGACCCAGCTACTCAGGAGGCTGAGGTGGGAGGATCACTTGAGCCTGCAAGGTTGAGGCTGCAGTGAGCCATGATCACACCAACCTGTGCAACATGTAAGACCCCATCTCAAAAATAATAATAATAAAAAGAAGTACAGAGGCTAGAATACAGCTTTAGTTTTAAGGGGGCACTGTAAGATAATCTGTATTTTTCAATTAAGGTGCTTATAGAGTGAATCAAGAAAATCAGTTCAAGAGTGTCTCATTTCCAACAAAATTTGATCAAAGATATGGCTATAATCTCATATTGTAGTGCATGCTAGTTGTATAATTAATGAAATACTAACCAAAAAATGAAAAAATGAACCAATCATGGAAGGGAAAATAATAAATACTTACATATAAATAATAAATTAAAAAGGGGGAAAAATACAATTGCAGACCATGAATTTCTTTAAAAAAATAAGGAAAAACATCTCTTACCATTTGTTTTCTGAAATTGACCTTTCAAGGCAAAAAATGAAGTTGTTTGCTCCTGGCCTAGTCTTTCCACTTCAGGGTCCCCATTGTCAGCAACTTAAGACTGTCCCTAGTCATCAGCCCCGGCCACCACCAGGAGTGGGGAGGTTGGAGGAAGATTCAGATGATGCAGAATGCTAAAGTGTCAGGGGATACTTGAGCAGGGGATAAAGCAAACTTTGGGAAAGAAGTATAAAATAAATATTAATCCATTTTTTATGTTAAAACCCAGTTATCTTTTTTTTTCTCTGAATTTGAAGGAGTTCTTTGACCTATTCTGAATGGAGTGTCCAACAGTAAGTGAATCTTACATAATTCCATTTCTGAAGACCAAGCCCTCTGTATACTTCAAGAAAAGGAAACCAACTTTTGTGTGTGTGTGTTTTCATAAGTACCCAGTGTTTAGCTCCCACTTATAAGTGAGAACCTGTGGTATTTGGTTGTCTGTTCCTGTGTTAATTTGCTTAGGATAACGGCCTCCAGCTGCATCCATATTGCTGCAAATTTGGACATAATATTTGTTCTTTTTATGGCTGCATAGTATTCCATGGGGTATATGTACCATATTTTCTTTATCCAGTCAGCCTCTGATGGGCATCTAGGTTGATTCCACGTCTTTGCTATTGTGAACAGTGCTGCAATGAACATGAGAATGCATGTGTCTTTTTGGTGGAAGGATCTGGAAATCAACTTTTATTATCAAATGACCTGAACTCCAATCTAATGGTTGATCATAGGTTTGACAGGCTATTAATTCATCTGTTGAATTGTTCAGTAAAGTGTTTAGAGTGTCAATTACATGCCAGGCAATCTTGTAGGCATTTTGGAGTCATCTGAGAGCTTAAACACAACAACCCTGACCTCAGGGAGCTTATCATTGGGCAAGGGAAGACAAACAGTACAATAATAAATAAATACATTATTTACTATTCAGAAGGTTCTAAGTACTATAGGAAAATTATAACAAGGTAAGGGGGGCAACAAATAGCGGTGGGGATATAATGGGTGTTGCAGTTTTAGACAAGATGGTCAGGTTGGGCCTCATTGAGACAGTGAAGTGTAAGGAAAGCCTAGAAGGAGGTAAGGAAGTTAGCCACACAAATATCTGGGGAAAGAGATTTCTAGATGGAGTACTCAAAAAAAAAAAAACCAAGATAAGAATGGTTTTTATATTTTTAAATGGTTGAAAAATCAAAAGAATAATAATATTTTATGACATGTGAAAGCTATATAAAATTCAAATTTCAGTGTACATAAATAAAGTTGTATTGGAACACAGCCATGCCCATTTGCTAACTGGCTGCTTTGGTGCTACAAGGGCAGAGTTGAATAAATGCAACATAGACCACATGACTCACAAAACCTAAAATATTTGCAAGGGCATATATGGTTGCAGAAATGTAGAGGTGGCCATTTCAACGGTATTGCCAGGGCAACACATTATCAAGAAAGGCAACCAGTCAGAGGTAAAAGTTGCTCTTTGAAGGACAGTTTCACAACTTGTAACAACTTTTAAAGTCTTGGCAGTTTTACTAGAAGCCTTTGTTCAAATTAGTCTTCCGAAAACAGTGAACAGAACAAGTTGGTAATAACCAGGAATAGCCACAAAAGTCTCTACAGTGCACAGAAAAACAGGTTTTATATTCTAATGAATGTTATCAATTGAACACCCCATGAAATCAGAATTTTTGGAACAAGTTGTATAATGCAGAAAGGTCTCTCTCCCTGGGGGAGCCTCCCGATGAGCAAACATCTCCTTTATCTCTTTCTGAGACTCTTTATGTTAAATATGAAAACTTGCTGCTTTTTAAGGTCAAGCTCTGGAATTTCATGATTTAGCATTAAAAGCAAAATGGCAGGGCAGTAGAACTCAATTTTATTGGTAGAAAACGAATAGGAATGAATAGGAATTTATGTAGTCATGCAAACAGCATAAAGCATTCACCTTCCACATCTAATACTGCAGAGGAAACACTTGCCGAACAGTGAAAACAACACAGAGGACAATACAGCCAAGAAGCACAGACAGGCCATTCCCAAAAATGTCTGGTAGGGGGCTAGATGCAACTTTCCTGAGATGTGATCCAATAAAATCTATTTTATACTTGAGCCAGATTTGGTTGGGGTTTTGTAACTTACAACTGAATAGTTCTAACATGAGGACAGATCCCAGAGAGAAAGGAAAGAAAGATCCACGGACTTGGTGGGACTAAACATAGGATGGGAAGGAGGTGGATGGCTTAAAGGAGGTTTCTAGAAGGTCACCTATCAGAGATGTGATAAGCAGTGAATTCTTGCATAGAAACAGGAGCACCGGTAGAAGGAAACCAGTCTGAGGAAGCTGAAGAATTAAGTTCTGCACCTGTTGAAATCGAAGTCCTGTAGATGTAGCCCATAATCACTACTGAAATGTCAGGAATGAATGTGAGTGAGTGGATGAGATGTCCATTGAGGAGCCATCAGCATAAAGTTGTAGATGGAAACTGTTACAGTAAGGTCCCTGAGGAGACGGGGAAAGAAAAGAGGACTGAAGACTTCATCCTAGGAAAACCCAGTATTCATATTTAAGGAGTAGGAGGAAGAGTCATGGAATATGGGAAAAGTGGTTGGAAGGACTAAGAGAACAAGGAATATACAGCGTCCTAAAACGTGGAGAGGAAGGGGTTTAGGGAGGCAGGGTTGGGGGCAGAGTAACAGGGATCAACATTTGGGTGATAGGATTATGTGGATTCTTCCCCCAAAAGTGACAGAAAAGCCACCTCTGAATGCTTGAAAGCCGGTAATGAATAAGGCAGAGGTTATGGTGTCATATGATATTGACCAGCATACAGTCAAATTTAGATCACCTACTTTACAGATCTCCCATGCATATTCCTGTTCTCTCTTCCCTTTCCCTAGTACCTCAGTGACCCCCACCAGGCAGAGCTGCTAACTGAGATGCCTGCAAAGGCCTGACCTTTCCCTTTGTTTCAAATTCTTGAGAACTAGTCTTTCTCCAAGATGCTAGGAATTAGGGGCTGCTACTGCAGGGACCTTAGAGGGCTGGGAAATCTCATTCCTCAGAAATCCTTTGACCAACTTGTAGAAGGTATTGTCTTGACAGCTGAGTGCCAAACAGCACGCTTTACTTTAGGTTCAGACTTGCCAGGGTTCCAAAACCACAGCACTGAGTTCAGCCTGCCAGCTGAAGAAGGGGCAGGGGATGGTGAACTCCTACAGATTTGCCCTGATCCTGCCATGGCTCTCAGACCTGTGAACATTTTAAGTAAAAGTCTCTTTTGATGAAGAATACAAGATATTCTATCTTCTACTTCAAAGTCTGACACAACTATTGTGTGTTCATGACATACGTATTAGGCCACTCACACATTGCTATAAAAATAGTTGAGATTGGGTAATTTATAAAAAAAAGAAGGTTTAATTAGCTCACGGTTCTGCATGTACAGGAAGCATGGTGCTGGCATCTGCTAGGCTTCTGGAGAGGCCTCAGGAAACTTACAATCATGGCAGAAGGGGAAGTGGGAGCAGGCGTGTCCCATGGCCAGAACAGGAGCAAGAAAGAGAGAGAGTGGGGAGGTGGAACACACTTAAATGACCTGATCTCGTGAGAACTCACTCCACTGTCATGAGGACGGTACCAAGGAGATAGTGCTAAAGCATCCATGAGAAATTTGCCCTTATGATTCAGTGGCCTCCTATCAGACCCCACCTCCAACACTGAGGATTACAATTCAACGTGAAACTTGGGCGGGGACAACATCCAAACTATATCAACATCTAAAGGCCTAGGTAGCTCACAATGAGTCAGTTAAGGAGGATGTCCGACCTGGGTAAAGAGCGAGGGTGGAGAACATTCATTCATTCATTCAGCATGTGCTATGTACCATGGTGGACACTCAGGATATAATGATGAAGACAGACATGATCCTCCCCTTCATGGAGGTTACAGCCCAACAGGGAGGCAGGAAACAGCAAGGCAAAGGAGATGGAGGTAAACAGAAAGGGACCTACGTTAGATAGGGTGGTCAGAGGAGGCCTCATGGAGGAGGTTACATCTAAGCCAGCTATCAAATATGAGCTATTACCGGATTTCCCAATGGGGAAAGGGCAGAGCATGAACAAAAGCATGAGCACAAAGGCCCCTTGTCAGCAAGGGTTTGCTTCTGTGAAACTGAAGGAAGATCAGGGAGGTAGGAGGGTGGTGAGCCGGGGGTTGGGTGTACTGTTGTTAAGTGAGGAGGGAGGCCATGGTGTGGAGTATGGACTTTATTCCATGTGCATCAGAAAGCCACTGAAGGTTTTAAGCAGGAGTGACAAGCTGTGGCTTGGGTTGTAAGATCTTTCTGGGTACTGTGTGGAGAATACAAGGGAGCTGGTGGAGAGTGAGAAGCTGGGAGACCAGTTTAGGAAGCCATCGCAGTGGTGAGGTGAGTGGGAACGGTGAATGTCAGAAGCTGTTGCATTGTCTGGTGTAGCATAATGGATTGGGGGGATTATCCTTTGCAAATTACACTTTACTCTCTTTTCAGCCATTATTGTGGGTGATTGAGACTCATCCGTATGAACTATTCACCTTCGTACCTCCCGTTTACAACTCAGCATTGCTGGAAGAGCTGAACAGCCGCATGGATCATTTTTCAATTATAGAAAAACAAATTCTAAGCCTGAGAGAAAAAGTGCATGAGAAAGAAAGGGAGGAATATAGCTGCTAGCAGACAAGACATATACTTCCCAGCTCCACCACTGTGACTCTTTTAATTCAAAGAGATTTTTCAATTTTCCAGTGAGATTCTGGCCTCAATTCCTGTCCTAGGCTCAGAAAAAGCACAATAGTTTCTTTATACATCTTTTCTTTTAAAAAGCTCCCTGGAAAATATTGTAAATATGCTACTATATTGAGGTTTGATAATAAAGGGAAAAATTTTGCTCTTTATACCCATTTCTACTTGAACACCTTGTTTCTCTTTATTTCTCATGTTTGCTGGGTCATTCCTACTTTAGCGTTGGCGAGTAAGAGCAGCAGCCTCCTGGGAATTTAGTGCTCGGTATCTAATATTCAGTGCTGGGTGTGGGTGTTAGCAAATGCTAGGGAAAAGAAATCTCTGTCATCCTTCCCTTTCCAGCTGTAATCACGTAGAGTTTCCCTAGTGGCATTGGTGGAACCTGAGACCTGACCTCATTGGTCCCACTAATGACTAGGTAGGAATAAATAATTTAGATTGTTAATGAGGGTTTGAGCTATTTCCCCAATGAGCCCAACTTTCCGGCAGCCTCAGACTTTAGAGCTCAGTGGAGTATGTTTCTAAAGCTGCTGCCATTTTCACACCCTTTCCTCACAGTTAGGAAATAGTTGGAATTTGGTTTTTAAAAAAAGTATGGATCTCCTGGAGATGGGCAGTCTTTGATAGCACCCTGGGAAGTAAAGTCTGTCCTAGGCTGTTCATTCATTCCAGGCATTGCTAAGGGAAGTAATACAAAACAGACCACACATGGGAACCTAATTTCTGATTTGAACTTCTTTTCCACACAATTTATAAGTTAAATCACCGTCAATCTGTGATGAATCCATTATGATCTCCTTTTTCAGGAGTTGTGCCTAAATTTGGGGGTACTTCTGACATGCCAAGGAATGAGTGGTAGTTAGCAGATCACTTCCACGTCCTTGTAGACCCACATTGGTGTCCCCTGGGCCATTCTCATCTCTATCCACTCTTTGGTTCTTGGTGCACAGGTTTACAGGTTCTCTGTGTCAGGGCTGTACTGCTCTTAGTCATACAGGAAACTCCCACTGCTCCCACACTATCCAAGTGACAAGAGCTCCATCGCCTCAGGAGCCCGGGGGACACTGATCCTCTGCCACAGTGTGGCCTGTGAAGCTGGGCAGCTCAGCCTCATCTGCTTACCTAAAGGATGGCAAACATGGACCCACCTCTCTGCACTGCAGCATGCTTTCAACACATGAACTTCTGGAGGATGTTCAAACCACAGCAACTCCTTTTGGGGATCTCATAGACCAATGGTTCTCAGTGCTGGTCCCTTGAGTGGCAGCAACAGCATCACCTGAAACTTGTTAGAATTGCACATTCTCCAGCCCCAGCCCAGGCTTACTGAATCTGAAGCCATAGGGTTGGGCCAGCAATCTGTGTTTTAACAAGCCCTACAGGTGACTCTGATGTGCTCAAGATTGAGAACAGCTGTCGCAGAGAACTTTGTGGGTTTCATTGTGCTGACTTCTACACACGAATTCCTAACTTGGGCCCATTCCTGGGCCACTGCTCTGTCCTTCCTCCCTTCAGGACCATTCATTTGTTTCTGCTCAACCCCTGAGACCTTAGCAACAGCCCAGGCAGACCCCTGCTTCTGCAGCCTGCACAGCAGGATCCCCCGAGAGGCAGCCTTCATTTGGAACAATTTCTTTCCCACTCCTGTTTCCCAACCTTTCGGGCATTGAGTTGACTAAATTCGGAGTAAGAAATAGGCCAAATCCTCTGTTCCACAAAAACTAATTACCTTCTCTGTCCTCCTCGGTCCTACTCTGTGAGGTGGGGGAGTTCTTTTCCTTCCTTTCTCAAGCACATTCCTCTGTGTTGTCCATGGCCCTCTCCACTGGGCAGGTGGCCCCGAGACGTTGGGACAAGCTCATGTCCCAAGATAGTTTTCTGGCTCCTCTGACAATCTCTGGCCCTAGAGAGAGAAGCATAGGAACATTGAAGCTGGCCAGCTTTCATCAGCCACTGATGCTGCAGCATAAGCATCACAGTTTTCCCTTGGGGGTGTGTACCTCTACTCTTGATTTATGCTCTTTCCTTTGGTTATTTTAGCTTTTCCAGGGATTTTCCATGCCTTCCTCTTTCTCCCTGCCTAAACATGAGTATAAACCCACTTGTTCAATCCCCACCTCTCAGAGAAGCTCCAATTTTGCATTTCTTGGGCTAGCCCCATTCTCTACCTCACAGCCAACATGGCTAAAAGTCAATATTTCACCCTCCACAATAAACCCCCTTGTTCTCTTGCATTTCCCTTGATCCTTTCCCAGCCTAGTGAGTTCCCATCACCCTTTGAATCTCAGTTTTGACTTCAACCATGTGCAGGTTTCCCTGACTTTTCCCCACATCCAACCAAGCCTGGGCACTGTCCACTGTGCACCTTCAGTAGCTTTTTAATGTGGGCCTCTGCAGAGCTCCTCCCCAGCTGGGGCAGGATCCCAAGGGTCTGTCTCTCATTCACTTTGCACCTTCCAGCCTAACATAGATGCTCATGTCAAACCAGTATCGTAGCAGCCTAGAAAGATCATCCCTTTTCCTAGTGGACTACCTTATAGCTGCAGAGCTGCCATGTCCAAACATACTGAAAGAGGTATAAACACACTTCCAGTCACCCCTAACAAAGCTGGAAGCCCAGAGCGGGCCCAACATTTTGTACTAAGTCACCAGGGCAATGGCTACACTCACATCCTATTCACAATTGGCCTCCTCGATGACATTCACCATCTTATGAGGCTGAGAACCCTAACCAGCTATTTACTATTTCATCACACTGAAGACCATAACTTTACTAGTCCAGAGACTCTTGCCCTGGAAGAGCCAAGTTGCAAATCTTTATGCTTCATGGGAGAACTTTCTGGAAAGTCTCAAGTCATCAACAGACAGTTTACATTCCTAGATTCACATTCCCTTGATGTGTCCACCAATCCTAAACTATTATGTCACAATCCTTACCCAATTCTAATCCAACCTCCCTCTCCTACATTAAAAGATCTCCCTTAAACCAGACGTCAGAGTCTTCATAAATAAGACCCTGTTTTCCTCCTATTGAGACTTCCTTATGGTGGAAACTATGCACTCAGCTTTGCCTTATTATCAAGTAATTTGGGGATCCAGCATGCAGCAGGGCATTGCTTACCTAGGCCTTTCCTGCTTACCTAAGGGATTATTACTTTGCATTCAAAGGTTTGCGTTCAAAGGGAGTTTTGTTCTCTCAGCGTCTTCTACAGTGAAGAAGTTCTACATCTTGACGCAGTAATGCCTATGTACTCGAATGAAAATTCGAACAGCCATGGAGACAATAGCCAAAATGCTTTCTTCTCTAGATCAAAATGACCTTCGGCTTCTGGCTGCAAAGAGCATCTGCAGACGAAAGACGCGATGATGTGGCGCCTTCTGAGAACTGACCAGCAGAGGGCGCTCTTGAGAAAGAAGAACGATGTGCAAGATTGTTCCGGTCAGGGATGGCAAATTCCACACAGGAGGCACCACTTAGCTGTAATTATTGTAAAGAATGGTAAAGGCAAGTGGATTTCCACAGAACATGAACCAGAACAGCCATGGAGTGATAGCGGTGCCAATTGCGGGAAACCTAGCGGAGAACCTTCCCAAAGTGGTATTCAGGCTAGGATTTCAAGCCTCTAGTGGGGTTTGGCCTTTTTACCAAGTCTCCTGAAATAACAGAATTTCCCCCAGTAATTCTGAGCCCTGTGGCCTTTAGGACATGCCATCTTGAAGTCGTTCTGAGCTACTTACTCTGGTGTTTCTGAGAAATTATTCTGAAACAGAAGGTCACTCTAAGCCAGAATTGGCAAACTTTTTCTGTAGAAGGCCAGATAATAGATATTTTCACTTTTGTAGGCCATACAGTATCTATGACAATCTTGCAAATAGAAGAACTATTTGGCTGAGTAGCTGGAACTGCAGACGTGCCATTTCACTTGGCTCTGAGTTATCTCATTCTGATTCTGTGGGAACTCAGTGCCTTTCCTTGTCTTTGAGCTATTTTGTAACTGTAAATTGTAGATAACTGATAGCAATGGAACAGAATTCTTGTTTTAGACATGCAACTGAATCCTGTCTAGTGGAAGCTCAACTGACTTGTCTGCCCTTCAGTAAAGAAGCCAGTTTTGCATCCATTTGGAAATTCATTTCAGTATTCCTGATCTTTAAATGTCTCTTTTTAAATTTTTGCTTTGACCAATTGTAACATCACCCTGGTTTCCAAATCTGTTTTAGAAAGCTGTCTTGCGGCATGAACCTTGTAGCTTAAAAGCAGGCACAGAAAACATGAAACTAATGGGTGTGACTGTATTCTAATGAAAATTTATAGACACTGAAATTTGAATTTCCTATAATTTTCATGTCACAAAATATTTTTAAACAATTTTCCATGATTAAAACAGTAAAACCATTATTAGCTAATAGGCCATCTAAAAACCAGCCAAATTTGGCCCATAGGCTGTGGTTTGCCAGTTCCTGCTCTGAGCCAACCCTCGGCACAACTTCTCAACTCCATCTGTAATGCCCATGTCTCTCTGAGAGAATACCTTTATAAATTCTTCTTCCTAGACCGTCTAGAAATAGTTATCCACCAAGAAAGATGAAGGAACCAAAACATCTCTTTCAGGTCCTACCATGTCTATTACTAAGCAAAGTGCTGTTAAAAATTCTGACTGAGTTAAGGGGTTTAATAAAAACACATGATTCTCAAGGGTCAAAATGACTGCCCTTTCTGGTGTGAATACTAACTGCATCATGCGTTTCTTGCCAACGAGGAGTCCCTTTGCTGACTTCGCACCAGATTAAGGGAGAGCGTGAAGGTGGAGCTGGATCTTCTGAGGTTTGGGCCCTCAAAACAACCTTACCGGTTGAGATTCTGGACATGGGACTTAACTCTCTAGCTTCTGTTTCCTATTCTGTAATGTGAGGGGATATTATTATCTGATAAGGCTTTTGGGAGGGTGTTAAGAGCCAAAACACGGTAGGCACTAAATTGATGTTAGCTTTTATTACCCAACAGATAGAGATAAGCCCTAAGAAATGCCATGTCTTTCTGTGAGAAAAGAGGTGCTCTTTAGTGTTAGTGATGGGATGTAATAGGAATGGATTGTAAGATCTTGGAGAACAGGATACAAACTAAGTTCTTCTTTTTTCTGAATTACTTAGCTTAACTCAGTGCCTGGCACCTGAAGTGGTCTCAAAAGTAAGGAAAAACCGGTACTTCAATAGAAAACAATGCATTGTTTATAGTATTACTCTTCCAAGTTATCTAATTCTTTTTTTCTTTCTCTTTTTTGTTTTTAGAAACAGGGTCTTGCTATGTTTCCCAGGCTGGACTGGGCTCAAGCGATCCTCCCGCCTCAGCCCGATCTTCCTGCCTCAGCCTTCTGAGTAGCTGGGACTACAGGCATGAGCCTCAGCACTTGACTCGGAATTATCTAATTCTGATTCTGTGGGAGCTCAGTGCCTTTCCTTGCCTTTGAGCTATTTCGTAACTGTAAATTGTAGATAACTGATAGCAATGCAAAAGAATCCTTGTTTTAGACATGCAACTGAATCATGTCTAGTGGAGGCCTAACTGACTTGTCTCCTCCTTTGTGAAAGAGGCCAATTTTGCACCCATTTGCAAATTCATTTCAGTATTCCTGATCTTTAAATCTCTTTTATTTATTTTTGCTTTGGCCACTGGTAACATCTGCCTTGTTTCCTTATTAATAATGAGTTAGAGAAAATCTTTGACGTGTTCATTTAATACCTATGTGAGAGTCATGATTTCGCTTTTGTTTTTGTGGAAAATTGTCTTTCAATATGCTGTTTAATTATGAAATTGAATTCAGGAACGTTTTCCTAGAAAACATTCGAACGTGGTCCTAGGGAATGACCTAAAACACTTCTATGCTGCCTTTTTGAATCATCTCCTCTTTCCATTTACGGTCTACTCATGACTCTGCCACTACATTTCTATATAATTTTGAATGGCACTTCAACTTTCCCATCTGGAAAGTAGGGAGTGGAACTCAAAGGCATTCTATAAGACAGCAGTTCTCAAACTTCATGGTCTAGGGACTTCTACACTTTTGAAAATTATTGAGGACCTCCTAAAATTATCAGGGCTTTGGCTTATGTGGGTTGTAGCTCTTGTTATTTGCCATATTAGAATTAAAACTGAGAAAATTTAAAAAATATGTATTTATGAGGCTGGGCATGGTGGCTCACGCCTGTAATCCCAGCACTTTGGGAAGCTGGGGTGGGTGGATCACAAGGTCAGGAGTTCGAGACCAGCCTGGCCAACATGGCGAAACCCTGTCTCTACTAAAAAAATTCAAAATAAGCTGGGCATGGTGGCCTGTGCCTGTAATCCCAGTTATTCAGGAGGCTAAGGCAGAATTGCTTGAACCCGGGAGGCAGAGGTTGCATTGAGCTGAGATCATGCCACTGCACTCCAGCCTGGGCAACAGAGCAAGACTCCATCTCAAAAAAAAATGTATTAATTCATTGAAAATAACAATAACAAGCCCATTACATGGTAACATAAATAACATATTCTTATGACAAATAACTATATTTTTCAAAACAAGAAAATATACAGTGGGAACAGTGGCATTGTTTTACATTTCTGCAAATTGCTTTATTGTCTGGCTTAAGAGAAGACAGATTCTTGTATGTGCATTTGCATTCAATTTGTTGTGACGTCAATATGTAGCCTCTAAAATATCCAATTATGTTCATGAAAGAAGGCAAGTAAAAAAGGCAAATAACATCATAATAATATTATGAAAATAGTTTTGACCTTGCAGATTCCCTGAAAGCGGCTCAAGTCCCCTCAAGAGTTACTGGAACACTCTTTGAGAACTGCTGTTATAAAGTAAACCAAGACAACCTAGAGGTGGGAGTAGTGATTTTTTTATGATGGGCATGCCAGTACATCATGCTGGTCCCTTCTTAGAGTGACAATTGGCTTTCCTAAGCATTCCGGAACAGCCTTTCCTTGGGCGCACACATACGCAAGTGTGTGCATGTGTAGCAGCATCTGTTGATCTGTGCTGGGATTCTGTGTTACAAGCTTGAGTGGGACATCGTATATCCCTGGAGTAGGAACAGGAAGTAGATTGACGGTGGGGGAAGGAGATAAGCTCCATTCTTTTTTCCCAAAGAAGCTCTGAGTGAGTCCCTGAAACTGCATTTGCAAGGGCCTTTGTCCTAGAATTCGTTCTTGATCCTTTTCTCAAATCACGGCTTGGAGAGTGAAGTCTCTGGAAGCTTCTACTCTTACTCAGATGACCCTGCTTCTGACCCTTGGAGGGTCACTGGGCTCTAAGATGACAGAAAAGCAGGTATTGGAAGAGTAGTCAGTAAAGGAAGAGAGTTTTCCTTCCTGAAAGTCCTGAAGAAAAAAAAACACTCTGTGCCTTCCCTGTTAGAATCACTCTTCTTGTTCTTCCTTGCACAGGCTCCTTGATACCAGGAAATATTTTCAGTGCAAGATGAACCTGGAAGCTACTGCTGATACTTTCTAGGTACCAAATGACCACTGTGAAGAAAATGTAAATATTGACATGAGCTCACTGATTTCTTCCTTTTAGAGAAGTAACTCAGAGATTTGAAGTTTATAAATAATCCGCTTATTCTATAAATAAGAACAGACTCAGAGCTTTTATTATCACCTCCCTTTTATGTACTTACATTCCAATTTACACCATAAGATAATGGTTAAGAATTAAATCTTTGGAATCGGGACAAACCTAGGTTTATATCCTTGGTCTGCCACTTCATGGTAATGGGAATTTAGAGAAATGTCAACCGTTCTAAACCCTAAATTCCTCATCTATAAAGTAGGGGTGAGTTACTTTGAGATCCCTGCAAAGCAGAGCCTGAGTCAAGGACCTGGATGCAGGTAGTTTATTAAAGGTAGTGTTGAGGGTGATCCCAGAAAGAAGCAATGTAGGAAGAGAGAAAATGAGGCAGATTTAAGTGAGAAAAACAATATGGCATATTATTGGGCTGGTTACTCTTGTGGCTGATTGAGGACTGGGCATCCTCTTAGGGATGCTCAGAGAAATCATATAAAATGCATCCAGAGATGTCCCTCTGAAAGGGTGGGAGCCTGAGACTTTTCTCCAGACTCGTCCCTCATTGGCTGAGGATTGCCCCAGGGGCACCAATTTTCACTGGGAAGAATGAGCTTGCAGAGAACTCTCCACTGCCGCTGTGGCTGAAATCAGCAGTGGATCGTGGATGTGTCATGAGGCACAAAGCTATCTGCTACAGGAGATAAATAATGACCGTGTCCTAGAGTTAGTGTGAAAATTAGATGAAGTGCTGTCTATAAAATGTCTAGCATTGTGCCTTGCTCAAAGGTAAGTACTAAGTAAGCATTCACTTTATTGTTGCGGCTGATGTGATCATTATGATTATTATCATTGTATGTTCATGAGTGAGAGAGATGAGTGAATATATGACTTAGAGGGTTCCAAGAATGACATGTAATCTGCAGTCTATCTCTTCTATGCCAAAGCCTGTATGATGATTTACCAGGACCAATGGCCAATTGTTGTGATTATTAGGGGTCATTACACTACTTTTACTTTCTCACCCTCTTTTTGATGTTTTGTCAAAATTTGGGCTCAAGGAGAAGGCATATTCAGTCAGTTGTTTGTGATGGAAAAAAGGTTGCCATTATGCTAGAGCAGCGCTGTCTAATAGAACCTTCCACGGTGATGGAACTGTTCTCTATATCTGTGCTGTCCAAAGACAATAGCCATTAGCTGCATGTGGCTTTGGGCACTTAAAACATGGCTGGTTCAGCTGAGGAACCAAATTTTTAATTTTATTGAAAGTTGTAGTTAATTTATATCTAAATGTAAATCGCCAAATGCACACACAGGGAAGGGCAATTAGAGATAGTGTTCCCAGTAGATAGTGGAAGGGCCCCTTCCCCTGGGGCTAAAATTAAGGTGATACAGCCAGCAATGTATTTCCTGCAGCCCCTGGGCCTGAAGCCCACGAGATCTGACTTCCAGGTTGGTGCATGGTGGTATCACCCAGGCCAAAGGGCTGCTGGCTGAAGACAATGTCCCCATGATGTTGTGAAGACACGGAGCCAGTAGAGGTTGGAGGGGGAGAGGTGACGACCTCCACTCAGCTTTGGCCCATTGTTTTGTGTGCAGAGCCAATCGCCCACCCCTTTGCAGGGGAGAGCTTCATTCTCAGCTGCCCTACAATGAGGGAAAGATTAAAGAGAAGCCCATCCACCTAGTGTTGTCTACTTCCTAAAGGTTACACTACCCTAGAGACAAGATTCTTGGACGGACGCAGTGGCTAATGACTGTAATCCCAGCATTTTGGGAGGCCGAGGCGGGCGGATCACCTGAGGTCAGGAGTTCGAGACCAGCCTGGCCAACATGGTGAAACCCTATCTCTACCAAAAATACAAAAATTAGCCAGGCGTGGTGGCAGGCACCTATAATCCCAGCTACTCAGGAGTCTGAGGCAGGAGAATCCCTTGAACCCGGGAGGCAGAGGTTGCAGTGAACTGAGATTGTGCCACTGCACTCCAGCCTGGGCAACAAGAGTGAAACTCTGCCTCAAAAAAAAAAAAAAAAGATTATCATTTAAGTATGATTAACTCCAGCATCACCTCCTCTGGCTGGTCATCACTTCTACCCTCCCTTTAGCTTCTGTGTCCTAGAATTGACCACTTTGGTAACTGACTATTCACTTGTCTATTTTCTCCATTAAACCGCAAGCTCCGGAAGGCAGGTGCCATGCCTTCTACCCTAGCACAACGCCTCAAACACAGTCAAATACTCAACAATACTGACAGCAAGGGCAACAGGAGTGGAGAGAGGAGAAAGGTTCATATTTCCTGAAGTCATTCATAGACCTCGTGGAATTCAAGCTAAACCTTGACAGAAAAGCAAGTTTAGTTACTCAAGGAGTTGTGTAATGACATTCCAGAGGGGGTAACATCAGAAGCAAAAGGGGAGACTAGCCAGGCATAGTGGTGGGTGCCTGTAATCCCAGCTACTTGGGAGGCTGATGCAGGAGAATCACTTGAATCCGAGAAGTGGAGGTTGCAGTGAGCTGAGATCACGTCACTGCTCTCCAACCTGGGCAACAGAGCGAGACTCTGTCTAAAAAAAATGTAAAAAGCAGCAGACAGGGAAGTGGGATGAACTCACAGCACACTGAAGGAGACAGGATGAACTGGAAAAGAGGGTTTGGATGGCAAGATGGGATTAGCCAAGTGGGGCCTCTCAAGGGCCTTGAGAGCCAGGTAGTTGAGATTGGACATGATGTGGTTGACAAAGAGCACCATGAACCAGAGAACCTTGGGTTTCTGAACATGGTGAAAGATGAGGTAACATCAATAAATCTGTTAAGATGTGGTTGGCATCAGTTGTTTTTTGCCTTTAACTTTCAATCCTGCCTCCTGTAGCAAAAGGACTTCAATTTCCTTAGAACCACTGTTCTGCCCACATGGCCCAGTGACTCTACCTCTATCCCTAGGTCCAGGGGTGGGCGAGCACAGGAACCAGATCTAGCCAATAGTGTCTTAGGAAGGGTTCCAGGGATATAGCCAGAGGCTTCTGCTAGAGCTGTTGTTATCTTTCTTCCTTGATTACTAAACTGTTGAGATATAAACCTGGGCCTGCTGACACCATCTTGATGCTGCGGGGCAAGAGTCTGAGAATTAAACCAGCACAGAGAATAGCCTAGCCAAGGGATGACAGGGACATTCCATGACATCCTCTAAGCATCTGGATCCAGCTGGGCTTGAAGTGGGACCTATTTTGGGGCATTAGGTTTCTGTCACTTGCAATCAAAGAAGTCCTGACTAATGAATACTCAGGGTCAACTGGGTGAAAGTGGGAGGAGATGAGCATCAGAATGCCCATACCAGCTGGTGTGATGGGAATTCAGACATGAGACACTGAGGGTCTCAACCAGGGCATTTGGGGGCTAGAGAGAAAGGAGGTGAGTTAAGAGGTGAGCAGGAGCTATCTAGCGGTTTCCTTTCTTCGAAGGTTGCCGTCAAGTAGTTTCTAATGGTTCTTTACCACCTCTGCCTTCGTGATGCCCCTTTACCTCTTTCATTTTTCTTTTCTTTTTTTTTTTTTTTTGAGATGGAATCACGCTCTGTCACCCAGGCTGGAGTGCAGTGGCGTGATCTTGGCTCACTACAACCTCTGCTTCCCCGATTCAAGCAATTCTCACGCCTCAGCCTTCCAAGTAGCTGGGATTACAGGTGCCCACCACCACACTTGGCTAATTTTTGTATTTTTAGTAGAGACAGGGTTTCACCGTGTTGGCCAGGCTGAACTTCTGACCTCAAGTGATCCACCTGCCTCAGCCTTCCAAAGCGCTGGGATTATAGGCGTGAGCACTGTGCCCATCCTCTTTCATTTGTTTTTAACCATTTTGTGAGATAAATGAATCAGGCATTCTTGTACCCACTTTAAAGCAGGAGAGGTCAAAGGACTTGCCCAAGGTCGCATGGGAGCGCTGGAGCCTAGTTCTGGTTCTCTAGTGCATGCTAATGCTCGAGCACAGTGTGGACTGAGCTCCCCAGGCCCCGTCTTTCTGTTGCTTCATTGTGGAGATGCAATACCCGGCTCCCGGCTTTTCTTATGACTTCCAGAGAGAAACAGCAGTAGTTCTTGCTGAGGAAAGGCCCAGGAGCCCATGGCCTTCTTCATTAAAATAAATTCTGCCTGAGTCTCCTGGTTCTAAATAGAAGAAAATGTAGATTTGGGGCAGAACCGAAGGGAAAGGGATTTCCCTTGGCAAATTATTTGCAATTTGTGGATTGGAGCTGACCCAGCTCCAATTCCCTCTGTCATTCTAAGTGCCATCTACAATGTGACCAGCTTATTAAAGAATGAGAACTGGAGGCAGTCCTCCCACAGGGGCTCAACAAAACAGGAGCAGAGTCACAGCCCAGCTGCGTCTTCCTCAGTGTAGCATGTCTAGTTGCTGGCTAGATTCTCACCCTTCAGTTACATGTTCATGCCTAGGCAGCCACTTCTGGGGGCTGTGGGAAGAAGAGCGAGAATATTTATGAGTTGTTTGTGCCTTTCCTTTGGCAGTATGAAAAGCTAGCTGTCATAAATACTGTAGTGGTCCTCAGACTATAGCATGTAACAGAATGCACGTTCTTGAGTCACTGCCAGGGATTCTGAGTTCGTGGGTAGCTCAGGATCCGCTTTGTAAAGAGGCATTCCAGGTATTAATACTCCTGGAGCAAGTGGTCCATGGACCACAGTCTGAGAAACACTGATGTCAGTGGAGCACTAGTGTGCAAACTCCAAGTGGCCCCCTTCATCCGTGGTTTAAAGATGCTGCTGTTGCTGGCACAAGTCCCAGGAGATCCAGTGTTTCCTTCTTTACTAACAGGGTCTGTTACTGGCATAATCTGAGGAACATTCAGAAGTCTTTCTCGACTAAGAAGATCTCCAAGGAGCAGCTGCATCTAGAGTTCTAAGGACTTAGCTTCTCCTGTACTCCTTTTAAATCACAGATAGCTACAGAGAACAGCACTTCTGTTGTTCAGTCTTTATTTTTCATAAGGGAAAAAGCCCACTGTGGCATACCTGCAGCAAGTGAAAGTGTAAATACAGCTCCTCTGTCTGCATACTCCACCCTATCAGAGCCCTGGGCTCTCCTCACAGCCCCCACCTTTCTCTGTCCCCAAAGGCTGTACCCAAGATGTACAGACCTAGTAAGAAATGCTTTTAGAGTGTCAAGTGAGTTTTTTCTTCTTTCGGACATCTCTATTAACAAAATCCTAAAGAAAATCAATGGATTCCTATTTCCTCATCCATTCATACCATCAGATCCTTCTCAAATTGACCACAGAATCAGTGGCCGTCACAATGAAATTGACTGCATATGAAATGAATCTGAAAATTCCATTTATTAAAACACATACATTGTCCATGTGGGATGAAAATGTGCACATCACATTCAGGTTTTCCTGCTTTAACATTTCTGTAGTTCTCTCTTTGAAACACACACTCCACAGATCTTATATAGGAAAAATGTGAACAACTTTTGGGCTGCAAAACATTAATGCATACATAACAATTCATCATTGCCAAGAGCAGCTAGAAGCAAATATTAAGGAAGAAAGACAAAGAAGTATAAAAATTCCTAAAGACAGCATGCTTTATTTTCTCAAAATTCCATATGTGACTATGAGCGTATGGAGAAATCGTTTGATTTTTAAATTTATTGTTTTGTCCTTGGTAGGCAATCTCCTTCAAATATTATTAGCAAAATCAAACATAGATCAAAGTATGTATTTGCATCTTCTGATTGAAATTAAACAGTACTTGGTTTCAAATGTTTTAAAAATAACACTTTTTAAACTGGAGTTGATATTGAGGATCATGTAAAATTATTCTTTATAGACTTTGCATTCTAAATATGAAGTTTATTGTTACTACTTATTAGTTAATTCCACGGCAGATTTTCATTTCTATCGAATATATTATATGTAGAAACTAGGGCCTTAAATAATTAAGCTGACTTTTCCTATTAGTTATTCCTTAAGATAAAATTATGCTGGTGAAAATGACTGTTGAATTTCTCAAGAAATTAAGCTCTATAGAGGCATAAGTAATCGAAAGACTTTTTCCCCTGAATAAGTACAAATACCAAGAAGCCAAAACTCATATAAAGATTTTCGTATTATAATTCCATACTGTAAGACATAAAATTATGAAAAAGCCAAAACATTTTCCTTAAAATGCTCCCTAGAAATTGTAATTCCATCTTAATTGCTCCAAAGATCTAGATTTACATGGAAATATAAAGAGTCCTTCTGAGAAAAGGAAATGCTGTGAATAGTGGAAATCGTCTGGGCCTTCTAATGATGCCTCAGTCACCACCAAAGAGTGTTTTATTCATTCATCCGTGTTTTCATGTGACCACATACTCAATTCATGTTTTGGCCCATGTAAAAACTGTGATATGTTTTAGCTTATTCCATAGTGTTACTAAGCTAATTGTACAATGCTGTAGTTTAATAAATACTCTGCTGTTTTTTTCACCCCTAAATCTTCATGGGCGTCCTAACTGTAACAAAAACCCCACAATTTGAACAGAAGAACAGAAGTATCTGGTTACAGAAGTGCATTCATACATTTCACAAATGTTTCAGTATCCTCTTCTCCCCGACCCCAGCATGAGCTTTAATTGGATGTATTTATTCTTTCACCAGCATGCCCATGAAGGAGCTAAGGAAAACATTTACCAAGTCTGTTTCAAAATCTGTCCTTGGCATATCAAACTTTTTCTCTTCCTTTTTCATGCTTTTTTTTTAAAAAAAAAACAGGAGAAAGCGAATAGAGAGGAAAGAGACAATAAAATTAATTGGGAGATGGAGATGATATTTGGGGATTTGAAAGCAAACAAGATGTAAGAGAGGCCCTCTTTGACTGAAAATGACACAGAAAAAGGTGATCAAGTCTTCCAGGGCCTGCTGTTACTGATGGAGACTACAGCTACAATGAAAAATTACTCTCACTACCATATCTTGGGGAAGGAGCGCTCTAGTTGCAAGGAATTTGTAAATAAAGGCCGAGAGACTCTAACAAACAAGATGGAGAACAAAAACAAAGATTCCATTAAAAAATTTGTTAAGTGAAAAACCAAGACCATCTCAGTGGACAAAAGAGCCAGAACTCTTCCTCGTAGAGCCGGCCGTGGGGACCGCACCTGCCGCCCAAAGAGTGGCGATTTGAGGTCCTTCTCCCTGGAGAGTGAATAGCTGGAGTTCTGAGAATGGTCACCTTCTCTGGAGCTGTGGGTTTATTTCTTCTGATACTTGAACAAAGGAGGGCCATGGTTTTCTTGTTAAGAGCACAAAAAAATGTTCTTTTAATCTAGAATGTCCATGATTCAGGGAAAGAGGGAATTTGCTCATACTCATGGCAAAAGCATTTCCCAGCTCATGGTGAATCCTTAACTCTCCTGCTTGGTGACAGCTGTGCTGCCCTGGGTCCTGGATAAACCAAAATGCTTTGGATTCTGGAAAACGTATTGAAGAGGCATTTATACCACTATTAACTAGGAGGTATTTTAGGTGTGGCTAAGGCTCTGAAGTAATCTCAATTTTCAAAATACTGAGATTTTCTTCCCTCTCCGGGGTCTTTTCCCTCTCATTTCCTTTCCCAGCTTTAGAGTAAAACAACAAAACTTCTGAATGGATGTAACATAGGGACATTTTCATGCAATATTACTCAAAAATTGTCACAAATATATGAAAGCACCAGTCACAACACAGGATTTACTTTTACTTGCAGAATCAAAGCTATCATGTACACATGTTAGGAATAGTGAAAAGAGAACACAGACAACCGGCATTTTTTGTCGTTGTTACCATGAGGATACACCACGGGGAACATCTCCCTAAACATTTTGTGTGATCATTCTTGGAGTTCAATCTGATAGACCAGTCCAGCCTTATCTCCACACTACTCTAATGGGGAGGGGTGGAAGGAGGGGTAGAGGAGAAGGAAGAAAGAAAAAGAAAGGCACAGTGACTATACATCAATGCCATTAAACCGAATTGCATCTACACGGGACAGCTCAGCTTATCAAAGGGTATTCTAAAGACAATATTCATTCCAAGAAGGTCACACATATCTTACCTCAGTACAGCTGTCTGTTTTAATTGTTATTTTTCAAAATATGAAGCAGAAACATGAGGATTTTGGGGGGGGGGCTGGGGGATAGCAGAAAAGAAGTGACACCAATTTTATTTTTATATATTCCCCTCCTCCAGGCAGTTCGTCAGAATCAGATCTCTTAAGTCAGGATGTGGATCGGCTTGCATTCTCATAAAGGGGACCAGATCTTTAAACATGCATAGCCTAGAGTTTCCAGAATGGTTCTCCTCGCTCTCTTCAAATGCCGTGGACTAGAAAGGTGCCCACTTCACTAAAAACTCTACATCAATGTCCCAGGAGCCCGGAGGCTCTTCAGGCCCCTCTCAAAGACTTAAAGGATGGCACAGAAAAACTTCTTCTCCCTAAACGGGTTTTCTGAAGCCGGAACAGGGGTCAGGAGGGGGTCTTCCTTGGCATGTGCTTCACAGTAGGCCATCAAATCTGCAGCTGCCTTGGACACCTGGAAAGGGAGACAAAAACAACCAACACTGGAGTCTGGTACAGTCAGTCAAGGCCCAAGGCTTTAGAGCCCAATGTCCTGGCATCAAATCCTTGCTCCATGAAGCAAGATACTCAGCCTCTAAAAGCTTCTGCTTCCTCATCTGCAAAGAAGAAAGTTGACGACACTGACCTTACAGGATTGTTGCCAGCAAGTCTGGGACTAGGTTAAGGTGAGTGAGGCACTTAGGGTGCAGAACCGAAGGAGGCACTCGCTGGCAGGGGCATGCAGGTGTCAACCCTGCACTTCCATAGCCCCGCAGGTGGCTGTCTCCTTCATTTGTTTTTTTTTTTTTTTTTTTTTTTTTTTTGAGATGCAGTCTCGCTCTGTTGCCCAGGCTGGAGTGCAGTGGCTTGATCTTGGCTCACTGCAACCTCTGCCTCCTGGGTTCAAGCAATTATCTTGCCTCAGCCACCCTAGTAGCTGGGACTACAGGTGTGTGCCATGGTGCCTGGCTAATTTTTTGTACTTTTGGTAGAGACAGGGTTTCACCACGTTGGCCAGGCTGGTCTTGAACTCCTGGACTCAAGTGATCCACCTGTCTCGGCTTCCGAAAGTGCTGGGATTACAGACGTGAGCCACTGTGCCCGGCCCTCCTTCACTTTTGTGCTCCGATATCTCATTGCCCCACCCTGGTCCCAGCCCTGGTAACAAGGGTTAAATGAAAAAATCCCTGTAAATCATTTAGTGTCTGGCACATAGCAAGCTTTCCACACAGGCTAGCCATTATTATCATTTTGTAGTCGTGACTCTCTGCTTCAGGAATTGTGCTAGGGATGCCTAAAACCATGTCAATTTCCCTTTTTAAGCAGATGCAGCAGGAGATATATCTATGTATACACACACTATATAGAACATATTTTTATACTTCATATATATTAAAATTTATACCTGTGACTTTAACCAAGCATTGTGCCCTTTAGTGATATTTCACTGGGAGGTCGTCACTGATTCTGGCGATGCTGTCATTTCTTACAACATATTTGTAGCTGCTTGTTATGAGTTCCCTGTAGTACCTTCCTTCAACCATCTTCACCAGAGGAAATTTTTACTACATTAGAGCGTGGATTTAGTTTCAGGAAATAAACTAAAAGTCATCTATAGCTACATCTGGGGACTAGGTAAATGATCAACCTGGGGAATGCCATTTGGGGTCAAATTTTTACATAAAATAACACATTTCCACATGAAAGCAACACCACTGTACTACTACGAACGCCTGTCAAGTAACTACTGAAAGGATATCAAAGCAACTACTGAAAGGATAATCTAATTTAAGATTTGGGTGAATTATATTATTACTAAAGATAGTCACTGCCCCTTCCTACAAGTGGGACATACATGCCCACATGATGACATCAGACTTGCCCAGTGACATAAGCTTGCTCTGGCCAGAGAGATGTGAGCAGAATTTATGTGGATCAATTATGGGCAGAAACTTTAGGAGCCAATGCACAGTTTGCCATGTCCCTTCCTCTATACCACTTCGTCCGACTGAAATAATTTATGAGGAACCCTCTTAATTGATGCAGAGGTTTTAACAAATGGCATAGTGGCAATATCCTTGATTTGTTTCTTGTCCCAGGGCTGAGTTGATTAAAGCTTTGTCACTCCTGCCTCAGCCTCCTGAGTAGCTGGGACTACAGGTGCATGCCACCATGCCTAGCTGGTTTTTCAAAAATGTTCTTGCTATTTTGCCCATGCTGGTCTTGAACGCCTGACCTCAAGCCATCCTCCCGCCTCACCTTCCGGAGTCCTGGGATTACAGGTGTAAGTCACTGTGCCTGGCCTTTTTTACTTAAGGCTACTTCAACTTTATGATTTACTGGTTGGGTAGAGAAATCAGTTTCCTCTTCTCATCCCATAAACCGTTGAATTTTTGGGGTCTCTGTTCCCTTTGCCACAGAACAGATAGAAGCAACATTCTGGACAGAGGCTGCTCCATCTGCCAGCATCCCTGATGAAGGTGACATGGTGTGGAGTGGCAGCTGATTTATGATTGACATATGGTAGGAGTGAGAAGTGTGACTGTGCTATTGCAAACCCCTAAGAATGAAGGGTAGGGCACCTTCTGTTACTACCACAACATCTAGCCAACCCTAATTGACACAAAGAGGTACAGGTATTGGTTTGTGTATTTGTTTCCTCTGGCTGTCTTGAACAAGTCCTCACAAACTGGGTAACTTAAAACAACAGAAATTTATTCTGTTAGAGACTAGCAGTTTGAAATCAAGGCATCAGCTTGGTTGGTCCCTTCTGGAGGGTCTGAGCGAGAATCTGTTCCATGCTTCTCTCCTAGTGCCTGGTGGTTGCTGGCAATCTTTGGTATCCCTTGGCTTATAGACATATCACTCCAATCTCTGTCTCTATTTTCACATGGAATTCTCTCCTGAGTGTCTGTGTCTTTATGTGGCATTCTCCTCTCTGTGTGACCAAATTTCCCATCTCACCAGTTAGAGTTACCCTAATCCAGTATGATTCCTCTTAATTTGATTACATCTACAAATACCCTATTTCCAAGTAAGGCCACATTCTAAGATTCCAGGTGGGCATAAATTTTAGGGGACACTAGTCAACCCAATACATGATATGTATGTAAAAATCAGTCTCACTTTTTAATAGACATTACAGTACTTACAAAAATATTTTTATTTTATCCTTATTTTGTTCCAGACATTGAGTTAAATTTCCTCTTTTGATCTTCACAGTAATCCTGAGGTAAGAATTATTATCCTCTTTTTATAGATGAAAAATTGAGGCTCAGCAGATTATATAAGTTGTTCAATATCATAGAGCAAAGCACACAGCAGAAAAAGAACTTGAACTCGAATGTGTTGCCATTAAGCCACAGCCATCTGCATATAAACTACTCAAATGTGGGCTTTGTTCCAAAGGTTGAAATTGAAATTCTTTATGAAATGCTTCTATGACAAAATGAAAGGAAACAGCCTGTTTATGTCTTAGCTCTCCCACATGAAAACAAAGGACAGACTTTCAGACTGAATTGAGATCACTTTTTTTCTTCATTCTTTCTTCTTGTTTGAGCGATAGTCATTGTTACACCAAACAGGAGCTTAGCTGTTAGGCAGTGGAGACAGTAAATCAGTGATATCTAAAACTCATTTGTTACGAGGAGAAGCAGCACCGTTCATCCCTACCCGTTTGCAACACTCACATACAACTATGTAGCATGAATATTCAAAATCTTTTTATGATACAGGAAGTACTATACTAGGAAAATTTAATAACTTAGAGCTGCTCATATCTTTATATTTGAACATTTGATTCTGAATGGTTTCCTTCTTAAAATATATTATGTGTTTTATCTTGTTTCCTCAACAAGACTGCAATCTCCTGTGGGCAATGCTCCAACAGTGTCAGAATCCCAGCAGTAATTAGAATAATTGCTAATATTTATCAGCCCTTGCTATGTGTCAGAACTGTGCTAACCACTTTACATACGGTATCTTATTTAATCCTTACAACAACATTATGGGTCACAAGCTATTATCATTCTCATCTTAAATATGTGAAGTGGAGGCTTCATTAAGTGTTTGCCCCAGGTCCCACAGCTCCTGAGCTACTGAGTTGTGAGTCTCAATGTCCCTGACTTAATCTTCATGAACATTCCTCCTTTCTAACCTGTGGCTGTCTTCCTTGTCCTGTGCCTTATAATGAGTCACAGCAATCGTGTGCCTAGCAGATCTTTCTGCTTTCTGACAATCCCTGCTAACATTTTGCACACAGCTTCTTCTACATTCGTATGCCTACTTCTTCCATGAAGATTTCCCCAATAACTCCAGAAAATCTCTCCCTTTTCTGTCCTGTTGATTCTTCCTCCAAAGATATCTCAAATTTGGCTCCCTTCCTGTTATATCTATTGCAGCTACCCCAGTTCATACTGCAGTCTTCTCTCTTTGTGATTACTAAAATAACTTTGTAAATAAAGGCAATTAATTTGGATTACCCCAGGGTTCCACAGATCGAATTCGGGGGGTGGTATGTGAACTTCAAATAATACAAAAAATTTACATCTTTATTTTTCACTAACCTCAAATGGAAATTTAACATTTCCTCTCATTATAAATATAGACAACACACTGCAGTAGCCCTAGCAGTACATGTGACTTGGCCACTGATAGATACCAGATACTTTCAATCACATTATATTCATTGCAGACACCTCAACACTGCATTTCTGTTCATCCACCTTATGATTGTAGACCTATTAGATCTTACATAATCAGTTAACAAAGGAGTACCTATGTATAACTACATCACATATATTTTTAAAAATTGATATTTTAAATAATATTATTTAAAATGTTTTACAAAAATATTCTAATGACCCTCATGTCAATATAATTAGTTTCTTTTGTAATTTAAAAACATGATTCTAAGAAGGAGACCATAGGCTTGAGCAGACAGACAAATGAGTCAAGAGCACAAAAATGTTTAATTATCTCAGTTTTAAATGATTTCCTGTGTTCATAACTATGCAGGAGTAGTATTCTCCATACTGTAGCTAGAAAGATATTTTTAAAATACAAGTGGATTCCTATCATTCTCCTATTTAAAACCTTCAATAACTTCTCATTGTAATTTGTAGAAAACCAAAACTTTGTAAAACAGCCTGTGGGTATTGCATGTTTTGGGCCTCCCCCTCTCTCCAATTTCATGTTGTAGCATTCTTCCCTCTCAAATATCTCCTTTACTTTTTGAAAGCTCCAAGTTCTTTTTTGCCTCAGAGTGTCACATATTCAGTATCCTAGAATATTGTTCTCTTCATCTCCTCAATGGGTTGGCTTATCATCTTCCTTCAGAAGTCAGCAGAAATACCACCTCCTTGCAGAACCTTCACTGATCGCCTCATCCACAGTGACTTTCCTGATTATTTTCTCTCAGAGTACTTTCTCACATTCTTCTCTTTCACAGAAATTATAAATTGCTTTCACAGTTTATAATTACGGACATCGTTTGTTTATTTGCCATTTAATATTTGCCTTTCCCTTTAGGCTCTGGGCTCCACGAAGGCAGGAACCACACCTGTGTTATTTACTACCGTATAATCAGTGCCTGACACATATTCAACACTCATAGTAATTGCTGAAGGAGTTCTCAAACATAATCTTCTTCGACAGATATTTCATGCAACGAATATTTACTGAGCATCAAATATGCCAGGTGTAGTCTGGATACTTGCAATAATCAGGGAACAAAATATACAAAGATGCTTGTCCCTGTAGAGTTTATACAGCATTCTATACTTCCAATTTTGGCTATGATGGAGTAATAAGGGCCAACTAAACTCTCCTGCCTTAAATTAAAAACTGGGCAGAATATATGAAGAAATAATTTTTAACTTTTAGACAATAGGCAGCACAGAGGAGTGATCCCTGAGAGAAGGGAGATAAGATAAATTCTACAGTTGCCCCAGCTTACTGCCTGCCACTGCACAGGGAGGGAGTACCCAGACAGAGTTCAGCAATCTCCCTGAGTTGAGGAGAGAATAGCAGAGAAGAAAGAATTACACTAGGGGAGAGAAAGCTCTTAAGGCCTCTGGAGGATTCATCTTGAGCCTTTGGCTGAATACTGATTGGCACATGCATAGGAGAAAACCACTTGAGGCTATGCAAAGAATATCAGGAAGGAGCAAGTAAAACAATCCTGGAGATCACATAGGGCCAGAGTAGAAAGGCTTCCCAGCACACAAGACATTGAGTAGAGTCCTAACAAGGTTATTACTTCATTAGTGATGCCACATAGCCCCAGGTTAAATGTTGTGGACCCACCTATCAAAGTTGAAAAGTTGAAAAGTAAGTCTTGAATAGATCAAAATGTTTCCAAGTAACTTAACTGTTAACTATTGTTAAATACTTTAACAAAAGTAACAATTGTTATTTTTAAACAATTGTTATTTTAACAATTGTTAATATCGTCCACATGATCAAGAAGGTAGAATAAATCAACACAAGATAAAAAGACATACAGAAGATATAAAAAGGCACAAATCAAATATGTAGACATGAAAAAATACAATGAGATGAAAAATACAATGAATAGAATTAGCAGATTTATAGACACGAATATTGTTAAAATAACAATTGTTAATATTGTCCACATGATCAAGAAGGTAGAATAAATCAACACATGATAAAAAGACATATGGAAGATATAAAAAGGCACAAATCAAATATGTAGAGATGAAAAAATACAATGAGGTGAAAAATACAATGAATAAAATTAGCAGATTAGCCACTGTAGAAGAAAGATTAGTGAACTTGAAGATAGCAATAGAAACTATCCAAAATGAAGTGCAGAGAGAAAATAGACTGAAAAAAAAAATGAACAAAACACACTGAGATAGGAGACAACTTCAAATGACTTAATACACATATAATTGGAGTCCCTAAAGAAGCAGAGAGATATGGGGAGTGAAAGATAAAGAAAAAATATTTGAAGATATAATGGCTGAAAAATTTCCAAATTTAATGAAAACTGCAAATCCACAGGTTCAAGTAACTCAAGAAACCCCAAATGAAGAAACATAAATCAAACGACACCAAGGCACAGCATAATCAAATTGCTTATATGGTATTTGAGTGGGAGAATGGTGAGAATAGGCAATGAAACATAGTGGTTATATAGAGAATGTTGGAAGGTAGTAAGTTCATAAGAAAATAAAAAAGTAGATCAGGGTAAAGGGGATTGAGAGAGTGTGTTGGTGATGGTAGGGAGGGGTCTGGGGAACAGGTTGCAATAGTTCAGCTTAATTAAGAAAATAATCTTTTGGTAGAAACTTACAAAATGAAAGTTACAATAAAATAAATGGTGACCCATTGACTTACATTCTAACGAAGCACTCAGAATGCTGTGTTGTGAACAGTACTCTATGGGAGTCAAGGGTAGAAGCAGAGACTACCCTGGAGGCTACTGCTTTATCAAAGTGAAGGGCAACAGGGATTCAGAATAGAGTAATAGCAGTGGAGGTGGGACAAAGTAGTCTAATTCTGGATAAATAGCATTTGAATGTAGAATCACCAGGATTTTCTAATGGATTAGATGCACAGTATGAATAAAAAAGGAAAATTAAGGATAACTCTAAGTTTTTGGACCAAGCAAATGAAAAACGAACTTGCTGTCAGTTGAGCTGGGTAGGGCTATGGCAACAGACTTTTGGGGGTGAAGATCAAGAATGCAGTTTTAGACAGATTGAAATTGAAATGTCTATTAGTGAGATGTATGATGCTGGAGTTTGAGATAAATAATCGGGCTAGAGCTATAAATTTGGTAATCAAGGTCCTAGAGATGGTACACTAAGCCTTGGGAACTAACAAGATCACCAAGAAAGTAGAGCTGAGTAATGAATGAACCCTAGGACCCTTGAATGTAATAAGTTGGAGAGCCTAAGACAAACTAGAGGAGAATTAAAAGGAGTAGCCTGTGAAAGTAGGCATTACTAAGAGGCAAATAAAGAAAGTGTTTCAAGGCACAATGAGTCATCAATCATGTCAAATGCTGCCAAGACATCAAATAAGATGAAAACTAGTAACTATTAAATTTAGCCGTCTGGAGTCATTGGTGATCTTGATGAGAGAAGCTTCAGTGGAATGGTGGGTGTGAAAGCCTCATTGGAATGGGTGTAAGAGTAAATGGGCCTTCTGCTCCTTCTTCTTCCTGGACAATTCAATCTTAAAATGATTAGGTAGGACCAAGCAAGTTAGGATTTTATATTAGCTCAGGGACTCATGATGGGATATCAGAGCTGAAGTAGGATAAGGAGAACATCTACGCAGGGTCCAACCTGGTAAGGAGTATAGGAACCTGAATGAATGTGCAAGGCATCCATGTGGGGAGAGGAGGCCATGGAGTGGAAGCTTGGTTCCCTACAAGACAGTGACCAAACAAGGATAAGGGGAGCCAGGTGTCTCACTGCAGGTGAAGGGAGTTACAAATACGGAAAGTAGAAAACTGGAATGAACCCTGCAGTGTAGGGTAGGAATTGGTGGTGTCAGTGAGAACTTATGGTTACATATACACATACATACAGATATAGAAAGAAATATAAATGGGGGGGGGGAACGGAAGAGAGAGAGACAGACTGATTGTATGACTGTATTATCTAGCTCTATCCACTGAGAGGTCCTGGGGGGCAGCAACACTTCAGCAGTGAGCACATTTGGCATCTAGATCTTGGTTTCTAAATACCATTCTCAAAGGAACCAGGAACCAGTGCTCTTTGGAAAAAAGGATGATTCCAGGACTGGGGCAGGGAAAACAAGGGGAGCTTAGAACATCTTTCTGTGCCAAAAACTGAGAAAGAGCTCAAAGAATGAGGGCAGCATGCCAAAAGGACGCAATAACCACTTTCAGTCTGTGCCAACGGAAACATCAAAATACATGATGATAGTAGCAGACTGTACACCACTGAATAAAAGAGGAAATTCCTTCCCAAATTCCAAATACTTTTTAACTTCAAAAAGAAAACAAATAGGTTTGTGTGGAGAAATCTGGAAAACACATTAGTCAGGTAGTGAAACTTAACATTACCAGTCAGTAACAATTTGAGATAATGTCCCACCAATAGAATACAATGAAATGAATACTCCATTAGTTCTATGATATTAATGCCAAAGTTTTGTTACCTGAATTTAATTATAATTATCTGAAAAACCCAAACTGAGTGACATTCTAAAAAATAAATGGCCTATAATCTCCAAAAGTGTCAAGGTCATGAAGGTCACGGAAGTCTAAAGAACTGTGCCAGACAGGACAACTCAATGCAATAAATGATTCTGAACTTGGTCCTCTCGCTAAAAGGGACATTACTGGGATGATTTGCATACTTAAATGGGATCTCAGGGTTAGAAGGTAGTAATGGGTCAGTGTTAATTTCCTGATTCTGATGATTGTATTATGAGTATGTAGAAGAATGTCCTTACTTGTAGAAAACACACATTACAGTATTCAGAGGTGACAGGACATCTTTTGACAACTTATTCTCAACTGGCTCAGGAGAAAACAAAATTGTTTGCACCACACATGCAACTCTTCTGTAACTTTGAGATTATTTCCAGAATAAAAATGACTTTGCAAAAGAAAAGGAAAAGAGAAATTAGAGATGGTGGATATAGATACTTTTTTCAAAGTCATACTGCAAAAAATGTAAACAATTGAGGCCGTTGCTAGAAGGGGAAGTGGAGGGATTGAGAAAAAAATCAAATTTTATTTAAGATGGAGAAATAACACCATGTTTGTATGATAATGGAAATGATGTAGAGAATCAAAAACTGATGATGCAGGATAGACAGAAGGTGGAAGAATAAACTGCTGGAGGAGGTTTCTTGGTTAGAGAGGTGGGATCTACTGCACAAGTGAAGGACTTCACTTTTGATCACAGCAAGGATCTCCCCAGATTAGCAATTGCTGAAATCCTACTATCCAGCATCCTCACCAAACCAGACCGGGACTGAGAACCGGGAAGTAAGGAGTTGTGGGGGTGGCGGGGTGGGGCAGGTGGTACTCTAGACAGCTTCAATGAAGGCTACCGGACTGTGAGTCTAGGCTCCAAAAAAACAGGAGAATTACTCTAGAAAGACTGCTTGACAATGCCAAGATGAAGCAGTTGTCAGTAAGGATAAAAACCAGATCCCCAAATTTAAACAGAAGGTAGAGATATAATCCATCTTCATTACATCTGAAATTGAGACACATCTTAAAATCGATGTTGCAAAATGCTTGCAAGCCATCAGGCAAAAAATAAGCACAGGCTGTCATTGCCTATACACACGGGAAATTGCCTGTGTATTAAGGGTATCAGTCATAAAATCATGGCTTTAGTTGGGTTGCCCGCATTAATGGAGCCATCTAAGGTTGACTTAACTTTAATTTGTGTTTTGAAAGGATTTCAAAGATTATACTGGATGGAGGCTTGAGATGGGAAGTGTGTATAGAAAAACAATCCAACTGTTTCCTCCTAATCTATACTCACACCACTCTACATACTTCTTTTATGATACCAGATGTGTAGGTTTTCCCACACCAAGCAATTCTCTGGCCCACCTGTGTGTCCTACAATTTAATTCAATTCTGATACTATCTATGTGGAGACAGAAACAGATCCCACAGGTAAGAGCTTAGTCTCACAAGGCTGCCCCTGCCCCATTTCAAATGCCAATAGCAAGCAGTAGGCCCCCAGGTTACTCACAAGTTCTGTCCAACTTGGCTACAAATCAGAGGTTCCCATGACTACCTCTTCAGGTTGGATAATTTGCTAGAGTAGCTCACAGAACCCAAGAAAACAGTTTACTTGCTATTTCCAACTTATTGCAAAGGATATTTTAAAGGATATAAATGAAGAGTTGGATAAAGAGATATATAGGGTGAGGTTGGAATTGGCCTAGAAGGAGGATTGTATTCCATTTTTCCTAATAAAATTGAACACAAGCATTTTAGGGAAGGGATACTCTCAGCTCAAATGCTGGAAAAATACTTAAAATGTCCTAAACCTAGAATATATGTCCTCTCTCTAGTTCCAAGGATGGCGTCTAACTGGACCATTTCTCACTACAGGGTTCCATGAAGTTCAATTTCAATCTATTATCATAATCATCATAAAGATGACTTAATCATTAGAAATGTCCATATTTGGCTCACTAATTTATACATATTTGTCCTCGTTGTGAAAGTCAGTCTGTTCTTTTTATATGTTAAAGTGTTTTAAACAGAAGGCACACTATAAATGCTAGATATTTATGATCATACAATGATATGAAACAATTTATCTTTCTTTAAAATGACTAATTCCATCCTTTTAAAAAATATTTAATTTGACTTCCCCATTACCACAGCTTTATTTGTCCAGTTACATTCATGCTTGGAATCTCCAAGTCCATAAATGTAACTGGGAATGTCATGGGGAATATAGTAATGTTTTGTTATATGACACTCTTAATACACAAATTTAAAGCTGTCTACTGAAAAAAGCTTTTACAAAATGCTTGTGTACCCCAGTACCATGAAAGATGCAAACAAGTAGACAACATGGTCTTTGAAAAGGACTATGTAGTCTAGGTGGAAAAATTTATTTGATGAAGATGAAACTAATTAGTAAATTGATTAGTAAATATGGTCAGAATAGAAAAAGAGATTCATGAACAAGTAGGAACTTGAGCTGACCCCTAAAGGAGGAATAAGATTGGGAGAGGCAAAGAAATAAGAGGGAAGGGTATTCTCAGTCAGAAACCCAGAATAACCAGAGAGGTGACACTTTGCATAGCACACTTTTAGAACGATAAAAGGAATCACTTGGAAAGGTCTGTTGGGAGTATATGGGAGAAATGAGACATTTTTCTGTGGGGTCAATTTATGGAGCAGCCAATTAGTTAAGAAGCAATCATTTTACCCATGCTCTTGCCTTGCATCTTATATCTTTTACTCTTAAATTTACATTATTTTTCATAATATTAATAGCATCTCCTGCCAAAGAGCATCTTTCCAGCTTACAATGATTCCCATTCCCATTCCCATTCCTCTACATGGGCAGGTTAATTCCTAGGGGCTATGTCTGTATAATGGAGTTCAATTTGAATGTCAGTTGATTGAAGCTGGAGAGGGCTCATTCTTGCTGGAACAGAGATGGCACTCTAGGACTACGTGCTATGGAGACTGAAAAGGATTGAATCAAGCCATCTCTTTTTTCATGGAGCTGGAACTATGAGTTGTGATCCTGGGAACCATGGGCAGCCATCTTGTGCCTGCTATATGGACCTGGCAGCTAAAAATCCCTTCTTCCCAGGAAAAGGAAGAGGCAGACACAGAGAGAGGAGCAGAGACAGGTGACGGAGCACTCGCAGTTCTCAATGGCCTTCCAGTTCTCACTTCCACTGCCTATCTAGCCACATTTCTGCTCTTGGATTGAGACATCCTGTATCTTTTATAATCAGTACCTCTTTCTGCTTCAGCTAGCTTGGTTGAGATTCCTATTATTAGAAACTCAAAGAGTCCTAATACAATGATGAATAAACAGATTTACTGAAGCCCTGCTGTCCTTTACTTTTGTGCATGTTCCCTCCTCTTGTGCTCTAAGGACAAGGTTTCTTTCATTTTGTCTTTGGTCAGTGTTAGTGTGAGTCTATTGCTGTTTCATTCATCCAGGTGTCACAGTCCACAGCCCCTCTCTCCCCCTTCCCCTAACTCTCTTCCCAATTTCCTTTTATTTCTCTTTACCCTCTGTCCTTGAATGAAATCCTAACAAAGAAATACAAAGAGGCTGAGAGTATAATTTATATATGCCCGAGGCTTATGAACAGATAATTGGTTCACTTAGCCCAAATCTCCCAGGGTCTGTGATGTAAAGGGATAGAAAACAAGAAGGCTTAAAAAACAAACATGCTATTCATGTAACTATGTTATTCATAGAGTAGGGCTACTCTATGCAGCATAATTTATTCTGGGGGTCACATGAGGGATAAGGCCACCGCCTGCTTAAGGGACCCTCAACAACTTCAATTCCAGCTGTGTCCCCAAATCCTCCTCTTAAGAGTCCTATTCTTTGCCACCTCAGTTGCAGTAGGTTCTGCCAGACGTATATAAAGCCATTTCTATCCTTTATAGCTTGAAGAGGTCACTACTCTCACTGGAAAATCACAAGCCTGGGATCTTCAGAGAGAAGCCCCTTCCTGCTGAAGGATCATGTATGGAAAGTAGGTGGGGAAGCCTGAATGCTCAAAAGCCTTGAAAAGACTTCTAAAGGCAGATAACCAAGCCCTAAACCAGCTAGCTGACAACCGTGTCAACACAGTCAACACTTTATCCAACTGCTCAACTAAAAATAATCTGTCACTTCACCACAGCAAGCCTGCCTGGCTCTGAGGTACAGAACAAATGCTGAAATACAGGATGCTGCTGTATTTCTAACAATGTAAGGTCCAATGACATCAAGTGGGATTCAGAGATTTGAATGTGAAGATCACCTAGGAAGGCAACTACTCACACCCAGTTTATCAGGTTCATGCTTTGCTTCTTTTTTAGTATTGATTTATTTGTGTCTCTTCAAAGGGCAATCAGAGTGTGGTATTGGCTTCTTTCTGATCACATTTGGTAACTATGCTTCTTGGATATCTTGTTTGCGTCAATAATAGGCCTTGTTCAATTTTTTTGTAGTCTTCAACTAGGTCAGGGATTTTTGAGAGCAAGAATCATGTTTTTGTCTATCTCCATCTCTTTAGAACCTAACAAGCCCTTGCAATTTAGAAAGCTCTCAGTAAAGTATTTATTATATAAGTAAATGAATGAACAACTGAACAAACAGCAAAAATCCAACCTTATGATGCGGGTCTAGGAAAACTTTTTAAAGGACCTAATAATTTGATCTGAATCTTTAATGAGTCAATGCAGTCAAGTGTTAAGTAAAGTAAGGTAAGTAAAGCAGCAAGGTAGAGGGGCAAAGGAGACTGGATGTTCTAGGCATTTGAAATTCCCATCAAAAGAATTAAAAGTTGTTCTATATGGCATGCAGAAAAGAGAGCAGGAATGAAGCTGAAGAGATGACAGGGGTCACAGGAACTTTGTATACACTGCTAAAGGGCCTGAATTTTATTTTACTGGTGATGGGGAATCATGAGCTGATTTTCAATAAAGAGGAATGTAATTAGATTTTCTTTTAGAACATTATATTTGGAAGGAATATGGAAGGTAATTGATGGCGGGATGGAGATGTATTGAGATGGAATTGCAGACAGCAAATAGGAGCCCCTTGCAGTCAGTAATTCAGGTGAGGGATGATAAAAGTCTAAACTATTTCTGAAAAGCTCTATTTCTATTATCTTTCTTCTGCTGTCAGTTTTCATCACCCATGAGCACATCATATCCTCCTTCAGGAACAGTAACTGGGGATGCTGAATATTAACAGAAAACATCAACCACAGTAAAGCTTCACAGACTTTTATCATAGTTGGACCACCTCAAAAGTCAAAGTGGTATTTTCCAGAAGGCCCATGGGCAGAACCTCCTCTCCCTCAAAAAGAACTGAATGACCCTTTCTGATTTGACAATCCATGGGCCACCTTACTTCTCTCAGCAGGTATTGTGCCCACCTGTTGCTTTGTGCTTTTTCAGCAAGAGAGTGAAAAAGAAGAAGCAAGAAAAGAGGAGAAGAGGAAGATGGCAAAGGAGCACGGTAAGGTCGCTTTAGTGATCTCAGTCATGAAGAAAGAAGAAGAATTAAGGCTGTTGAAAGAAGAGCAGGAGCTGATTAAATCCTGTGGTCCATTACTAGGCATCAAATTTTACAAAGGAGATTTAGGATAATGGGAAAATGTCCATGGGTATTTGCTCATCTTACTTGTAGAGAAAGAAGAGCTCTCTCTTCACTCTCTAGCACATACCTGATGAGACTTAGCAGAAGTAAACTCCTTCCCATAGGACAGTGGTTCTCAACCTTGGCTATACATCGGAATGAACTGAAAAATTCTTTTTAAAAAATACTGATGCCTGAATCATACCCCAGGAGATTCTAATTTAATTGGTTTGGGTGTGGTTCGGTAATTGGTCCTTTTATAGAGCTCTCTGGGTGTTGGGAACGCACAGATGAGCTGAGAACCATCGCTGTAGACCAGGGGTCAGTGAACTTCCTGTGAAACACCAGAGAATAAATATTTTAGCTTTGTGGGCCATATGGTCTCTGTTACAACCACCCTACTCTGCTGTTTTAGAGTGAAAGCAGCCATAGACAATATGTAAATGAGTGTGTTCTAATAAAACTTTCTTTATAAACATAGGCAGTGGGCTGGCTTTGGCCCATGAGCCAAATTTTATTGACCCTGTCAGACTCCAAAGGACAGCTGGATTGCCCAGGTGCTGAATTAGGTATGGAGAAAATAGGAAAAATATTCTAGTTTTAAAAGGGCATTTGGAAGAAGGTTGTAGTTTTAGCTTAGTACAATGAGATATGTGTCTGAGCTGCATTTCATAGAATTCTTGGGTAAGGCATTTTACTTCTGGGGCAGTAAAGTTTTGATGGTTAACAGAAATTTACTTTGCCACCGTGCCATAGCTATCTATTAATAACGACAGCATATTGGCCAAGGTTTTCATCTGAAAACTACCAACGAAGGGTTTGAATTTAAAGTCTTGGTTCCAGATGAATTAGCCCCAGCTTACAGCAAAGCTGTCAGGTTAGGTCTGGGGAGGGAGAGGAAAAAAAGAAACACATAGACTATGAACTTTCATTAAACCTCTTTGTTGTTTGACTTCTTAGGGAGGCAAGGTGTGACTTTTGTGTTTGCAGGAAAAAAATTCAATAAAGTATAAAGAAGAAAAAACTTATAACGTGCAAGGATAACTAGAAGTGTTAGACCCAAAATACGGACATTTAGCCTTAGAACCTGAACCAGGACAGAAAAAATTAAAAACCAAATAAGAAAAACGTTTCCATGAGGACAGGGAGGGGAACTAGTGCGCTGATATATTTTATGTGTTCTCTAATTTCTCTCACTGGAATTTAACCATGAGCCTGTTTTGCTTTTTTTTTTGTGTTGTGTTGTTAGGTTTTAATTCTACATGGGAAAGAGGATCTAATTCATTCTATTATTTTATGCTGGAGAAGGGAAAGACACGTTAGAAATGAACTTCTGCCTAATCTTTAAGATGCTCTCCTGTCATTACTGGTTTTATCCCTCTCTAGGAAAGAGTGGTCACATGACATGCGCCTTAGACTCACGCTAGATGAAGTGTGGGGTTAGACCATCCTCACCTTTATCCTGTCGATATTGGCTTCCATCTTAAGCTGCTCTACCAGCTTCCTGGCTTGTGCTATGCTGGCGGTGTTGTTGCTGGCCATCGGAGTGCTGGATAGATCTTTCAGAAACACTAGAAAAGAAAACAAAAAGAAGATTGTACCAGAGAATTCATGAGCCAGCAAATGTGCAAGTTCATCGTAACTAGGGGATCTCAAAGCAGTGGCTGTAGCCAGGCCTGGCTTCTCCAGCCCTCTCCATCCTTGGTCGGTATTACCTCTGACTGGCAGGCAGAGCAGAGGATGAGGTTTGATTTTCCAATTCTCCCTACTTCCCCATCCCTTCTTTAGAGAGAAAAAAAACACACACACAAAGAATATTACCAAATGTTCTCCCAGTGGGCTCAAACCCCATCCTTCTGGTTAACTGTGACCACCTCAGCGTATTATACTACAGAGACACTATAGTGGGAGGCTTGGCTTTTCAGTGTCACTTAATCCAGCATTGCTGTAAATAGCCATTCCTCCCCACTCTATTTGAAATTAAAGTTTGAGTCACAACGATCTACTTTACTCATAATTCCTCAGGGACACATCTATCATGCCAAATGGGAGGGATTGCCATGCCTAATCTCTAAATATGACAATTAGTTCACCAGTGTTATTCTAAATGAAGTACAACAAACTTATTAACTGATTTCTTTTATAAATCTGGAACATAAACATTTTGAGAGTAGAGTTCTTGGCTGGGCATGGTGGCCCACATCTGTAATCCCAGCACTCTGAAAGGTCAAGGTGGGAGGATCCCTTGAGGCCAGGGTTTGAGAGTAGAGTTCTGTTCCTAGGCAGATTGCGAGATGGTTTCTTTGTCTCTGCCATACCTCTTTCTCCATGTGTGCTCCCCTCCCCCTTCAAATCCTATCCCACATTCATTTCTCTTCTTATCCTTTCTTGACATACCATCTCACTTTATTATTATTGTTCATCTTGGAAAATACCTTATTTTATTCCCGTTGCTGATGCCCACTTCCCCCACATTCTGAACAAATCTTACTTTGTGTCAAGGTGTCATATGCAATTTTAGGACTACCTGTGTAAATATGCTCCTTGAGATCACTGATATCCTATTGGATAAAGCAAAACCTAAGTGCTTTGATTTGACTAGAGTGCATGACCCATGAAACAGAAACATTAAACACTGCCTCGTCAACACTAATGGAATCTTGTTCTGAAGATATTATATAAAAAATAATGACTTCTGCTAGCTTTGGACAATCTTTTTACCAAAGGATGAAGTAAGATCAGGTTACTTATCTTAAAAAGAAAAAGAACACACAGAAAACCTGGAAAATGAAGAATAACCCGTAACAAATTCTGTACATAGATTTTTTTTAACCTACCAACTAAAATCAACAAATAATTATTGTCTTAATGACCAAAAAGCAAAAGTCTATAAATTATCTCTTTTGGTAGTTATTTCTTGATATCCAGTTCTTCAAGACAAAAGAAGAAATTAGGTATAACTCTCTGTAACATACAAATCCCTTCATGGAGAATATTATGTTGAAGAATACTACAAAATAAGCCACCCAACATCATTTACAGAATAAATTGGAGCATAATTAATTGTTCCCTCAATTTCTTTTCTTTTTTTTTTTTTTTTGAGACGGAGTCTGCCTCTGTCGCCCAAGCTGGAGTGCAGTGGCGCGATCTCGGCTCACTGCAAGCTCCACCACCCAGGTTCATGCCATTCTCCTGCCTCAGCCTCCTGAGAAGCTGGGACTACAGGTGCCCGCCACCACACCTGGCTAATTTTTTGTATTTTTAATAGAGACGGGGTTTCACCATGTTAGCCAGGATGGTCTTGATCTCCTGACCTCGTGATCCGCCCACCTCGGCCTCCCAAAGTGCTGCGATTACAGGCATGAGCCACCACGCCCGGCCATCCCTCAATTTATTTTCAAAGAGTTTGGAGACAATAAAATGAGAGGGAAGATTGAAGGAATTTTTGAAGTCACAGAGATCTCTGAACTCTACTTTTACACATTTGGAGATCAAAGGAAGGAGAATTGCATGGAAAAACAAAATAATAAAAGGAGACTTTAACAAGTATTATTTCATTAGCATGGTTAGAGACCCAATCATCGCAGCCTCACAGGGAAATTACATGCTCCACAATTAAACAAACATCTAACAGCCTAGGAAGACTTCATAGGGCCAAGATAGAGCATTGACTTATTCAGAAGGGTAGCCTAACTCTTCTATTCATCCAATATTGGATGCAGCCACAATCTACAAGCCCCTGGATGCTGTTCTGTGAAGCGAATGTTTCTGCCAAACTGGAATTCATTCATCTGGCTGGAATGCAGACTATCACAGAATTACCAAATTCTTATTGGGACATTTGAGATTCTGGCCAGTGACTCTTCTGCCCTGAATCTACACCAGATTACAGGGTGACCTGTGGCAGAGATCACAACTTGCCTTCTAATCCCTCTTCCTTTCTTCTTCATTAGTAACGACACTTTTTTTCTTAGTGGAGACCACAAGAACCCTGAATTTTAGCTAGGTGTATTTAGCCGAAAGATACATTCCAAGCCTCTCTTGCAGCTAGGTATAGTTACATGACTAAGTTTTGGCCAATGAGATATAAGCAGAAATGTTCTTGAAGGGAAGAGGTATACGCCTTGTCTCTCCTTCCTCCTGCTACTGGCCTGGGAGGCATCTGCATTGATCACAGAAGTCCCTCTTGAACCTCTAGCATGACTGCTACACTAGGGTGAACAGGAAGGATCTGGGTCCTTACTGATTTTGTGGAGCCACCATGCCAACTGTGAGATGGTTACCTTTGATGTGACAGAGAAATAAGTGCCTATCTTATTGATGCCACCATTATTGAGGGGTTCTCTGTCATTAGCCAACAGACCTGCTATTAACTGAGTAAATGACCCATTATTGTCATTCAAGCATCAAGGAAAGTCTGTGTCTCAATGCCTTTTCATGCTCCCTGGGAAAAGCTGTGAGTGGCTTGAGGAGGCTGAGATAGAGAATATATTTGTTCTATTGCTGCTGTAATATATTACTACAAGTTTAGGGGCTTAAACAATAGAAATTTATTATCTTATAATTCTGGAGAGCATTAGTCTCAAATGGGTCTCACTGGGCTAAAGTCAAGGTACAAGCAGGGCTGTGTTCCTTTTTGAGGCTCTGAGAGTTCACTTTCTTTCATTTTCTAGCTTCTGGAGGCTGTCAGCTTTTCTTGGCTCTTGGCCCTTTCCTCCATCTTTAAAGCTGGCAAAGGTGAGTGGAGCCCTTCTCATGTCACATCACTCTGACCTCCTCTGAAGTCACATCTTCCTCTGACTGACTTCTGCCCACCCCTTCCACTTTTAAGGACCCTTGTAACTACATTGCGCCCACACAGATAATCCAGGATAATCTATTTTTAAGTCAGCTGATTAACAACCTTAATTCCATCTGCAACTTTAATTCTTCTCTGCCATGTGACATAATGTATTTCTAGGTTCTGGGAATTGGGACATGAACATCTTTGGGGGGTTGTTATTCTGCCTATCATGGAAGAAGTCCTCTGTATAGGCAGGGAAGGGAAGTAGGGAGGTGGGAAATTGAGATGGGGAAAGAAGAGGCATGGGGCAGTAGTCTAGAAATGCAGGAGGGGAAAACACATTTGAAACCTCAATGGACTTAAGAGAAAAAGTAAACCTAGGCTTTGTTTTGTGCTCCTAGTTTTAGGCAGCTACACCCTGAATGTTCTTGTTTAACTGTATGAACCAGGCAGAGTCGAGCACCACTTTTAGAATCAATTAGTGCATTTTTCCCTTTTTTTTCACATCCAGCTGATTTCTCGTAAAAGCAATGAAAAAATCCCCTCCTGAAGACTGAAAGAATTGTAAAGTACTAGGCCAGCATTCCAAAGAAGTGTTTATTTTCCTAAGAGGTGACAGTGGCATTTGGGTGAAGGGTGAGATTCATGTAAAATGGATACTGGATCCATTTTGGGTTTAGAGTCACGTAGTGGGGGATCTCCACAGGCCAGAAGCTAAAATAGGAGCAAAAGAAGGACACCAGAGAGTCGAATCAACTGGTGAGGGAGTAGGGCTGGAGGAGACACAATGGCATCTAGTGTTGGTGAGGAGGAGAGAGGAAGATGACCGCAACTGGAAACACTGGGGTGGAGCTGGAGCAGCGTGAGATTGTGAATTAAGCCATTTACACCCGTCTCTGAAACTGTACACATTTTGATGCTTCATTCCTTTCCACCCAATGGTTTTTTATTCTTTGTGATCAGTCTCTTCCTTTTTCTTTCTCTTTTAAACTGACCGCAATGTAGAATGTACATCTATATATTCATTGGAATTTGCTGAATTACCTCCTATGTTCTTAAGATATTCTCTTTCTTCCACTTTCTTCATACATCAGACAACATCTGAATATTAGTTGTTAGTTGCTTTTGATTTGCCCACATCTATTTTTCAATCCATGACCGTGGTCCACAATAGACAATCTTCCCCACCTCTACCGTGAATCACAAAATTCCAATTTTGAATACTATGTTGCTGGATCATAATTTTCTGAAGCTCATTTCCTTGTAGACTTTTTGCTCATGTTGTGACTTCTGCAGAATTTGAGGGTCAAGCAAACGAAACATTACACCCCAAGACGTTAAATGCATGCTGTTCTAGAACAAGTATTGGCTTTGTATATGTTAAAAAAGACAACACATGTGCATCCATGCTTTCTAGCTGTTTCCTGAAACGCCAAGTGATGTACCTCTATTCCTGGTTTATCTGAATTTGTTCAAACCTTATAAAGCCAACTATTGCAAACAAAACAAAGAATCTTAAACAAACAAACAAACAAACAACGCAACGTGAGAGGAAGAGGAGAAAACCCATTCCGATGTTTACCTGTGCAAATAAGAGTTTGTCTTCTAAGCTTGAGGTATTTGGACCCTGCATCACACACACACACACATACACATACACATACATGCACACACCCCTCCATTTATGCTAAAAGAAGACCTCTACACTGATTCATTTTTCTTTTTTAAAAAATTGTGATAAAATGCACAATATAAAATTACTATCTTAACCATTTTTAAGCATATAGTTCAGTGGTATTAAATACACGTATACTGTTGTGCAATCATCACCACCATCCATCTCCAGAACTCTTTTTACCTTGCAAAACTGAAACTCTATACCCATCAAACAATAACTTCCAATTCTCCCCTCAACCCCTGGCAGCCACCATTCTACTTTCTGTCTCTATAAATTTGACTACTTTAGGTATCTCATAGAAGTGGAATCATATAGTATTCATCTTTTTGTGACTGGCTTATTTCACTTAGCATAATGTCTCTAAGGTTCATCCACACTTGAGCCTATCAGAATGTCCTTCCTTTTTAAGGCTGAATAATATTCCATTGTATGTATATACCACATTTTCTTTATCCATTCACCTCTTGATGAACACTTTGGTTGGTTCCATGTTTTAGCTACTATGACTACTGTGAATAAGGTAGTCCAAACATCTTTTAAAGACCCTGCTTCCAATTTTGGGGGGTTATACCCAGAAGTTAAATTGCTGGATCATATGGTAACACTTGTTATTTTCCGTTTTTTTTGTTTGTTTGTTTTGTTTTGTTTTCATAGTAGCCATCCTAATGGGTGTGAGATAGTATCTCACTTTGGTTTTTATTTGCATTTCCCTAATGATTAATGAATTGAGCATCTTTTCATGTGTTTATTGGCCATTCATATTTCTTTGCGGAGATACCTATTCAACTCTGTTGCCCATTTTTGCATTGGTTTTTGTTGTTATTGTTGTTGAGTTTTAAGTGTCTCATATTTAGGATATTAATTCTGTATCATATAAGTGGTTTACAAATATTTACTCTTATTCTGTGGACTGTCTTTTCACTCCGTTGAACTGTCCTTTGAAGCACAAAAGTTTTACATTTTATGGAGTCCAATTTGTCTATTTTTGCTTTTGTTACCCATGTCTCTGGTGTTATATACAAATTCAATGTCATGAAGCTTTTGCCCTATGTTTTCTTTTAAGAGTTTTATAGTTTTTAGCTCTTATGTTTAGGCGTTTGATCCATTTTAAGTTCATTTTTGTTCACAGTGTTACGGCCAACTTCATTCTTTTGCCTGTGGATATCCAGTTTTTCCATCATGATTTGTTGAAAAGGTTGGCCTTTATCCACTGAATTATGGCCTGGATGTTTGTGTCCTTTCCCACATTCACATGTGAAAGCTTAACCCTCAATATAATGGTATTTGGAGGTGGAGCCCTTGGGAAGTAATTAGGTCATGAAGGTGGAGTCTGCATAAATTATATTAGTACTCTTATAAAAAGAGAAATGATTTCTTCCTCTCAGCCATGTGAGTAAACAGCAAAAAAACAGCCGTTTCCAAATTAGGAAGAGAACCCTCACCAGGACCTTATCATGCTGACATCTTGATCTTGCACATTTAGCCTTTAGAACTGTGAGAGAGAAATGCTTATTCTTTAAGCCACCTTGTCAATTGCATTTTTTTTTTGATAGCAGCCCAAATTGAGTCAGACAAATTGTCTTGGCACCCTTCTCAAAAATCATTTGACCATATATGTAAGGGTTTATTTCTGTGCTCTTTATGCTATTCCATTGGTCTCTATATATGGATTGTCTGTCTTTATGCCAGTGCTACAGTTTTGACTACCATGGCTTTGTAGTAAATTGTGAAATCAGAAAGTGTTGAGTCTTCCAACTTGTTCTGTTTCAAGAATGCTTTGGCTATTTGGGGTTCTTTGAGAATCTATATGAATTTTAAGACAGATTTTTCTATTCTTACAAAAATATTATTGGGATTTTGAAATGGATTGCAGTGAATTTGTCCATTGCTTTGGCTAGCATTGACATTTTAACACTATTGTCTTCTAATCCATGAACATGAGATGTCTTTTTCCATTTATTTATGTGTTCTTTCAGTAATTTTTTAAAAATTTTTGTTGAATAAGTCTTTTACCTTCCTGGTTAGTTCTTAACTATTTTATTCTTTTTGATGCTACTGTTAATGGAATTTTTTCTTAATTTCCTTTTCAGATTATTCATTGTTAGTGAATAAACATACTACATTCACTGATTCTTACTGGAGAAGAATGCTTTTGTCTTCTACCTTCACATGAGTTTTAAAGTAACTGCATACAAAAAGAAGTCTTCTTGAGGAAAGGATGTTGCACCTTGTGAACATAATGGGGTCAATAAAAAGGGTTGACAGAGTCCCATTAGATGCTTAGGCAGTTTCAACAGGGAAGCACAGACACACATCATATATTCTTTGCTAGTGTCCCTTTTTCATTTTACATGTAACCCAAATTGTGCGGAAGTTTTTTTAAGAGAGAATAAAGGTTTGAATTCATTAACCACTGAAATGGCTTTAAAACAAATATGCTGAGAAAATCATGTAGACAAAGCTTCAAAACATACATACCTCTTAAAGACAAATGACAACAACAACAAAAAACCTTTTGGTTAAAAAGAGGGTGATTCATTTCTACACACTACTCCCCCTCACCCCATCGGCCTAGTCTTTGGTGATGCACTGTGACTTGTGATGCCCTGGAATTTACCTTTGTAGGGCCCACACTGGCTTTGGGGCTGCCAGAGGACCACCCCAGAGGCATGCCCAGCAGTAGACTTCACTTTTTCTAGGAGTTGATGGGGCAGAGGTAAATGGAGTCAGGGTAGGTTCTCTTGGGGAAAATCGATTCCTGAAATCACTTCTGGCATCTCAGAACATTTCTGGAAATCAGCTGGGGTGATGATCAAAGGTTGGATAGTGCTAGAGTGACATTCTTTGGTACAACAAGCTGTTGTGAGCCCAGTAGTTGCCAGCACCTGCCAAGTACTGGGTCACATGGCAACCATGGTATAGCATGGAATACATGTGGTTACACTTCTTTAAATTTGAATGGGAAAATTTTCACACCAAAGGTTGATTCTTTAAGAATTCTATAGCCAAAATGTCTTTTAAAACTTCTAATAATCTAACCGGGTCTGGTGGCACATGCCTGTATCCCAGCTACTTGGGGGCGCTGAGAAGGGAGGATTGTTTGAGTCCAGGAGTTTGAATCCAGCCTGGGCAACACAGTGAGTCCCTGTCTCTAAAAAAAAAAAAAAAAAGAAAGAAAGAAAGAAAGAGAAAAAATAAATAAAATTCTAATAATCAGAAATTCTAATGGGACTCAATCTTTTCTCAAGGTCCCATACTGGACTCACTGGCAGTGGTAACCAACCAGGAAGGTACTGCCTCTTATGAGGCTTTTGGAAATGTGTGGGGTTGGTTAGGGCTATGACAATAACTGGGGGTGCTACTGGCAGTTAGTGTGCAGAAGTGGAGACTCTAACGCCTTGTAGTAGGCCAGTCAACAATGAATTGTGCTGCTCAAAGGCCCATAGTACCCCCAGTGAGAAAAATGAAAGGATACCTAAAAAAATAGCCACAAAGCCATCATGAAAAATCTGCTCAAAGAAAGCACTCCATGTGCAAACTTTCAACTAACTGGGTTTTTATATTCTTATGTCTTATAATCCCTATTATTTTCTCACTGATGATGAATAAGTGTTAAGCATTCATAATTCTCAGCAATATGCTTTATCGATATCTGGTCCCGGCTTATCTAAAACAGAGCAGAGTCTCTTTTATGCAGTCTACTGACAGAATGAGATTATTCCGGGTTATATTTGCCAGTAAGCAAAAAAGATACAAATAGCAAAAATCCCTGGAACAATTATAGGAATTGTGTATAAGAGATTGATAGAATTCTGAAAGAATGCCCTAATTATCCCACCTGAATTCCAGACTGAAGAATAATACAGAAGAAATTTTATTCTTTTCAACTGATGAGAGGATTATAGTCCCCGTCCCACCCAACCAACAAGAAACATGAAAAATAGGCCTGTTATGGAACAATAACCATTAGAGGAGATTTCATTTTCTAAAAACACATTCAGCACTTTAATTTCTTTCAGAAGGAACTTTTCTGTTAAGAAACCATACATTTTCTTGTCATTTAGGCTTAGTAATAAACACACAACCCCTTATTTCTGTGGCACAAAGATAAATAAATGGTTTGTTAATGGGTGGAGAGTGTGTAGGTTAATTGTGGAGGATTCCATCCTTTTCATACTTCAATGGTGTTTTTCAAGGGTGGCATCCAGACAGACTTCCCTAAGGCCTGTAATTTCAATTACAACTGTATGTTTCTCAGGACTGTGTTTTGGTATTTGCAGTAGGTGCTGAGAGATTTTGTTTTGTGTATTTACAAGTTAGGATTACATTGGCAATAAAACAATTTTTCTGTCTAGAATACAAATTGGAGGTTTATAGTCTCTCAGTCACTTAATATTTTTATTATTCTTGTTTGTCAGTCAGCCACATCTTTGGTGATTGTTTATAAGTTGCTTTTGAATTAGCAGACTAATTTCACGATGTTCCAATTTAGAATTTGTCAGAGCTTTTGCAATTAGTCATCTGGATAAATGTCTTTGTTAATTGCTCATACCATAACCCATGTTTAGTTTGGTCATTTTTGCCACTCACTTTTTTTGATCCTTACTCTAATTTATTCTGCAGCAAGTAAGTAATCCATCATCAAATTGATATTATATATACTAACATATGCTATATTATATACTACTAAATGATGTATATATACACACAACATAAAATTGATATTTATATACATTAATTAGATTGGTATATATACTAATATTAGATAATATATACTAAAATACTGTTAATATCCATTCCTCTAAAGGGCTTTCACAAACAGAACTCTAGTGAACTTATCAATAGTGGCTGCAATGTGAATTGTGAATCAAGTAATAATTGCAAAATATCGGCCTGCCAGGTTTCAGGGTCGTTGTTTGTCAGGCACCTTTTTCTATTGCCAGTTCATCACTTTGACCTGAAAATACTAAAATAGCACATTTCAATCTCTACTAATCAGCAAACACTAATTTCTTTTGGCTTCTCAGTCACTAAGCAGATTTTAAATCAATAAAGATTTATTGGGACACTTACTGCTTTTCTCTCAACTCTTACAAGCCCCGGAGGATCTGGGTTGGAATCCACCTTGCACACTCAGTCACTCTTTCCCAATCATGTCTTTCAACAACTGGGAAGTCACAAAGATCTTTTAGGTGTCATGATGCCCTGGTTTCCTCATTCACCTTTGTTCATTTTTGAGCAGCAGTGTGGAGGTTTGAGATGAAGAACAAAAAAGGAGATGAGAATAGAGAGGGTGCGGGCAGGTGTGTGTAGGGTAGATGTCTATACCAACAGGCATGGACTAGCTTGGAGATAAAGGGTATGGAATAATCTTGAGCCCCCCCAAGTTTGCATTTGAAGAGGGTAGGGCAGGGAAGGAACAGGAAGATATCCAACTGTGGATAGCCTCAGGGGGTTCACAGCGGGGCCAGACACAGAGAGCTGGACTCACTCCATGGCGCTGGCTAAGATGAAGAATGAATTTGTCAACAAAACAAAACAAAACAGGAGCCTTCCAAGTGCCTCCCCACTCCGTCCCCACTCCTCTTCTTTTTAGTGCTTCTCATTTCCAGAAATTAGATTTTACAGGCCAAAAGCTTTGTTCTTTCATGGAGGACCAGGAACTCACACTAATACGAAGATTTGCTTATGGACCAAGAGCTCGCCACATGCCAGGAACTGGGCCAAGGGCTTTAACGCATTATCTTGTTTCATTCTCACAACTCAAGGGAAGTGAGCGATGCATCCCTTGTTGAAGGAAATTGAGGCTTAGATTAGGTCAGCACATTCGTCAGAAGGGTGTTTCGGCTGCAGTCTCCCCAGGGAAAGATTTTCTTTCAGTTCTTCTCAATTCACATTTTCAGAGGCACCAGACTGATCCTAATCTGGGGTCTATGGTATATTTGGCCGTTTTCACATACATAACAGCAATTTTATGACCTGTATGGCACAGGGAGAGCAAATGCAAATGAGGACCAGTGTGGAAACCCCAACAACCAAACTTGCTGTGGGGGTCAAGAAGGAAGAAAATAACCCAAGGGAGCAACATATTGACAGAGCAACCTAAAATCCACTCTGGACTATTTCCATGCGGTTTCACTGGGAAGTTGCCACTTACCAAGTGGGAGAGAGACAAAACAACGTATTTCTTCCCTCAAATCAGCATGGGAGCCGTCTATGCTGTGTGGGTGGAGAGTAAGACGCAACATGGCTTCCCTGTCTCACGCAGGTGCCAGAAGCCATCATTTGAAATGACAGCTCTCTGCTTTCCAGTAAACTGCTGGTTTTGAAAACATTAACTTTACAAGATGCAGCCTTCCTCTGGGAAAGAGGGTCATTGGTTAGCTGTTTCTAACAACCCTGACAAAAAACAGAGTCCTCGAAAAATGACTTCAAAGTCATGGATTTCACAAATTTTGTAAAATGAAACGAATAGGCCATGTTGCAACTTTAAAATGACATGTAAGCTTTTAGTTTTTATCTGAGACTTGGATAAGGAAACAGCTTGTATCTATAAATGGGAGCTGGCATTCTTAGACGCTAGGTGGGCTTTGTTCACTCCACGGAAAAAAGATTAATACTTTGAACTGTGGATGTTGGATTTTTTTTTTAATACAGAAGCCCAGACCATGAACCAGTAGGGTTCCAACAAAAGAGAAATAATGAACTAGTTTCCATAAAAATAGCTCTCTTAACCTATGGATGCCTAATACTCTGCAACAGCAGGCAAGGGGGATCTGAAAGGCAGCAGCCTTCTGCCTCCTTGCAGGAAATTATCTATTGGTTAATTAATTTCTTTATTAAAACGAACCACTCACACTGCTTCCATCCTAAATCCTCAGTGTCTCTCAAACCTCAGGCAACCCCTGTAGTTCAGGGAGACTACCCTGGTGGAGCTTCCTTGCCATTGCTTAGATGGTCTCTTAGGCTTCCAAAATCATAACATGAGAAATCCTTTGGTGAACAAAGGATGCTGAGTTCCCCAAATAGGAACTGGACCTCTTCCACCCCCTTGTGTGAAATTCACTGTTTGCCATCACTGTGTTATCTGGGGATATTTCTAGTGGTACAAATGACACTAGGTATAATAGTGAGAAAACATGTGCCAGGAGACAGAAGAGCTGGATTCTAGTCTGCTCTGAAACTCCCAGCTGTTTTACAGTGAGAAAATGATTTCATCTTTTTGGGCCTCAGTTGCTCAGCCTTAAAGTGGGGATAACAACTATTGGATTGTACATGCATGCCTAATGTTTGTGACAGCACATTGTTAATTATGGAGTGCTATACAAGGAGTGGGAATGAACAGAAAACAATGACCACCACTGTTTATTGAGCAACTACTAAACACTGTGACCTAAAACATTACATGCATAATCTCCATTCCTCATAACAAAGAACATGAAGAAAGAATCATGAAATAAGAATGGCAAAGGGAAAAATCTCTGGATACAACCAACTGTGACTCTATTAAGCAAGAACTTCATGAGCAATCCTAAGCGGGGGAAATTTTTTGAGGGAGGGTTGGTGAATCCTTTTTTGGAATTTCTAACTTTCATGAAGAACCTATTAAAGAGATGGTGACTATTCTAAATTGCGGTTTAAAATTCATTAACAAGGATTTACTGCGTGCTTAATGTGTGTGACCCAGAAGTGCATGCACATGTTACAATAAGTTTCTAAAGAAACCAGCCACTGAACGAATGTGAGAGCCTGTGCGTTACCTCACTAATTCTGGAAGACACTTTTCGTTGTTCGTTAAGGCTTCCTGTGGCCACAGAATAAACTTGCAAGCCTAGCACCTGAGGCTTCCATAATTGGCTGCTCCCTTCTCCCCTTCAGGCCTGTATCTTATATGGAAAGACTCAGCAGAGCACCTGTCTCCTTTTATCAGCTTAGTACAAGGAGGGCTGGTAACACACTTGTTTCCCAATTCACTTTTAAAAAATATTATTTCCCAATTCACTTTTTAAAATTATGTATTAGATGACACATTAGTGGGTGCAGCGCACCAGCATGGCACATGTATACATATGTAACTAACCTGCACAATGTGCACATGTACCCTAAAACTTAGAGTATAATAAAAAAAAAAAAAAATTATGTATTTCTTTTGTAAAGAAATACATAGCCATTTTCGGAAAACTGAAAAGCATAGAGATTCAGAAAACAGAAATCTTCTACAACCCTAGCACCTATAGACAACCCAGTTAATCTTTGCAACCATTTTTCAAGTGCTTTTTCCCACCTTGGAGTGCTTACATTTTTGTGTCTGATATCATGCAGGGAAGGAAATATTAACTAATATACATAATCATCTGTGGGGCCCTGCATAAATGCTGACCTTTTGGGAAGATTTCTCATGATCTACACTGCAAGATTTACCATCCTGCTCCATTTCCTTTAGAGAATGAAGTTATTTTAATTTTTCCTCATTATTCAAGTGTCAAACTTTATTTTCCATCTTTTAAGGCTATTATACATCTCTGATAATGTATAGCACAGAGCCACTTTTTAGTCTTTCAATCAATACTGTTTTTAAAATGACTTCTCTAGGTACTTAAAATAAATTGCTATGCCAATATCCCTTTGACAATAAGGAGTAGAGGGAAAATGTAAGACATTAAAGATAAAGGGACAAGCAACCTTTCCTTTTACTTGCTCACCAAGGGCATAGACAGCTATTGCCCATGCTGATAGAGAAATACCCTGGGTTGTGGGGAGGAGAACCAAGAAAAGGGCCCTTTTTACAGAATGGCTGTTTATTTGGGTGAAAGGAGCTTGTTTGAAAAGTTGACTTGATGACCAGGAGTTTATCTTACAGATATTATTTTTTAAAGTCAGTTTTATCAAGATATAATTTATATACATTAAAATTCACAGCTAGGTGTGGTGACTCACGCCTACAATCCCAGCACTTTGGGAGGCTGAGATGAGAGGATCCCTTGTAGCCAGGTGTTCAAGACCAGCCTGGGCAAAAAGACCAACCTGTCTCTACAAAAAAAATTAGCCAGGCATGGTGGCATGCACCCTATAGTCCCAGCTACTCCAGAGGCTGAGACAGAAGGATCGCTGGAGCCAGAAGTCTGAGGCTGCAATGAGCTGTGATCATGCCACTGCGCTCCAGCCTGGGCCACAGAGTGAGGCACTATCTCTAAAAAAATAAGAACTAAAAAAAAAAAATCAATGGAGTAAAAAAAAAAAAAAAGTTAGTGTGCCAATGGAAGAGGTTGACAACTGTGTATATATAGTTCCTAAGCTACCATGATTGCAGAAGCTATTTTAAGAAGCTATTTAGCCACCTCTGCTGCTCACCTTCTTCCTTTTCTAGCGTACCCTCATAGAATGAACATTTTTGAGACCGGTCCCCAGGTACCAAGAGCACTTCCAAGAAAGGAAAGGCTGTGAACTTGACTGACCTTACTTAATGTATACCATGGAGTACACAGAGTTCTTAAATCTAAGTGTTTAGCAGGACCCAGAAGTATCTTGCAGAACCATCTATCCAAAACAGAAATCCCTTTTATAACCACTGATTTAATACACTTTAATCACTTGTGATACAGGTTTAGAAAATTCCTCCCAAAGCATGGAGCCCAGAGTGGCACTGTGTTTTATTTAACAAGTTTGGTCCAGTTCTGGCGGTCCCTGGAGACTCATGAGAGGAAGGACTCTCCAGGATGGGGCTTGATGATTTTTCTAGGAATTAGCAAGTTAGAAAAATGGCTCCTCTGCAAATTTATGCCACTGAGCCTTAAGGAGAGATTAAATATGAGGCATTTAAAAACCCACTGAACCATGACTCTGATTTTGCAAATAAAAAACTTAAGGGACAGAGTGATTATATGAATTGCCTCAGAAAACATCGCTCTCTCTCTCCTGCTCTCTCTCTGGCCATGTGACTTGCCTGCTCCCACTTCACCTTCCGCCATGAGTAAAAGCTCCCTGCAACCTCCCCAAAAACCGAGCAGATGCCGGTGCCAGGCTTCCTACAACGGCCTGCAGAACTGTGAGCCAATTAAACCTCAAAGAAAAGAAAAGAAAGAAAAAGAAAAGAAAGGAGAAAGAAAACATAGCCATAACACAGTGTCAGAACAAAGGACTTAAACCCAGGTTTAAGACACCTGGCTAGATGCACTTTTCACCGTCTTGAATGTTTCTAACATTTTGCCATCCCCCCAAATTGGGAGCATTATTAAGGTTTAGGTTTCTCACTAAGTTGCTTTTCTTCCCTTCCAAATGTAGGGTCACTACTAGAGAAACTCTGTTAGGAGAATGGATGGGTGGGAGTGTGTGAAATAAAAGTAATATCCTACTGTCCCTGTTGACCCCTCCCCTCCCTATGGTGATCACTACTGATGAGGCATTCTGATGCAGTAAGCTTAAAGAAACTGGGCTGGGCTGGGCGTGGTGGCTCACGCCTGTAATCCCAGCACTTTGGGAGGCCGAGGCGGCCGGATCAGGAGGTCAGGAGATCGAGACTATCCTGACTAACACAGTGAAACCCCGTCTCTACTGAAAATACAAAAAAATTAGCGGGGCGTGGTGGCAGGCACCTGTAGTCCCAGCTACTTGGGAGGCGGAGGTAGGAGAACGGCGTGAACTCGGGAGGCAGAGCTTACAGTGAGCCGAGATTGCGCCACTGCACTGCGGCCTGGGCAACAGAGCGAGACTCCGTCTCCAAAAAAAAAAAAAAAAGAAAGAAACTGGGCTGGAATTTCCACCTATTATTTTTGTGCACTGTTTTACAGAGACTAAAAAGCCTGCAAATTTGACTACAAAGGCTCCCTGATTAGTGTGTGAATAGTATTTGCTAAGAACGTCTCTGCACTTTAATAAAATAGGTTTAATGTTGTACAAAGGGAGAAACAGATAATTGTGTGGATCTCCAGGGAGTTTTTTAGAGGACAGCTCTTTTTTATAAATGTGGTATCTTGTGATGAAAATGTGAAGGGAAAGACAGAGGGGCATGGAAGTAGCAGAGACATGAAGATGCTTAATGAACTGACCGGCACCCCGAGGTCTGAACCAATGTTCACATAGAGAACGTGGGAGTCAGTGTGGGGTAACATGGAGGGTACTGAATGCTGAGGCTGAAGGTCTGGCTTTGACTTTCAACTTTGCTGAGTGATCACGGATGAGTCATTTCCCCCCGGGCCTCAGTTTCCCCCTCTGTAAAGTGAGAGTGCTGAGATAAATGACTGCTTGATTCCTTTCTAGTTCTTTGTGCCAGTTCAAGAGGCCGATTGTAGTTTTATTCCTATCACTGCATCAGTGAGTTCCACAGCTCTGGGACTCTCTCAGTAGAGTGAAGTTTCAGCCCATATTCCAAAATGAAATGTACAAGGAAAGTGGATGAATATGCAGAAAAGCTCGAAGACCCCAGTTGGTTGGAAAGGGGATTTTAAGCTTTTCATTCTTGGGTGTCCATTTCCTGGCTTTCAGGATCACTCTCACTGTGACCTGACACTAGTGATTCTTTGACTCTAGCAGGACTTCCATCTACGGAGCTTACTGCCTTTTCTCCGGCCCTCAAAACCCTCATGCCCTCACGTGCTGCTTTACCAGGCCTGGAGTCCGTGGCCTATCATGGAACCACTCCCTTTAAACTCAGCAATCCTGCCTCTTTCTCCATCATACTGGCTGATAAAATCCCCAATCCTGGTCGGATCCAACTCTAAACCTATTCCGGAGCAACTACAGTGCAAAATAAACACACATCATGAAAGCTGGTCTCATTTAAAATTCACAGATATTAACTTCAAGTGGATCCTCAGTGCTATCCAGCTTTCCTTCCACATTTCCTGAGTCACCTTCTCATGATTTTCACACCTTCCCTTCTCAGACCTCTGATACCTCCTTTCTCCTCATCCTCATTCTCAGCTGGTGAGCTCGCTGCTTCTTTCACTATAAAAATGGCAGCAACAAGAAGAGAACGCCCATATTCTCCCATGACCAACTTACCTGCATCTGCATTTCTGTCTGCATAAGCTCTGCCTTCTCTTCCCTTGTGGTAAATGAACACTCCTGCCCCTGTCTTAGGGCAGCCCCTTCACTCGAGCAGCGGCTCTCATTTTCTTTCACTCACCAAAGGACTCGATTCTTGCAGTTTTTTCCTGGTCCTTTCTGGCATCATTAATTTTGTCTCCACCTTACTAAAGCAATGCCATTGGCATATAAACAACTAAAATATCTCCCATCTTAAAAAAATAAAAAGCAACAACAACAAAAATAAAACCTGTCCCTTGATTCTGCTTCCCTGTCCTGGCCAGTATCCTATTTTTCTGCTTTCCTTTATAGACAACTTGAAAGAGTTGCCTATCGTTGCTGTGTCCACTTCCTCTTCTTCAATTTTTCTTATATCCACTATAAATAGTTTCCCCCAGCGCCTTTCCTGCAACGACATTTGTCCAAGTCACCAGCAAATCCAACTTCCAGTTGGCCAAATCCAATGATCACTTCTCAGTCCTAATCTTATTTGACCCCTGTCTTGGTTTGCTGTGGCTGCTGTAACAAATTCCCACAAGCTGATGGCTTCAAACAATGTAAGTTTATTCTATAACAGTTCTAGAAGCTAGAGTTTGAAATCAGCTTCACTGAGCCAAAATCAAGGTGCCAGCAGAGCCATGCTCCTGCCAGAGGCTCTAGGGAAGAGTCCATTTCTTGCCTCTTCCAGCTTCTGATGGCTACTGGCATTCTTTGACTTCTGGCCAATTCACTCCAATCTCTGCTTCTGTGGTCACGTGGCCTTTTCCTTGCCTTTTGTCATCTCCCTCTGTCCTCTCTTATGAGGATACTTAGGACTGGATTTAGGCGCCCCCACCCCACCCCCCAGGATAATCTAGAATAACTGTTCCATATCCAGAGCTTTAACTTAATCACATCTGCAAACATCCTTTTTCCTTATAATTAACATTTATGGATTCTAAGGATTAGGACCCGATACTTTAGAGATTTATTCAGGCCACTACAACCTCCCAGCAGTATTTAACACAATGGATGGCTTCCTTTCTCTTAAACAATTTCTTCACTTGACTTCGGTGATCTGCTCTTTCTTATTTTACCAACCACAATTATTTTTATTTTATTAATTTATTTTAGAGACAGAGTCTCCCTCTGTCCCCCAGGCTGGAGTGCAGTGGTACAATTATGGCTAACTGCAGCCTTGACCTACTGGGCTCAAGTGATCCTCCCACCTCCCAAGTAGCGGGGACCACAGGTGAAAGCCACTACACCCAGCCCAGTCACAATTTTATTTCCTGTTTCTATGAGTTGTTTGACTATTTTAGATAACTCATAAAAGTGGAATCATACAGTATTTATCTTTTTCTGACTGGCTTATTTCACTTAGCGTAATGTCTTCAAGGTTCACCCATGCTGTAGCATGTGAGAGGATTTCCTTCTTTTTAGGGCTAATAATCCATTGTGCATATATACCATATTTTCTTTTCTTTTTTTTTTTTTTTTTTTTTTTTTTGAGACAGAGTCTTGCTCTGTTGCCCAGGCTGGAGTGCAGTGGTGTGATCTTGGCTCACTGCAAGCTCCACCTCCCCGGTTCATGCCATTCTCCTGCCTCAGCCTCCCAAGTAGCTGGGACTATAGGCGCCTGCTACCATGCCCAGCTAATTTTTTCTATTTTTTAGTAGAGACGGGGTTTCACCATGTTAGCCAGGATGGTCTCGATCTCCTGACCTCGTGATCCACCCACCTCGGCTTCCCAAAGTGCTGGGATTACAGGCGTGAGCCACCGCGCCCGGCCCACATTTTCTTTATTCATCCACTGATGGACATTTGGGTTGGTTCCACCTCCTGGCTATAGTGAACAGTGGTGCCGTGAACATGGCTATACAACTATCTCTTTGAGATCCTGCTTTCAATTCTTTTGATACATACCCAGAAGAGGCATTGCTGAATCATATGTTCTATTTTTAACTTTTTTGAGGAACCTCCATACTGTTTTCCAAAGCAGTTGAACCATTTTACGTTCTCACCAGCAGTTCCAATTTATCTACATCCTCACCAATACTTGGTATTTTTTTCTGTTTTTGGATTCTTGTCTTGCTTTCCTGTCATTTCTTTCTCAGTCTCTCTTCTTGGTTTGATTCATCTCCCTGATCCCCAGGTCTCAGAGTGTTTGCACTTTATTCTTGTATGTTGACACTCACCCACCTCAGTGATCTCATTCACTCTCATTGCTGTAAACACTCTTTCCTTGCTTACATCTCCCGATTTTGTATCTTAGTTACACATCCTGGCTCTCACCTCTAGGCCCATATATCCACTGCCTACTCACCCTCTCTATGTGAATGAGCGCCTCTCACTTGACATGTCCCAAACCAAACTCTTCTTTTCCAGACCTGCTCTTCTTACAGTCTTTCCCATATAGCAGTCAATGGCAGCTCAATTTCTTCTGATTGCTCAGATTAAAAACTTTGACAGTCTTCTTACTGCTTCCTTTTGCTTCACATCTCACCTCCAACCTACCAGCAAACCCCTGGACTCTTCCTTCAAAATATAATCAGAATCCAACCCCTTATCCTCGTTCTACTGCTATCACACTAGCCTGGCCACCTATATTTCTGTATTTCTTTTTCTCTCTCTTTCCTGTTCTTTTGTTTTTGTTTTTGAGACAGAGTCTTGCTCTATCACCCAGGTTGGAGTGCACTGGCATGATCTCAGCTCACTGAAACCTCCTGGGATCCCGGGCTCAAGCAATCCTCCCACCTCAGCCTCTCTAGCAGGTGGGACTATAGGCGCATGCCACCACCATGGGTTGGTGCCATCCTCGCACTAATGAGTAAGTTCTCACTCTGAGTTCAGGTGAGATCTGGTTGTTTAAAAGAGTGTGGGGCCTCCTCTCTGTCTTCTCTCTTCTCCTCTTTCTCTCTCTCTCTCTGATGGGCCTGCTCCCCCTTCACCTTCCACCATGATTGGAAGCTTCCTGAGCCCCTCACAAGAAGCAGATACTGGCACCATGCTTCCTTACAGCCTGCAGAACCATAAGCCAATTAAACCTCTTCTCTGTATAAATCACCCCCACTCATGTACTTCTTTACAGCAATGCAAGAATGGAACAACACAAGTGATACATTTAATAGTGAAAGGTCGCCTTCAAGGACTCATATTGTATCTTTCTGTTTTGGAGAGACACTTCTAAGGCAAACAAGAAACCGATTTTGCAGATGAAGAGACAATAGAGAGATCAGGTGACGTGACCAAGGTCAAAGATGATGACCAGGAAGCCGAGTTTTGTGTCTCTGAGAACAAGAGCTTGCACTAAGAAACCCTAGGAAACAAAGTCCTTTTTCACGCTAGTTATTTCCTGTGAAAATGACTAGTTTCCTCTGTAAAGTAGGGCCAAGGATAGAGCTCTCATCTGAAATCATTTTGCTTTGATAGTGAGTATGGATTAGTCAGGCTGCTGGTTACTATGTCCCTCCTCACCAAGAAATGTGGATGGGCCGGACAAGGCTTTTTTGTCACTGGAATAAAGCAAAGCTGATGCTACTAAGAGAAATTAGCATGTTCAGACTATATTTGCACAGTGCATTAACCAAATATGCCAAAAGCAGCACACACAAAGGAATTGGAAGACCAGCTCATGCCTGCTTAGGGCATCGTTTGCTTGGCTGAGAGTTATTCAGTGTCACATGGCTTGAGGCTAACATGAATGGGCCACCTTACAGAGAGGGAGTGGTGATTGGTACTCTGCATAGAAACATTATGGAATTTCTAGAGATAGATGTTTTTATTACCGGTGAACTTAAAATTAAGGTGATATATTTTCTTTTGGCTGACAGGGACAGATAATATCATCCTAGCAAATAGTTTTCTAGAGGCACTGAGCCTCCTATAAACATTTTCATTTATCTGTCTAACTGGCATCAGAGCAGCCTGCGCCACAACTGTTGCCAGCCTCTTCTCTCGACGCCAGCCTCATATTGTCCTTGTGTGTTCCACCCTACCAAGGGTAGAGGGATCAAGAAAGCTCCTGTGGCAAACGGATTCAGTTTTATTTCATCCTTAAAAAAATACTGTAATGTCATGAAAAATCAAGCCAAAACTGAGGAGGAAGGAGAGATAGGCATGACTTTTAGTTTTAACACTTGTCTATTCATTAACCCCACCCACCTCCAATCACTTTTGGCTCTGGGTACATACGGCTTATATTTATGACTAATGCCTGGTATTCTTTCTTTACCTTGGGCCTTGCTTGGAGGAGCAAATCCTGCTGGAGCTGCTAGAGGGTTCTGTGATTTATGGATACCCATTTCAGAAACCCTGTGTGTCCTGAAAGGCTGCTTAGTGCCTCTTGATTCTCAGCATCCTCGCATTCTTTTCACTTCTGCAGCAAATGTTAGATGAGTCATGCAGATATGAACTGCATCCACCATCGGGGGTAGATAGGAATGGGATGAACAGAAACAGTCCGTGGCCCCATTTCAGCAGCTATTTAAAATAGCTGGAAAGGAAACAACAAGCAGCACTGTATCTAAGCCAGGTTACTTGCTGGCTGGCCCTTTAACTGAGGTGACTCCTGATTAAGCAAATGAGTCTGATTCATTTTACAGAGGTCTAATTAATACTTTACCATTAGAGAGTCACTTCAAATTCCCAGGATTTGGTCCTACAAACCCAAAGATCAGTAACCTCGGTTGCTTGGGAAATACTTCTTATTCCTGAGCTTCACATATAGATAAACGACAGAACAGAATCTTTAATAAAAGTCTTTAAAAATGCTTAAAGTTATAGTTCGGTGAGAACAACGAAAGCACATCATTTATTATAGACTACGGCTTAGTTCTCACTAGTTCTTGTGATGGTATGGAGGCTAGAAAATGGCAAACACCCGGCCAGGCGCGGTGGCTCACGCCTGTAAATCACAGAACCCTCTAGGCAGCTCCAGCAGGATTTGCTCCTCCAAGGAAGGCCCAAGGTAAAGAAAGAATACCAGGCATTAGTCATAAATATAAGCCGTATGTACCCGGAGCCAAAAGTGATTGGAGGTGGGTGGGGTTAATGAATAGACAAGTGTTAAAACTAAAAGTCACGTCTCTCTCTCCTTCCTCCTCAGTTTTGGCTTGATTTTTCATGACATTACAGTGTTTTTTTAGGATGAGATAAAACTGAATCCGTTTGCCACAGGAGCTTCCTTGATCCCTCTATCCTTGGTAGGGTGGAACACACAAGGACGATATGAGGTTGGTGTTGAGAGAAGAGGCTGGCAACAGTTGTGGCGCAGGCTGCTCTGATGCCAGTTAGATAAATGAAAATGTTTATAGGAGGCTCAGTGCCTCTAGAAAACTATTTGCTGGGATGATATTATCTGTTCTTGTCAGCCAGAAGAAAATATATCACCTTAATTTTAAGTTCACCGGTAATAAAAACATGAAATTACAGGCGTGAGCCACCGCGCCTGTAATTTCCAGCACTTTGGGAGACCAGGTGGGTGGATCACGAGGTCAGGAGTTCGAGACCAGCTTGGCCAGCATGGTGAAACCCCGTCTCTACTAAAAATACAAAAAAATTAGCCGGGCGTGGTGTTGCACGCCTGTAATCCCAGCTATTGAGAGGCTGAGGCAGGAGAATTGCTTGATTCCAGGAGGTGGAGGTTGCAGTGAGCCACGATCTTGCCACTGCAGTCGAGCCTGGATGACGGAGCGAGACTCAGTCTCCAAAAAAAAAAAAAAAAAAAAAGAGAGAGAGAGAGAAAGGCAAATACCCAATTGAGACTTCAGAGGAGACTTGGTATTTCTAGGAAGTGTTTTGGGGTCATGACAAAAACCTCAGGATTCTAAGTACACAAGGGGATCAGCTCATGTTTTCTTCTCATTTGCCAAACAACAACAACAACAACAACAACAAACCACCAGAAGACTTTATTTTAAAAATTTTCAGCCTTCCTTTACATAACAGAGCACTGTTTCTAAACATCTAGGTAGCCTTATTTAATCTAACTGGGCAATTGAACAGAAATCCTGCCAGCCCTCTGGGCCTACTTTCTTTTCAAATCTCAGTGTCATCAAACGATTTCAGGCTTGCCTATTTAATGTACCAGGCAGTGCTTGGAGCTAGGGATAAAACAGGGAACCAGGCACAGCCCCTATTTTTAGGAAGCTTACACTCCAAAGGTAAAAACAGACCCATAAATAGGGAATTTCAACATGGTGTGATTTGTACTAAGATAGGAGAAAGCCCAGGGTATGGTGGAAACACCTAGAAGAGGCATTTTTTTGTTTTTCAGAGAGAAAGAAAATTTTAGTTTATAGTACTAATGTGAAATATAGCAATCTGTTATATTGAATAAGAATTTTTCTCCAGCTAATAAATACAAAGCTCAGTGCACTCCCTCAGTTAGCAAGGAAGTGATATAAATTGATTTTCGATCCTTGGCAATCTGATGAAGATAAACGGGAATCAGAATTTGAAGCAATGACATCAAGAACCAGACCTGCCTGACTTTTGAGGTCTCCTGTTATTTACTGTTATTCACCCAATGAGTCTTAATTGAAGTAGACCCACTGGCCAAATAACAGTAAATAACAGGAGACCTCAAAAGACCTGACTTTTGAGTAAATAACAGTAAATAACATGAGATCTTGACTTACAAAAGAAAACGTGAATTGGAAGAATTTTAGTACTACTAAATGAGAGAATGGGATCAGAGTAAAGAAGTGTGATGACTGTAATTCAAAATGACATCAGCTTCGGATAAGTAATAGAAATTTGATCCCAGACAAAACTATTTATCATGTTGCTGGACTGACTGTCCACTTAAATGAAATTATCTTACCAAATGGAACTGCTAATGGCGAGGAAAGACAAAACATTGTTGTAGGGCTTTCTCCTTAGTTCAGCTAAAAACGGGGTCCTTGTCACACAACCATGAAAAATTAGGCTTGCAGACACTTTGAAGGGTGAGAAGGACAGGGTGTGTTGGGTGGAAAGAAAAAAAAGGGAAACAGGGACCCTTAGCAAAGCCACAGTCCTGCTAAGACGCTTCCATTCTCACAGACTGAATCCCAGGTTCCACACCGGAAAAGGAAGAGGCCAGGCTCCTCCCCTCTGCAAAATGGCGCCAACTTCCTGAGGCTCCACCCCAGCGTGCACTCTGCCCAGTGCGCAGGCCGGTAGGGAGTCTCTTTATGCTTGGCTGTCTCAACATGAGAAGGCAAGTGCATGTATCAGTGGTCATTTTGGGTTTCTCACCACGTGCTGAGCACCAAAAAGGTGGCCTAGGTTCCTGGCCTTCCTACTCTGACTCCTGAAAAAAATTAGTCCAAAACTCATTCTACAGTCAGATATAAACTCTTTGTTTTTTCTTACACACGAGTCTACTTTTGTCCATAGTTTCTATGACTTGTTTAGAAGGGAAGAGATGGAATATTTGTGAAAGTTAAGATCTAAAATCTGCTTTTTGCTTTGTTCTTCATGACTTTTTTTCCCTAAATAAGCTTAAATGTGCCTTGGTGAAGCTTGGTGTTAGAAGCAAACATAAAGTCAAACTGATGATTTCAGAAGACTTCGGAAGACAGAAAAATGACATCATCAGATTGAGAACTTATTAAATACTGTTTCTTTAAAAATTAAAGTGGACAATTTTTTTAAAAATTGGACACTTTACCGTCTCAATGTCTCTAGAACTCTGTTTTCTCAGTCATTTGCTCAGCTTAAAAAAAAAAGAAAAAAGAAAGAAAGAAAAGAAAACAAATTAAACACAAAAACAACTGATCACTTCCTTGGAGCCTTTTTCTCTTTGGCCCTACTTCATCCTCACCTCTCCAAGTATATTTAAGACTTCAGGCCAGGTGCGGTGGCTCACACCTGTAATCCTAGCACTTAGGGAGGCAGAGGTTGGTGAATCACTTGAGGCCAGGAGTTTGGGACCAGCCTGGCCAACATGGTGAAACCCCATTTCTACTAAAAAAAAAAAAAATTACAAAAATTAGCCGGGCATAGTGGTGCATGCCTATAATCCCAGCTGCTCAGGAGGCTGAGGCAAGAGAGTCACTTGAACCTGGGAGGCGGAGGTTGCAGTAAGCTGAGATGATGCCACTGCACTCCAGCCTGGGTGATAGAGTGAGACCCTGTCTCAAAAAATAATATAAAAGAAAAGACTTCAATGTCAGGTCTTGCATAAGAGAATTTGAGGAGCAGGCCCTCAAGAAGGCAGTATCCTCCGATTTTCAGAGGAGCAGATTCTGAGCGCTTCCTAATTTGTGCACATTTTAATTATCTTTACCTACAATGGCTATACCATGGGTTGGGAAGAGGTTGGCCTCAAAGAGGCCCAGAATCTATTCAGGTCTATTGTCACCTGAATCCTCTGCCATATACTAAGTGGTCAAGTTACTTAAACATCCAGTCTCAGTTTTTCAACTGTAAAATGGGAACATTTTTGAAAAATTTTAACTGACATATATGTTATATTGTATATGTTAATTGTATTATGTGTTATATTATTAATTACATGATTGGATATAATAATTCATGGGGTACACAGTGATATTTTCATACATGTATACAACATGCAATGATCAAATCAAGGTAATTAGCATATCCATCACCTCAAACGTTTATCATTTCTTTGCATTGTGAACATTCAAAAATCCTCTCTTGTAGCTGTTTGAAAATACAAAATCAATCATTGTGAACTTTAGTTACCCTACAGTGCTATGGAACACTGGAACTTATCCCTCCTATGTAGCTGTGATTTTGAATCCTTTATAAAATGAGAGTTAAAGAATATACTTCTTAGGGTTACTGTGGGGATAAAAGAAGATGGTTCATGTCCAGTGCTTAGAATAGTGCCCTGTACACAGCGCAAGCTTAACAACTGCTGTGTGTTATTAGGATGATGAACACAAGAGCAGAGATGACAGGCAGCATTGTCAGACGTGCACGAGGACAGGATGTTTTCTAGATGCTAAGTGAGACCAGTGTTTACCTCCAATTATTTACACTTTCAGTAGGTCCTGGCTTTGGAAAATACCATGCTCAGAACTGTAATATAGTAGTACTGTGTCTCAGTCTATGTATTGCGGCTTGCCTAACAAGTTAAGATGAATCTCATCATGGAATTTTCTCCTTAGAGCAACTTAGCTTGTCAAGGGCTGTTTCTTCCTCAAGGTTCCTCTGCTGAATCTCAGAGCAGAAGTTTGTTGTGGCATTGACTCTCTTCCTCTTCCTTCTTGCCTCTGACCTGCTGTATTATACCTTCAAATAGCAAAGACTCTCACTGAGGTAACACATATTGGCCCAATCTTCCTAAATGTTTTATATTTCAAAACTACCTCTCCCATCCCATTCTTCTCTATTAACTAATCTCAACTCAAATGAATAAGCCTGATGATGTACTACTAATTTCAGGTAAAATGATTGGTAGTGATGACTGATATATAAATAGTACTTCACAATTTAATAGGGGTCTTCCATGTATAGTATGCCATTTTGACTTCATAGCTATTCTGTGATATTTAGGTGGGTGTTATCATTCCTATTTTCAGATTAAGAAACCGGGCTCAAGTGAATTAGCTGGCTTGCTCTAGTCTACAAAACTGTTAAGGGACCTCAGTTAGGAACCCAAAGCTGCTTCTGTGGTCTGTGAAGCCAATCTCAATATGATGTTAGTGGCTTAATTTATAAGGTATGAATGACCAATAGCTTAAGCCTATCAATAAATATGCACATTTAAAGAGAGACCTGAAAAGGATCATAATTTTATAACTACAGAATGAAGACTGGGGTAGGAAGTACAAATTCCAACATCTCTGAGCAGAGAATCTTTCTGAGTTTTGTTGCCCGTTCCTGCTGACCCGCATGATCAGCCCTAGGCAGAGGTGTCCCAGAGTCTGTTGAAGCTAAAGCTGAGTCCACCCCTACCCCAGGGAATCTGGGATCCTTTCCTGTCACAAGCAAGGGTTGTATTCCATTTGTATCTTAAATTCATATACATTTTACATTCTATTCCATGTCTATATACATAGTTTTAAATAAAATAAAGTGAAACTTTTACCATATTAATCTTGGCACATGGTTGCAATTTCTCCATTTAAGAAAGTGCTAAGATAGCATGAAATCCATTTAAGGTCAGCCAAACAAATATTTATTCATTAAATCAAATGAAGAACATATGTCTGTGTGTGTGTGTGTGTGTATTGTGTGTTTGTATATATATGTGTATATGTGTATATATATACACATATATATACACATACACACACACATACATATATTTGCCAATACAGAATATAAAATGTAAACATGTATATATATATATATTTGTGTATGTATGGGGAAAAGTGAACACTAACCATCCAATTTCACAGTTTCAAAAAATGTGAATCTCTACACCAACCCTCTCTTAACCTCTACAGTTCAAATCCAAATCTCAAACTTTCTGATTTGAATTTGCTTATCCCTATGTAATTCTAACTTAAGACCTAAGACCAAAAGGGAATCCTCTTTGAAATGCTCCCTCTCACTCTGGGCACCATCCTGAAGGTTCCAACAGAAAGGGCAACACATCAGCTTATCATGGCAGCAATTCGCCAGTCCACAACAGAAAAAAGCCTTAGACAGGCTCCAAGCATTTCCTGCTTAATGCCTATTTTCTCTGCTCAGTTGTCATTTTTAAATAACGGTATTTTGTGAAAAACAAAACCACCCTGTACGTGGGAAACCATAAAGAAAGTTATTTGCTAGAAAGAACTGCCTTGCTAACAAAACGTATGTTGGCACGTTTAAAGACAGAGCTCCTGGGGCTGCCTTGAGTAAGTCTTGCTGAAAGTGTCTGCATGGCATTATACACAAGGCTTTCCCTTCTCCTCTGCCCCCACCCTGCAGCCTTGGAAATTTGCAGTTGCAATCTTTGACTGGACTCTATTGAGACTTTCCACCCCCGGCTGCTCAGGAAACACATACCAGCAAACAGAATGAAAGGGCCTTTTATAAGCACGAGTCCGTTATGTCTTAAACAGACTCCCACAGAAAGGCTTTTTTGTTTCTTACTCTTTAGGAAAAACTGAGCTCCTTCTGAAAAGTCTTTGGAGAGAGAGAAGAAACCGAAGACAGGGAGAAGGCTCAAGGGAGGAAGATAGGCTAGGGACAAAGGAGGGGCAATGGAAATTGTCAGAGAGGTTGAACTCTACTTTTCTAAGGTAAAAGCGACAGTGTTGGATAGCCTCTGGTAGGGGTAGGGGTCAGGGTGTGGTTGTCAGGGCTAAGAGGGGAGTTGGCTGCTACTACCCCTTGGAGTCTTCCCCCTCGCCAACTACCACCATCCCCAAAAGAGGGAGTCATCCATAGCAAAAAACACTGAGAGACTCTAGTGCTCTGGTCTCCAGAAAAGTTTCAGGAAACTAGATTTTTGCTAAGTAAACTTAATTTCTTGTCTTCTTCTTCTCCTTTTCCTTTTATCTAAAAAGCTACATTTTCTGTTTTACAAGATCCACAAGCAATTTCTTTCCCATGATAGCATCCTAGTTTCTCACAGAAAAAGTAGTTTCTCTCTCTTTTATAAGAAAGCATAATCTCCATTATTTCAGACATCCCCAAATCACAATAGTCTGAATTGTCAGAGTTTTAGCTGTCAGAAGATTACACAAACACGCATATACACACAGAAAGTGGAAGAAATGTAAAAGTCTTATTAGTTCATTCTTTATTAAACATTTAATAACCACTTATAATATAACAGAGTCCAGGTGGTATCATTTATGAAGAAAATGCTAAAGAAAATAGTGCAAAGGAACAAAATGATAGTTTCAGAGATTTGGGTGTATTAAGAAATGAAGAGAAAATGATGCTGTTTATTGCAAATCTGTATGGGTTTAATTAAAACAGAATCTCTGTGATACACTAAGTCAGCTGAAGTTAATGCTTATACATTTTTAATGAATTTTTTCATAATTTGAAAAATCCTTTTCAAGTTTAATTTATGAGGTCTCATGTTGCTTAAGTAGAGCAAAAACCCATTGGCATAAGAGCATCCACCTCTCAGCCTCTGAAGTAATGGCATTGATTTCTCCTGCTTTGTTGTCCTGGCCGCAGGTGTGAAAGCATTATGAAGTAAGCACTAGTTCAATATCCTGTGTGCACCCCATCCTCAGGGGCTTAATTACCTGCCTGTGTCCCAAGGAAGAAGAGAGTCCCTGTGGGCATGAAATAAAGCATTCTATGGTTTGGGCCTTCTTCCAACAATAAAAAGTTGTGCTTTAAAACATGCCTAACACAAAGCAGGTTTGGTAAGAATTGTGGAAATGTCAATTATTGGTTCCCAAACACTATTTTGTTTATATGTTCACTCCAGGGTCTCGAGTATTCTGCCTCTTCTGGAGTCCAGGCTTTAGAAGAGGTGACCTTCTTTCAGGGAATAGTAATAGCAGTTAACACTTCTTACATACCATAATGCAGGCCCTAAGTACTTTACTAGATTAATTCACTGAATTCTCACAACACTATGCGGTGCATACTATCTTATCTCCCATCTTACAGTTTTGGAACGGGAGGCACAGAGAAGTTAAGAAATGTACTTAGTCACATAGCTGGTAGGTGACAGAGCTGGGATTTCAACCCTCACAATCTGGTTCCCAAGTCTGTACCTTTTTTCACTATACAATACAGCCTTTTAGGACACTGAATATGAAAGGACCTCAGAGATGACCTCATCTTAATTCTCTAATTTTATAGGAGAAAGAATGAGATTCAATGAAATTAAGTGACTTATCCAGAGGAATATGATGAGTTCTTGGCAATGTTTGCAGCAGAACCAAAATCACTCTAATCCTAATGAAATGTGTAAACACCACACCCTTCACCCCACCCAAAGAACTCAGGTTCTCCTAAGCAGCCCAGCTCCCATGTTTCCATGGCCCCAACAGTTGCAATTTATTGGGGCTATGGAAATTCATGATGTCTTGGTTGAGAAAGATCAACATCTGTACTGGCAGTAACACAGGTAAAATTCATGGTGAAGGCATCTTCCACTGCCTACATAGAATGAAATGGAAAGAGGGAATAAGAACCATTCAAGGAACATTATTCTAAGAGCTCAAAATCTCCGATGCTCACCTAGACCTTTCCATTTATAAATTCTCTCCAAAGTCAGTCTTTCCAATTGTATCTCATAGTTTCATGGCATTCTGTTCCTATTGTTCAGAGTACTTCTGTATCATAATTTGTAATTATATTCTGCCTTCTGTATCCGTAAAGTCAACCAACCATAGATTGAAAATATTTGGAAAAAATGGATGGTTACGTCTGTACTGAATATGTACAGACTTTTTTCTTGTAATTATTTTCTAAAAATATAGTATAATAACTATTTACTTATATTGTATTAGGTATTATAATTATTATAATTATTATATTGTATTAGGTATTATAAATAATCTAGAGATGATTTAAAGTATAGGGGAGGGTTTGTATAAGTTACATGCAAATACCGTTGTCCCTTGATATCTTCAGGGGATTGGTTTCAGGACCCCTGTGGATACCAAAATCTGAGGATGCTCAAGTCTTGCAGTCAGTCCTGCGTTAGTTCCAGATATGGTCCTCAGTATCTGCAGGTTCTACATCCCACAAATACCATATTTTTGATCCAACATTGGTTGAATTCTCAGATGCAGAACCCTCAGATACAAAGGGCCAGCTCTACAATATCATTTTATACAGGGACTTGAGTATCCATGGATTTTGGTCTCCAAGGGGGTTCCTAGAATCAATCCCCAACAGATACAGAGGGACAACGGTTTATATCTAATTGTGTATGTGTTTAGTTCTGCTCCCCAGCTAGACAGTACACTCCATGACAGGGGCCATATCTATTTTTATTTGCCTATAAATACCTAGAATCTGGTACATAAACAGGTGTTTGGTTAAAATTTGTTAAATAAACTTATACCAAAGCCTCAGCAACAGAGTGTTAAAAGATGATCTCCGTTTTGCCTGATAAACATCTGTTGTTCAGTGCTCATTATCTTTATTCAGTTACTGGACCATATCCATTACTAGGGCGGAACATGTTCAAACAAACAAGTCTCAATCAGCCAAAGCTCAGCTGCCTTACAAATCTACCTTTCATTCAGGGTCCAGGAACCCACTAGCTGGGACTGGTTATGTTGTCAAACCGTAATCATCAAACTAAGGAAAAAGACCAGTCTAAAACATCAAAATTGGGGATACATGTATTACTTTTAAATTCTGAGGGTAACTCATAGTATGTGAGCTGGATTTGCTACAAAACACTTCTTCTGGGGACCTGCTTGAAAGGCTAGATAAAACAATTTTTGTTTGGCATGTGCAAAATTTATATGTAAAGAGCTATGTTTAAAGACTTTAAAGATGTTCAAAAACAAATTATTCTTTTAACATTTTAAGCACTATTCTTACAATCTTGTTTTCACATTATTGCATTAAACACTTCCATTATTATCCACAAAGAAAAGATTTTTTGAGTAATATTAAACACCACTCCAGTTACTTCTGAAATAAAGCAAAGTGTGAATTAATAGAGTTTAAATTAATGAAGACTTTCTCTAAGTTATAAAATTTAGAGTAAAATTATAAAATTTAGAGTAAAATCATTAAAAGTTTTCTAGGCCGGACGCGGTGGCTCATGCCTGTAATGCCAGCACTTTGGGAGGCTGAGGCGGGCAGATCATCTGATGTCAGGAGTTCGAGACCAGCCTGACCAACATGGAGAAACCCCATCTCTACTAAAAATACAAAATTAGCCTGGCGTGGTGGCACATGCCTGTAATCCCAGCTACTCAGGAAGGCTGAGGCAGGAGAATTGCTTGAACCTGGTAGGGGGAGGTTGCGGTGAGCTGAGATCGTACCACTGTACTCTAGCGTGGGCGACAAGAGCAAAACTCAGTCTCAAAACAAAACAAAACAAAATTTTCTAAATTCTATTTCCTTGATGATGATACACAAGAATTTCTCCAAAAACAGTAACACCTTGTTTATTTCAACCCTTTTACAATGAAGGCAGTAAGAAAACAGATGCAAGTTCGTAGTTTATTTTGTGCCTAAGTAATAAATCTGCTTTAGTTTCTATTCTGTAGCTGATCTCCAAGTATAAATTGTCTTATTTTTGTGTTATATAAGTTAGTTTATTTTTTTACTTATTTTCACAGCATTAATTATTGGAAAGAAGGCCTGCAAACACAAGGCAAGTATTCTCTCATGGAGGTCACACCATAGATGTACAACTGTTCTTTTATTTTTAGAAAATATCTTTGTGTAAGTTGGGATAATTTGAAAATGTGGATTCAACCCTTTGCCGTATTTTATCAAGACACAACTGCAAAATCTGCTTTTTTTTTTTCAAATGAAGGAGGTAAAAGTTGACTTTATTTTTTGGAAAAATGCTCTCAGCTGGGACTCATGTCTACATGAGGACAACCAGGAAGCAAAATTGGCCAGAAGCAGCTCTTTGCAGAGTGGAGACAGTGCAGCTCTTTACCACGGGCATGAAGACAGCGTGGTAACATGGTCAAAGCTTGTTAGGTCAGGTCACCACCTCCGCAGGTGTCTTTGACACTGTCTAATAAAAATGCTTTTGGGATGGCTTTCAGCCCACTGTTTTGCCCCTGTTGCTTCTGGTTTATTATCCTGTAGCTTTTGTCTTCACTTTTGAGGGATGTAGTGAGGCTTCTTTATCAGTTTTTTTTTTTTTTTTTGGTTTGTTTTTTGAGATGGAGTCTCTCTCTCTTGCCCAGACTAGAGTGCAGTGACACGATCTCGGCGCAGTGCAACCTCCACTTTCCAAGTTCAAGCAATTCTCCTGCCTCAGCCTCCCGAGTAGCTGGGACTACAGGCGCCCGCCACCATGCCCGGCTAATTTTTGTGTTTTTAGTAGAGACAGGATTTCAACGTGTTGGCCAGGCTGGTCTCAAACCCCTCAGGTGATCCGCCCACCTTGGCCTTCCAAGGTTCTGGGATTACAGGCGTGAGCCACCACACTCAGCCATTTATCAGTTTTTAATACAGTGTTTCTGATGCTTAATAAGAAAATGATCCAAAGTTCAGATTTTCCTTTGTGATTAAAATAATCATGACCTAATATCTCAAAGGAATGATTAAAAAAAAGTCTGATTTTTACTTTCAGGGAACAACACATCTCCCTTGATTAATCCTAAATACCTTTAATCAGAGGTAATTCAGTGTGTGCAAGATTTATGCTATTTGCTGGAAGTTAAGTGATTTAAAAAAAGACATGGTTTTAATAAACTCTGCACTAGGCTAAGGTTCCAACTCACTCCCTGGAGGATGCTACGTCTCACAGGAAGATTACAGAGGCGATTGCAGTATGAAGGCAACCAGCCATGTCGTTGCTGTCTGACAAATGGGATGCGATTTTCTTGTGCTTTACACTTGGGGCTCAGTAAGTACAGCTATGGAAAAATTGTTTCTTCCCTATCCCTCTTCGTGGCAGCGGCTGGGATTCACTGGGAAGTGTGCTGACTGGTGGATATTTTGACTCCAGAACATTTGGGGACTTTTCACTATGATGGAAGAAATTTCAGAAATGAGATATCATTTTGAAAGAGTAGCTTAGGATGTACTTACATGCCTAAGGGCTACCAAAAGTTTAGGGAAAGTCCATTAAATCGCGTTTTTCCTAACTCCTACATCCTCCCCTCTAGCCACAGTCATGCTTTCACCAGGCTCTGCCCACCAGTGCCCAAGCCAGCCCTGAACATGCCTGGCAGTGTAGATAAAATCAGATCTCCATCAATGGGTGAGGTCTGAAATAGATTTTGCTTCCTTAAGTCTCATAGCCAGGGACCTAGGAAACACCTGATCACCCAGATAATGCTACCTTCATCCCACTGTTTTGGCTGGCTCTTCTGCCAGGCCTCAATCTCCAGTGGCCAGACCTTCTTCTCTGAATTTTAATAAATGCTATTAGATGGGAGGCTGCTTCAAAGCTGGCAAATGGCCCTGGAACCCTCACACTATCCACTACCTGACATACCCTGTCCATCACACTGCACCCCTGGATACCTACACCAACCTGGGTATGGTCCACAGCAGCCTGGCACTGCTCCACCACACCGCAGGCAGGTAGGCCTCCCAGCACCTGGCTCTTCTTCTACTTCTGGCTTCCTCCCCCTCAATGGCCACTGTTGAAGCTGCGCCAGCTGCAAATCCGCTGTCCCAGGAGAGAAGTTTAATTGGATTAATTTCCATTTCTTTTTTTTTTTCAGGATTATTTTCGTGGAAAATTTTTAGCACTTTGAGATGTTATAACACTGGCATCCTAGAGACCGAAATATGAAATAACTTAGTACAAAATAGGTCCTCGTGGGAAGCCAATGTGCACGTTTTCCCACCATATTCTGCCAACGGTGCACTATTCTCAACTACTCCATTTATCTCTACGGGGCAAATAATGGATGTGTTCCAGCACCCACTCAATTTCTGTGTTTTCGTCTAGCTGAAATAATAATAGATGTAAAATATGGCTCTCTGTCTAAAATTAGCCTCTGGTTAGACACTATCAGCTACCACTCAACACAAGGAAATTTTACACAGAAATAAAATGATTACATAGGTAGAATGATGCATGATTTCATTTACTCAATCAATAATTCTTTATTCTTTTGGTGCCTACTCTATGTAGTATGTTGTACAGTAAGGGATAAAGAAACAAACAGGAATAGGCTCCTGTTCTCAAGGAGTTTATCTTTGAGGTTGACTTTTTTATTCTTTTATAGTTTTACTGTATAACTGTAATGCCTCCCGTCCTGAAAATGACAGTTATTACAGGTTTAACTCACAGCAAATATTGTTACCTGAAACCTACCACCACAGTCTCAGGAGAACCCACAAACCTGGATGTAGCATTCTGCAGTGTGTCTTTGTCTGGGAACAGAGTACAGCAGCTGTTTCCTAAGTTCTAAACACAGACCCATAATTCACATATGTAGGCAAAAGTGATTCAGGCTAAGTATGTGTTCCTTTCAAAGCACTAATTTAAAGAAATACCACTTTTTTTTCCAAATAGCATTTAGTCACAAAATATTTTAGAAAAATACCAATTTTCTGTTGTGGGGAAATCGTTTAAGGGCTGGGCTGAAATTCAGAGGAAGACTTTTGTTTCTTCTTTTAAATAAAAAGTCACTTTATAAAAGAGAACGGATGGCTTCTAACGTATCATATTTACCCATTTCCCCTCCCTAATTTTCCATTTACCCCAAATTCGATTTGTTTCCTTGCTGCCTCTTTAAGTCCCTCCCATATCCTCAGAGCAGCTTAGGTGTCTTTTGTGAATTCATTTATGCTCTTTGTTCCATTCATCCTATTTAGGGCAGTAACAGTTTACAAGAAGCAAAACACATTATAAGTTAGTCATAATTATTACACTGAAATGCATCCTCTCCCTCATAATGTAGCAGAGGTGTAATATGACAAAATAGAAGTTTCTCAATCCAAAGCTGCCATCCTTATCTATGAACCAGTAAACTGCCCTTCACAGAAGGCCTTGGCTTTTTACCTTTAAGGATGATGCCCTTATTCTAAGAAAAGAACAAAGAAGGTTAGTGGGAGTACAGGGAAGAGACAACTGAATTGATTCATACACTTAAGCTCTAAACGTGGCCAACATCTCTTAGTAGCTGAAGTGAAATGGTAAATACTTTGGGTTACATAGTTTTCTGATAAAGTAAAGGCAAAGCAAATGCCTAAGTAGAAAGAAATGACCCTGAACTTTTAAACTCAAGCAAGCAGTCATGGAGTGACAGGCTTTTTGGCCTTGCCTGATGACAGTGTACATGACAGAAAGGCATGATGGCAGGGCATGTATCATCTTTGTCCATTTCCCCCCAATTGAGACCCCAATCGTACCATCTTCAGGTTTCTTCCAAAGTTATGCGTAAGTGAGTGACTCTCGTCAGCATCAAAGACCAGTATTTGGTCTGTATTACATTTGAAAACACAAAAAAACATAAAGAACTCTTCAAATGAAATCTGATGAAGCTAATAGCCCATGAGGATCAGTTCAACAAGTTGCATCAGCAAAGACCTCTCTTTGTTACCGGATCTACCAGATCCAGGCCGCAAAGGAGCTCCCTTAGACTGCTTTAATTAGGTATTTCACTTACAAATGAATTAATTAATTAGAGATAAGCACCTGAAAGCACATTACTCATGTGGTCTAGTTAAAGCTTTAAATAGATACAAAACTGCCGACACCTCATTACTATTAGGTAATTCTACACGGGACTTAACACCCAAGATGATTTACCAAACCTCGTGCCAAAACAGCATTCATTCTAATCCCTCCCGCACCTTGGGAACCTTAGCACAAGGATCCTTCAAGAAGATTCAGGGAGAAAGGATTAGAGCAGGAGCTATGGTTACTGTGGCCTGTGTTTCTTCATCAGTTTTTCTTTCAGACATAATGAAATGGCCTGAGACGGCAGTCCTTTTCCATTCTACCTTGGTCTGGCTTGTCCGTTTTATGTTGCCTAATAACTCCATTCAATGGCACAGTCATTTCTGGCAGCCTCCAGCTAGAATCAGAGTGGTGGCAGACATACTCAAGAGCCAATATGGAATGACTCCATTCCCCCAAAAACAAGATGATTGCAATTTCAATATCTTCTGCAAAAGTAGATAAAAAGGCAAGCAAGCAAACAAAACACCTTGAACTTTATATTGGATACAGTGACTCCCAGTTTTAAGCACACATGGAAATTCTTACCTACAGATAAAATTTTAGTGATATTCTTCCCATTGTTTTTCATATATATGAAATGAAACATATGTATGAAAAAGGTATTTGGATATATGTAACTTTTATGCATACATTATATATGCAACATATGCATAAATTATATACATGCAACATTTTCATTGTTGGTGGTCAGTTTTAAGGGAGAATATAGAGTACTTTAATCCTAATAATAGAACTTGTAAATGTAACTTAAAGGATGTCACCTCCACTCCCACAGTAACTTCTAGTTTTACAGCAGTACTAAGAGCTCTGTGCTTATTCCTTTATCTAGAGCACAGCTTTTTGATCAGTTGCTCCTCCATACAACCTCTAGACCTCCTCTCTACATCTCTGCTTCTTCCCTGATCTCAAAGGTGATGACAATGGGGGAAAGGACCATTCATCCTGTACTGCCCTCTCATCCTATGATCCCATGGCACCTGTTCTTTCCGCTCTCCCCCATAAACTTATTTGTTTATTTTTAGAGACAGGGTCTCACTCTGTCACCCAGACTGGAGTGCAGTGATACGACCTTAACTCACTGTAACCTCTAACTCCCGGGCTCAAGCAAGCTTTCTGCCTCATCCTCCCAAGTAGTTGGGACTACAGGCACAAGCCACCACACTGGCTAATTTTCTTTTTTAAAAATTTTTGAGAAAGGAGGTCTTGCCATGTTTCCTGTGCTGGTCTCAAACTCCTGGCCCCAAGGGAGCTTACTGCCTCAGTTTCCCAAAGTGTTGGTATTACAGGCATGAGCCACCATACCCGGCCTACTTTTTAATGCTTCTATCATCCTCCAACTTATTAACTTTTAAAAAACATAAACATACATTACAGGTGAAAGAATAAAACAAGGAACACCCACTTACCAACCACCTAGAGTTAACAATGGTCACTTTTGCTTCCCCATCCCTCTGTCTCTCCTGCCATTTGAAACTAGGTAGCAGACATCACGAGACTTCATTCCTGAACACTTCACAGTATCATCCCTTTGAAAGCAGAAACATAAGCTTACAGGTTCAATTAATTAATTTCTAGCCGATTTAGTGAGCTTCAGCAGTTTTACTTAAACATTTGTTTTCATTTTTCTTGGGCTATCTTCCACCTCAAAGAAACAAAACACACACATACACACACACACCCCCACCCCCACCCCCAAAACCAAGCCAGTAGCTGAAATACACGTTGCAGCATAATATCTGATGTAAGGTTTTTATAAGGACTGCCCACACAATGTTGTTCACCTGTGTGGGGCCTTTGGCCTCATATTAGAATCACTGACATCTTAGAAGAAAGCATCCAGGCTGGTAACCTTGTAGGGAATAGCTCTCTCGAGAATGTCAGACTTGGTCAATTATGCAATTGTTTTGGGAATTTTACCCCTGGGCACTTCTGGTTTGTCTGAAGAAGCCCAGCAGTAATGAAAGTGGACAGGACTCCACCCACAGAGGAGTTTTGTCCTGGAGATGGTGTTAGGCATCTCTGGAAAGACCTCTGCTCAACCTTCACCAACCAGGGCAGCCGTAGCAACAGCAGGAAGTGACAGTCTCTTCCTCACCTAACTGGAATCAGTGAGGGTGTAACATTATCAGGACACATTCAGTATTTAGGCTGAGCCACTGGAATTAAGGGATTTTGGGGGTTGGGGTGTGGGGATAGAAGATGGGAGCAGCTCACAGTCCTGCCTAAGGTACAAGGGAATCTTAGTGCTCTCTTCCTTTTCTGGCCATTCTTACTATATCTCCCCCATTCTTTCTTCCCCATCTCCCAAGAATAATGAAAGCTAACATTTATATATGGCTGAGAGGCAGTGCAGCAAAGTGGTCAAGAGCTTGGGCTCTGGGCCACACTGCCCAAGTTTGAGTCTCAGTTCTGCCATTTACTCAATAGGTGATGCTGGGCAAGTTACTTAACCTGTGTGCCTCCATTTCCTCATCTTGAAAGTGGGGATGATAACACCACCACATATTTCCTGGGAGCTTGTGAAGAGTAAATAATATATGTAAAGTACCTAGAACAGTGCCTGACACTATTAGCTATACTTTTTTTCATTTACTAAGCAATTACTTTATATAAAGCCCTTTTCATGATTCAACTCCTTTAATCTAACAATAACAACAAAAAAAAAAAACATAAGAAAAGGCTATCAGGATGGGCATGGTGGCTCACGCCTGTAATCCCAGTGCTTTGGGAGGCCAAAGTAGGCAGATCACTGGAGGCTAGGAGTTTGGAGACCGGTCTGGGAAATATAGTGAGACCCTGTCTCTATAAATGTTTTTTTAAAAAATTAGCCAGGCTTGGTGGCATACACCTGTAGTCTTAGCTACCCAGGAGGCTGAGGTGGGAGGATTACATGAGCCCAAGAGTTAGAGGTTACAGTGAACTATGATAGCACCACTGTACCCCAGCTTGGGTAATAGAGCAAGACTCTGTCTCTTAAAAAAAAAAAAAAGCTATCATTATTCTCATTCCACAGATGAGGAAAATTAAGTTCAGATGAAGTTCACTAAATTTCCAAGATTTCCCAGTCAGTAAGTGGAGGGGCCACGATTTGAACTCAGGCAATGGGTCTCCAAGGTCACATCTTTGGCCATTCAGCTCTGTGGCTTCCCAAGTCAGGACACAAGAACTCCAAGTTACTGGTTAGGGACTATTTCATTCTCATAGGCCTTGATAACCATTCCCTTCCCTACCCCGTAACAGAATTTATTCATATTTTCCCACCCCAAGCACACACATACATACACATGTACATAGGGTATTTATAAGGCTTATTCCATTAAAGCATGGCACCAAGCCACTTTACACTTTGTTTTGCATTGCTGCACATGCCAAAGCCGACCAATGGTACTGACAAGCCCCTGCCCCAGCTTCCAGGGCCCTGACCACACTCCCCTCTCACCCGCCAAGTGCACCACTAGACAAATTCTGAGCTAGGAGCACAGTTCCCAACTGTACACCTCTTTGTTAAATAATGGCTCAAAACTGACGTGAGTAGCAGTGATGCATTTTGGAAGTTCAAAAACTAAAGACAAACGGGAGGAAAGTAGGTTGTTCTGGAAGCTCTGTCAGCTAATTCCATGTAGACAGGTGACCCATATTATGTCAATTAAGTGCTGTTCTAGAGGCATTCTGCCATGGGCTTTTTACATTGAACATTTTAGGGTAATGGGGAGACAGATTAAGGTTTGCTGAATGCACCAGGGCCTTTCCTTTGTAATTCAATTAACAGAACAAGACATGGACTTTTGTTGAAATCCTCCCAGGTGGATGAAAGGCAAAGTGGGGCACAGACTTTTAAGTCCATGAGGGTAAAAGTAGGCTCAGACAAGGCTGTTCAGCTTCTGGAGTGTGTGCCATGTGCAAAGATGGGGCACAGCAGTGTTTGCCCATGAAGCCCAGGTAGACAATGAGGAGCAAAAGGTACATGGCTAATAGAGTCTTGAGACCTCCTGCCCCAGCTGAGATCTCTCGCTTCCTGCCCAGTGGCTGTCACTTTCCCCCTTCCTTCCATCCTGGGCTTTTGAACACTTCCATATCCTGAATTCCTTTTCTCAAAATGCTTCCAGGAAAATGTATCGGTCCTTTATGATTTGGCTTCCAGCTCCTTCTTCAGCCTCATTTCTTGCTGTGACTCCCTCTGACCACATTGGCCTTTTTCAGTTCCTTAGCTAGCCCCCCTCTTTCCTGCCTCAGGGCCTTTGCACACATGCCATTTGTTCATTTGTTTTCTGCCTGTCATGACTCTACCAGCAACTCTCTTAATGACCTCAAATTCATCCTGCAGATCTCCGTTTTCCTGGCTTCCTGGAATACTGCTAATTTCTAGACATAAATACAGTTTCCAAATCTATATTTGTGATTATATTATTGTATATCTTCCCCACTAGACAGGAACCTCCATGTTGGTGCCTGTCTTGGTTCACAATTACATACATAGGGCTTATCATAGCTTCCGCCCCACGCTGGGTACTAAATATTTATTCATTGTTGAATGAATCCATGAATGAATGGATCAATTCCATTCTTTCAGAGTCCTGGTCTCTCAATGCATTTCTTTTCTCAGTTTGTATGCTGCTTAAAGGATCTTGAGTCTGAGGCATCAACCAAAGCAACAGTGGGATTTTCAGAAAGGAATGGTTGTAGGCTGTTGGGAAGAACTGCAAGAAGCCAGGTTTCCACAATCCATTTCTCTTCATTTCTGGCTTTAGTGCCTTCATCAATGCACAGACAGATGTCTGAAGATGTCAGAGTTTAGCTTATTAACAAATGAGCTACACAAACTTCCTCAGTATTCATACTCAAGGGGGAGAAGTCAAATTTGGGCCCTGGAGTTACATGCAGCTCTGAAGTGGGTGCCTCTGCCTACGAATCAGTCACTCACGGGGTCCTTTATGCAATCCCTGATGGTTGCTATGATCTTACAGCAGGCCCTTTATTTTCCTTTTTGGTCTTAAACTCCTCTGCCAAGTACAACACCATGCCTTCCTCAAAATCATAGTAAGGTATACCCAAGTCAAATGAGGCTGATTTTAGAAGGAAGAGGTTATTGGCACTTTTGTCACCATTGGAAAGAGTGTAATTAGGTACAACATTTTTAGCAGATAATTCAGCAATATCTGTTGAATTTTTAATGTTATACCCTTTCACTTGAAAATTCACCTTCTGAAGATTTGCCCTGAAGAATTCTCACACAGCACAAAAAGATCAAAAAGACTTATGCACAAACACGATTCATATTTTATTAAAAGCTGAAGGAAAAAGCTCAATTATCCAACAGTAGAGACTGGCTAGATAATTCTGGTAAAGTTATTCTATTTGCCAGAGTCACTCAATGGAATATTACGTAGCCAGAAAACAGAATGAATTCTATATACTGACATTGAAAGATATCCATAATATACTGTTAAGTGAAAACAATGAGATTCAGAATAGTGCAGTTCTTTATTTTATAATGATAGGTAAATATCTGTTAATAACTATGGTTATATAAGAAGTTTACATGAAAATTTTGATTTCTATATTGTACCCTAGTATTATTTATACTTTATAAGTGTATTTTACTTAAATATAACAATCAAATTTACATTATAAAAGCAAAGGTAAAAAATTGTCTTTAGGCTGGGTGCGGTGGCTCATGCCTTAAAATCCCAGCACTTTGGGAGGCTGAGATGGATAGACCACTGGGTCAGGAGTTCGAGGCCAGCCTGGCCAACATGGTGAAACCCCATCTCTACTAAAAAAAAAAAAAAAAAAAAAAATTAGCTGGGTGTGGTGGCGCACGCCTGTAATCCTAGCCACTAAGGAAGCTGAGGCAGGAGAATTGCTTGAACCCAGGAGGCGGAGGCTGCAGTGAGCCGAGATCGCGCCACTGCCCTCCAGCCTGGGTGACAGAGCGAGACACTCTCTTCTCTCTCTCTCTCTCTATATATATGGATAGATAGATAGATAGATAGATAGATAGATAGATCTTTAAAATATGACAGATCATTTTTATTAACTTGACCAAGAGTCTGTCCTTAGACATAGCACCAGACTTAAAAGAATGCAGCTCTCCATGGTTTCTAGAAAAACTAGGCATTTGGGCCTGTGGTAGCCAGCCTCCAAGATGACCTGCAATAAACCCTGCCCTGGTATTCACATCCTGTGTGACCAACAGAATAGTATAGAAATGATGATATGGTTCTTCTAAAATGACATTACAAAAGACTGTGGCTTCCGTCTTGGGCCCTCTTTCTTGGATCGCTTGCTCTGGGAAAAGCCAGGTCATGAGCAGTCTATGGAGAGGCCCCGACCAAGAGAAACTGAGGCCTCCTGCCTACAGCCATATGAATGAGCTTAGAACCAGATCCTCCAGGCCCACTTAAGCCTCAGATGACAGCTGCCCTGGCTAATACCTTAACTGCATCTTTGTGAGGGCGCCTGAGCCAGAACCATCCTGGATTCCAGATCCACAAAACTATTAGAAGATAGATGTTTGTTGTTTTAAGACATTAAGTTTGGGTTAATGTGTTAAGTAGCTATAGATAACTAATACAGGATCCAGTCAACTCTATAATTTTTAGTGCCTATTTCCCAACCTGCACATATTAACTTTATACTCTAAGCCTAGTCTCACATTGGTTCTGTCTTTATACCAACCTAAATCGGTAAAGACCAGCAACTAAAGTTAGTGTAGGGTATTCTGTTCTCTCCTCAGGAGGATACCACTAATGATGAGGAGAGGGGGACTGAATCCAAGGGACATCACCGGGATCATAGGATCCAGAAATCAAATTTGGTTATCAAACCTTCAAATGAAAATCCTTTGGTTTAAAAAAGACTTCTACCTTTTCTATCTGACCCAATCAAATTGTTACATTATTGAGACAGGCAGTGGTTCAAATTAAATGTCACAGAAGAACACCCTGACAATGAGAAAAGGAGAGAACACTGGGAAAAGCTGTCCATTGTTTCCTTGCTAAAGGCAATCTCTGATGAAAGAGGAATGGACTCCTTTTCAATACAGGTTTAGTTTTGCTGAACACCAAATGCAGAGAGGGAAATGAATTCTCACTGCAGAAATTCTTCTGCTATTACCGTTGTTATACTTCTACTTAAGACCCTTAATTTCAATGCTTTTGAATCCAGCCATAAATATCTGTTCAAATAGTTGTAGGATGATTTATTTTCTGTTTAAAATGGTTTGTACATGTATTTTTATATAACTAAAAAATGTCTGAATGAATCAGCACTTCACAAATCAATGACAGGTCAGAGGAGCATGGCCAGCATGTCTGGAAGGAACCAATTTCTCCCATAGCACCATCAATTCATTGCTAGCTCGGTCCAAGGAGACTTGGCAGTGGCTGTCAGCCTGAATAAAATCCAGGAGCCGTCATGCCTGTGCTGCCAGCGTGGCTTAGTGATAAAGTCACGGAGTCCCTGTAAAAGATTCTCCAGCGGCCGGGCACGGTGGCTCATGCCTGTAATCCCAGCACTTTGGGAGGCCAAGGCAGGCGGATCACGAGGTCAGGAGATCGAGACCATCCTGGCTAACACGGTGAAACCCCGTCTCTACTAAAAATACAAAAAATTAGCCGGGTGTGGTGGCGGGCACCTGTAGTCCCAGCTACTCGGGAGGCTGAGGCAGGAGAATGGCGTGAACTCTGGAGGCGGAGCTTGTAGTAAGCCGAGATTGCGCCACTGCACTCCAGCCTGGGCGAAAGAGCAAGACTCCGTCTCAAAAAAAAAAAAAAAAGAGATTCTCCAGCAGGCTGCATGCAAAATATATTCTACACACATATGTTCTATTTTCGTGATTATAGGGAGATGCCAGTGTGACAGATCAATTGCAAATTCATTTAAAAATACTGTACAATTAATAGCTTTCTCAACCAATGGATATTAAAAGTACATCTCTTATCCTATAATGTATTGAGATTTATAAAATGCTTTTAAAAAGAAATCTTTTCCAATTCAAAGTGTTGGGAATTATTGTTCTAGAGATGCCAATGCAAGGTTAAAAAATTCTTATTCTTCACTAAGATATAATGGCATTCTAATCCAGTTTTACCACTCTGTAAAAGTAAAAACTCAGTAAATTGATTAAACCAAATCATGCTTCAGGAATAAATTTACATTTACAGAATACTAATTTTAAACAAAAAAAGAGAATAGGCTCATTATATATCAGTAAGTATGGTACATAAAATGTATCACAATGTCTTCATTCCTAGTAGGTTTTTTAAAAAAACAAAGCTTAATATGAAATAGTTAAATAAAGAAGGAGGCAGGAGGAAAGGGGCAGGGCCCCTGAGGGTCAGGTGGTAGGAAAGGCAGAGAGTAAAAATTCTTGCCTCATTTGGGAAGCCCAGATTCTAGCAACTTCTGTGCAATAAAGTGATAGCAATAGTCCCCTGAGTTTATTAGCTGAGAAGGGTGAAGAAGGAAAATGCTATCTGTTTCAGTTCTCTGTTGTACCGAAGGGTACCCTGTGTATTAGTCTGTTCTCATGCTGCTAATAAAGACATACCCAAGACTGAGTAATTTATAAAGGAAATGACTCACAGTTCTGCACGGCTGGGGAGGCCTCAGGAAATTTACAATAACGGCATAAGTGGAAGCAAACACATCCTTCTTCACATGGCAGCAGCAAGGAAAAGTGCCGAGTAAAATTGGGGAAAGCCCCTTATAAAACCATCAGATCTTGTGAGAACTCACTAGCTATCATAACAACAGGATGGGGGAAACTTCCCCGATGATTCAATTATTTCCACCTGGTCCCTCCCACAACACGTGGGGATTATGGGAACTACAACTCAAGATGAGATTTGGGTGGGGACACAGCCAAACCATATCACCCTGCCAAAGAATATCCCCTCTGTTGCCATGGTTGACTTCTATGGCAAATTCAGCTTCTGCTCTTTTGGAACTTGTCTTGTCATTCAGACTGAAAGAGTAAAGGTAACTAAGGTGGATCTAAGGTGCCTAAATTTATTTTTATTTTTTCACTGTTAATCTAAAGGTATGGTCAGAAAAGCTCAGCCAAACCATGTAGTGAGGTATTTAGGATGAAAATTTTATTGCAATTTTAACACAGATGATCATTTTTATTTTCAAGATACTTATCTACTGTAGTTTTCGTTTATATGGTAAACAGAAAATATAAACCCCCTTAAAGATTGAAAACCACAGCTATCTCACAATAAAAACGTAAAACAAATATACTTCCACAAATAATTCTTTCAAATATTATTGAATCTTAAGTGTCTAGGAAGCAAGAATAGACTTTTCTCAAGATTGGAGCCACAGTGAAAGGTAAATAGTTATTTGGGACAAACTATTTCCAATCCCTGAGTGATGGGGTGATTCAGGAGCATGGATGCAGCGAGCCAACCAAGTCAGAAGTTGCAGAGAATATAAACTCCTCCATCTCCCACAATTCCTCACACTCACATAACAAGAAACTGACACTAAAAAATATTCAATACAATGGCAAAAGAAAAAATATTTTTAAGTGTAGATATATTTCCATTTACATTTATCTGTCAAGATCTGTCAGAACCTACATATCCAAACCGTAATGTCCTGTGTGTCCCCAGCTGACTGGGCAATCAGGCAGACGTAGCGACTGTTTGAAGATGTCTCATATATCAATGGGCACAAAGTGCTTTCCGAAGAATAATTTTTTAAAGAAATGAAGCTGATCGACAACTTGCTAAGACACAAATATGACACCGAAAACTCAACTTGAATCTCACAATGGGTGTGGACACAAACACCTTTAGTCTTGATGTTGCGCTTGTTTTTGGAGCATGAGTGAGTCAAAAAGCTTGAAGTTTGGTATTAAAATATTTTTAATCATTGCATCTAGTTTCCCTCTTTCTCAACACTAGAGTGAAAGGGGTATATATACAGAGCAGTTACATCAGTCTGTGAAGCCCAGGCCCCTGCACAGATCATGCTGCAGCTGCCTTAGCTGGGAGTGGGTGGGCCAGGGCAGTTCATCCCAACAACATCTCCGTATGGTGCTCTGAGTAACCCCAAGTGAATCCCTCTCTGTAAAGAATTCTAACACATCCTATGCAAGATGGTAAGGCACTTTTACTATTCTTTGCCCCTCCTTTCTCTCTCTTCCTAGGTTCTGAGGCAGAGGCTAAAATTCATTTCCCAGGCTCCCTTGCAGCTACGGTACAGGTACACACTCAGGCTCCTGCCAGACCCTGAACTGGAAGCTGGTAATGTGGAGAATCAGTGATGGTACATGTGGGTGTGATGGCAGCTACTCTGGGCTTTCAGAGACAGCTGTGGCAGCAATTCCAGTGGCAGTTTTTGAGCACCCAGGGTCAGGTGTCGGCTGTGTGAGCTGTGGTGTTTGCATCCAATAGAGGCAGGCGAGGTACCTTCTTAGGATCAGCTCTGTGGTGTGATTTGAGTGTTATTCTGTCTACCCATCCTGCATGTCTGAAGATTCTCTAGCTCTCCTGAGATTCTCTGAGCATTGCATGCCTTTTGAGAAATTCCTTCTATGGTAAAGTTCACCAAAGCTGCTGACTACTGCTTTTATAAGAATGCCCATGGTGGATACAGCTTGGGAACAGAACAAAATTCTCTGAGGTTGGAGTCCTTGTTATTTGCAGCAAAGGTTATTTGATTAGGATTTGGGTCACAGCTACCCTGTCACTGTCTGAGTTCTTCCCAAACCATAGAGTTGGTGGTGGTTTTCATTTTCTGACCTTGCAGGGACACAAGGGAAAATATTGAGTACATCTGTGAAAGTCCCTGCCATCTTCTAAGGATTTATCGTGCAGGTCTATGCTACTCAAATAATGATATTCTTCTTGATCTTAGAGGAAAAAAAGAGAATTGAAAAACTCCAGAAAAGACTGGAAATCGTAGAGGTCTGGAACTGTGTGTGTTCACTGCCATAGGGAAAGTATTTTTTTAAAATAATACAATAACCCAAAAACAGATTTCTTTCTGCCTTGCCCAAGATTTTGAACATCACCAATAATATTTGAGCAGCTGTGAGCACATAAGTCCACGCCCTTGCTCAAACCACATATTAAATATAATCAATTCTTGTTATTCATGGTAGTTATGTTCTATAAATTGCCAAAAACACAGAGCATTGCATCTAGCAAAAATATGGGGTTAGGTTGCTTGGAGCCTCTGTTAAACATTTTGGTCAACCAATCAACATATAACCTTGTTTTCTGTGTGCTTCTGTTTAAAAGACATCTTATTTAATATCTATTGTTGATTCATTAACATTAAACTGGAGGTAAATATAATCACTTGAAATGATTACATATGAAATATATCATTTCAAATATAAAGCATTATATTTCACTGAACTATTGGGTATGTAAATTGCTTGTAGTTTTTACTATTATAAATAGCTCTACTGTAAACAATTTTAAAGAAAGTTTTCATTTTCTTTACCATCATTTCCTGAGGATAAATACCCCAAACAGGTTGAAGAAAGTAAGTATCCCTGATTGCTTATAATAAACTAAGTAGGTCCTTTCAGAAAGTGATGACTAGCTTTCCTGTTTCCACAATAGTTCTCCTGCATTGAATTTTTCTTTCTCCTGCATTGGATTTTATTTTATTTTTCCTTCTTTTTGAGATGAGGTCTCCCTCTGTTACCCAGGTTGGAGTACAGTGGTGCAATCATGGCTCACTGCAGCCTCGACCTGCCAGACTCAAATGATCCTCTGACCTCAGCCTCCAGGGTAGCTGAGACTACAGTTGTGCACTGCCCGGCTAATTTTTTAAATTTTTTGTACAGACAGTGTCTCTCTATGTTGTCCAGGCTGGTCTTGAACTCTTGGATTCAAGCAATCTCCCACCTTCGCCTCCCAAAGTGCTAGGATTATAGGCATGAGCCACCATGCCTAGCCTATTTCTTTAATTTTAATAAATTAATAGATATGACTATATCTCATTTTTGTTTTCGTTTGCATTTACTTAATTACTGGTGAGGTTGAAGAGTTGTTCATACATTGACTCAGTTATTCATTCAATTAATTAACATTTATCAAGCTCCTACTAGGCAGACCAGGAAACCAGGCCTGTGTCAGACACTGTCCCTGCCTTTGGGGGAACCTCTCCTCCACCTGTCTTTACTTTTATACAAACTGCCTGTTAAAATTCAACTATCTGCTTATAGGAGGCTTGTGCCATCTTTTTAGCTTGAATAAGCACTTTATGTAATATAGAAAACAAATATGTACCTATTATATTTTCAATATCTTCCCAATTTACTCTTTTCTTAGTTTTGATGGTTTGGTTAAATAACTATAATTTTTATATAGCCAGAAATAACAGTCATACTCAAAATAAAAATATTTAATAATTAGAAAGATAAAATATCAATATGTGATAAAATCAAAAATATTTAATCAAAATCTATTTAAAATTTCTTTTGTTTGCTGAATTAACTATATCCTAAAATATACATGCTACATTATGGAGAAAATAATTTCCAAAATATTCTGGAAATTTCCAAATCATTGGTCTTTTTTTTTTTTTTTTTTTTTTTTTTTTTACAGATTGTTATTGTGATCTTAGTTGATGTAGCTATCACCTAGCTAAGTGATGCTCCTGTTCAAACCATGTAATAACCACATCAATAACTTCACTGTTATACTGACAGTCTGCTCCTGGGCATACTGCAGGCTCTGCACTACTGGGTTATTATATACCTGGATGCTAATGCCTCCCAGAGGGCCTATGCTCCAACTGACTCTGCCCCTGCACCCCCATTCTCCCCAACCCCCACTTCCAAAACACTGCCACCAATGCCACCTGCTCCACTGCCTGCTTTGTCATCCCTGACAACGTAGAGCAGAGGGAGGGCACTATGCACACCTCCACTCTCACCTCCCGGACCACTCAGTGGCTACTGGGGCTGTCAATATCTATGCTGGCCGTCCTCCCATGTCCACTACCCCGCCATGGTCACTGATGGGTGGCATGATAAGATGCCTTATAATCTCAATAAAGAGATACTTTCTCAGCTGGGCGTGGTGGCTCACATCTGTAATCTCAGCACTTTGGGAGGCCTAGGCAGGCCGACTGCTTGAGCCCAGGAGTTTTGAGATCAGTCTGGGCAACAAAGTGAGACTGCTTCACTACAAAAAATAGAAAAAAAAAAATTAGCTGGGCATGGTGGTGCACACCTGTGGTCCCAGCTACTTTGGGAGGCCGAGCTGGGAGGATTGCTTGAGCCTGGGAGGTTGAGGCTCTGGTAAACCATGATCACACTGCACTCCAGCCTGGGCAACTTTTTTTGTCTCCAAAAACAAGAAAAGAAAAAAAAAAAGAAATACTTTCTCTTTACCAACTGGTATGAAAACATTTCAGTATGTTAACACCCAATATAGCTCTAATGGTGCATGCCAACTCTGGATATCCCAAAACAAATGCTTTATATAAAATGATAATTCAGAAACATAATTCTGGCAGATTTAACACTTACTTAGATAGCAAATCCTAAGCATTCTCAAATATTTTAGATGGTCAATATGGCAGGGTGTGGGAACACACTGGTATCATCCTCAAATTCTCCACATTTGAGCTTTGCATGCATAGACTGAATATCTAACCTAAATAAACAAAACCCAAAGTCAGCTGATGAAAGCATATAAAGGATGGATACATTTACACCATTACTTTTATTCAATCATGACTGTTGAGCTACTCTTTCTGGCAATTAGACGACCAATAGATCCAAAATCTCACTAAGGCCAGCTGGAAAGAACTTTAGGAAAGCAAAGTTTCTCTCTGCTCTGCCCCAGGCCCATTTCTACCCTCTTGCAGAGAACATGGAAAGAAGACACAGAACTGGTTTCTGGGAGTAAAAGTATTGAGTCTGTTAAGAAAAATGTTCCAAAGCTCAGAAAGAAGGCAGAAAGATTACTGTGTGCCCTTCAATGTCATACTAGATCCTAGGTTCATCTGACACTGTAGGAGGACACTTATTTGAATGAAAAAATAACCCCAAAGCTTATGGTTTTATTGCCCTGTGGGACATTAACCAGTGTTGAATATAACTTGGCAATCTCATTTCCACATTTCTTCTTTCATTGATTATATATAATTCAGTCTCGTGTATTCCTGAAACCAGGTTTTTTCACTCAGTGTTTCCTTCAGTGAGTTAATCAAATCTTTTACATGTGCTTGTTACATATTTGTATGAGATTTCATGTTCTTAACTTTTTCAATAAGTATATAAAAATGCTCCAAGTCACTAATCATTAGGGAAATGCAAATAAAAATGGCAATGAGCTATCACCTCACACCTTTCAGAATTAGAATTTAAAAAACAGAAAATAACAAGTACTGGTGAGGATATGGAGAAATTGGAGCCCTTGGGTACTGTTGGGGGGAATGTAAAATGGTTCAGCTGCCATGGAAAACAGTATGATGCTTCCTTAAAAAATTAAAAATACAACTATCATATGATCCAACAATTTCATTTCTGAGTATATACATGAAAGAATTAAAATCAGGGTCTTGAAGACATATTTGTACACTGGTGTTCATAGCAGCATTATTTACATTAGGTAAAAGGTGGAAGCAACCCAAGTGTCCATTGATGGGTGAATGGGGAAACAAAACATGACAAATACTTCCAATGGAATATTATTGCACTGTGAAAAGAATGGAAATTCTGACACATGCTACCATGTGGATGAACTTTAAAGACGTTATGCTAAGTGAAATAAGCCAGTCATAAAAATACAAATACTGTGTGATTCCACTTATATGTATGTAGTCAAATTCATAGAGACAGAAAGCAGAATGCTGACTGCCAGGGACTGGGGGGAGGGCAGAATAGGGAGCTATTGTTTATTTAAAACAGAGTGTCAGGTTTTAAATTTTTAAAAATTTTTTGATAGAGATGGGGGTTTCACTGTGTTGGATTTTCAGTGTTGCCAGACGAAGAGCTCTGTAGATGGATGATGATCATGGTTGAACAACAATGTGAATGCATTTAATGCCACTGAACTGTAGTCTTAAAAATGGTTATGATGGTAAGTTTTATGCTACAGGTATTTTACCATACTTTAAAAAGTTTATTTTCCTTTCTCTATCCTCAATTTTGAACACAAGTCCTAATTCTGTTTAATGTCGGAACTATTATTACTTCAGTTCCATCCCAGCTAGGGATGGCCTAACCCTCAAGGGAGTAGGGCTGGCTCAGAGACTGTGGCATCAGTTAGAGAGTGGCTGGAACCTGGTGGAGGCAAAGCCAGTCAAGAGCTGATGGAGGTAGGGGCGGGGGCTGAAACAGGCAGGGAGAGGGGAAAGGATCAAGTTCTCCAAACAAGCCTTAGAGCAAACTGTTTGTCAGAAAGGGGTCAGGACAAGAAATATGCTGTAGAGACAGGGTGGTGTTAAAAGGGAGAGAATCATACACCAGGACATAGGTCCTTGAAGATCAGGTCAATTCCAGAGTAGAGATGGGGGTCCCAGAAAGCTCAACAAGGCACTATCAGATACAGAGATCTTCTCACAGCTGCTCTTTCTTTCCACTTTTTCCATCTTTCCTCACTGCTGCTGAAGGGAAATACACCAGAATCTTATGGTCTTTATTAATGAGTGGTCTGGATTACCTCAGCATTTGATTTCCACCAAATCCTCATGGTATTGCAGTAGGAGCACTGAAGGGAGAATTGACAATACCCAAGTGCTGTAGCTAGCTGTCAAAGAAAGGGGACAGTGCCTTGGTTCCAGGAGCAGTTGGCCGGGAAGCTCTTCCCTATGGATGGCAGAGACATTCCTCATCTCAGAGGTTGGAACGTTACAGAGTTCGAGGGCTCTGCAATGAGTTGCACATTTGCGTTCAGTGCACATTGTACCATTTTTAGTTATTTTTAATTCAGACAAAGAGCCTTCCCTGGTCCTTTGTGGCTGTTTGTTTGTTCCATTGGGCTTTTGCTGGAGCTGTTATTTAACAGTTTCCTCTTTCTTTCTTTAATAAGTGATCTTTTTTAGCTTTGTTTCATGTTACTTGCTTGTATCTTTCACTTTTTATTAAACAGGGATGAGGAAGCAAGGGAAGAGCTCTGAGAACCATCCCATCATTTCTCCTGGCCAGGTCTGTGGTGTGCCTTCCTACATCCATCCCAATGCTCATCAGAACCATATGTCAGATCCAGCAAAATCAAAATGCAGGGGCTACTTCTACCCTTAAAATTGTTCTTGCAAGTCATTCAAAAGAACCACTAAGAAAGGAAAAAAATAATTCTCTGTCATTTCCTGTATAATTTAAATATCTCATAATCATTTTTAAGCAATAATATTAGCCTCAAAGGCAGCTTGGGGACATGGTTGGAATAATGCCACTCCAAAATTTTTAGAAAATGAGATCTGTAAACTAGTATTCATGTTCTCTAACATATGTAACCACAGGACACAGGCAATTCACTTGAGAAGCCCAGGCCATAGATGGAAAGTAAAATAAATGGGAAACAATACCCAGAGAGCATGAACCCTCTAGAGAACAGTTACGGGGTGTTAAATACATAGCCAGAGGGTTTCTCTGCTGATAGAGCCCCTTTCATACTAGCAGGCCTCCCAGTCATCTCATTTTAAGGCAGAACTTGAAAAGAATGTTAGTACTATGCAGATATTTCCCACTAACTTGCTGTAAAACATTATTCCCTCAAAACATTGTGGGGCACACAGCTGTTATGCCCCTATGGGACCCTGGCTCCAACATGGCAGAGCCAATGACAGTCTGTCTACTTGGCCATCACGTAAGTTCACGTAGCCTCCCATCACATAAGTTCCTTGCCCTCCCAGAACCAGGTGAGAAGGGACCCTACACTACTTGGTAATCTACTAGGAAATGAAGGCAACATTAAACATGGGCTTATGTCCCTGGAAAGCAAATTTGATCATGGATTCACCCATTTAATAACTTTTTCATCAAACTCCTCAACTTATCTCTCCTTTTTTGAAGTTACTGCTAGAATACCAGTTCAACTGGAAATTTGGTTCCATCTGTGGGGCCTACCAAGTGACACTTCTTCATTTTAACATTATCCTTTTTACGTCACAGGTTTACTCCCATGATGCCCCCACCCCGGAATTGTCCAAGATGACAACCTGCCTCCTTAGTTATGGGGGCCATCACTTCTACAGCTGCCTGACATTACAAAGTCTCATTCTTCACCTAGATGATCAAACTAAGGAAACCCATACATTTCCTAACTGTAAGTGAATGACTTGACTCTACCGTATTCAGCCTAGATTGACCTGGACTGTCCAACTCTAGTTAGTGCTAACAAAGCAGGCAGTATACAACATATATTCCTAAATTTCCAAAGGCCAAAGTTCTTCTTCAGCCCTGAGGGCTCTTGGAATATACTCCATGGTAAGTCAACATTCACTCCTGGATTGTGGCTAAAAGGACGCCACCCAAAGAGACTGGCATCTACTCTAATATGATTCTACTGCATAGTAGCATTATTCACTTGTTCCTTTTGTTTCAACACTATTCCTCCTTTACTCACTTTATTATTTGTGATGGCTGTCATCATTATATAATTCATATATTCATCTTTTTTGGCTTTATGTTATGTTCAATAATGACACATTATTCTATTTCCTTATGATTTTAGTTCATGTATTATAATCCTGCCTTATATTCTAGTGTATGACTTTTTGTTTAAAGTGCGTATCTTTTATGTGGCATTTTAAAGTTTATGGCTATAATGATTGTTATATTTTGGCCATCTATCTTTCTTATTTTCGCTATTCCTTATTTTCACTTTATAAATGCCATAGTTATTAATTAAGCACCTTAAATATACTCCCTTCTAAGTAAAATTATTTCTATGTAAATCAAATCTGCACACAAACACATACAAACACAAGTCACTAAAATTATCAAATTCATATTTTGGTGATTTCTAGTTACAGCAATAATAAAACCCAAAGCTCTTAGGCTTCTTTCTATGGGTAAAAAAGAACATTTAGGCTATTGGTTTTAGTTCTTCCTCATCTTATCTCATTCTCAATTTTTGGACTGTTATTTGGAAACTTATACTTTTCTTGGGAGTCAGAAAGACACCTATTCAATTCTGACTCTACAACTTAACAAAGCAAGTCACTTAACCTCTTTGAGACTATTTTCTCATCTGAAACAAGAGGACAATACCACCAGGGTTTTTGAAGACTGAATGAAATAATGTGTTATAAAAAAACTTGATAATTATAGATGTTCTCTAAATATTAGTTCCCTTCCTCTCTTCCTTTTACGTTTTAGATCACAATTTTATTCTGCAACGGGTCTATGGTCTATGCATTGATCCTCCTAGTTAATGTTTTTAGTATCCCATCTTGACAGCAGGACTTCATAAGGTGGCCACAGTGTGAAGAAATTCCTGTTCTGAATCCAAAGTGTAAGGTCATTGACTATTTAGGGTTAGTGGGTATATTAGTCTGTTTTCACACCGCTGATCAAGACATATCCGAGACTGGGCAATTTACAAGAGAAAGAGGTTTAATTGGACTTACAGTTCCACATAGCTGGGGAAGCCTCACAGTCATGGTGGAAGACCAGGATGAGTAAGTCACGTCTTACGTGGATGGCAGCAGGCAAAGAGAGCATGTGCAGGACAACTCCCATTTTTAAGACCATCAGATCTTGTGGGACCCATTCACTATCGCAAGAACAGCACAGGAAAGACCCGCCCCATAATTCAATCATCTCCCACTGGGTCCCTCCCACAACATGTGGGAATTATGGGAGCTACAAGATGAGATTTGGGTGGGGACACATAGCCAAACCATATCAGTGGGATATGTGAAAATCTTTCTCTAGCTTTTCCAAATGAATGACATCTTGCCTGGATAATTTTTTTCCATAAAAAGAGCTGCAGATGTTGTTTCATTTCCTTGGGGAGTTCATGGTCTTAATTTCAGCTACATCTGAAATCAGTACTTGGAATATTATCTGGCCTTTTTTCCAGATGTTTAGGATTTCTTCCTCACTGAAGTTTGAAAATGTTATAAGTAAACATCTTGGCATCTTTCTCTGGATGTAAATTTCCAGATTAACTTCCTAATACATAGGCCACATCTTTAATGAATTCTGGAAATATTGTCTACCTTAAATTGTTGATTCGTTAACATTTATTTATTCTATTAGCTCAAGTACTTTCACCTATTATTTTTAAGTTAAAACACTGTGTTCCATTCTAGAAGTGGATCATTTTGGCCTGGCATTATTTATACATGTTTATTTAAGCTATCCAATTTTTTATTTGATTCTGTAGTTAATAAATATGCTTCCCTAATTAACTATTTAGTAGTTCTCCATGTAAACTCTTCTCTTTACTAGTTCTGGAAATATTCTTAATTGTATGTAATACTGTAATTTTCACTAAATGGCTTTTTATTTCCTGGCTTTAGTTATGTCAGGCAATTTTAAAGTTCATTGTTTTTTTTTTCCTATTCTTTTATAGTTTTGTTATTTGGAATTACAACTTTTAAAAATTAGCTGAATTATTTTAAAAGTTCTTCTTTGTTTTTTGGATACTGAGGCTATGTTATTGAAGATTTTTGTTTGAGAAAATGTCATTGGCATTTGAATGGGTTTACTATGAAGAAGGCTATCTATACTGCTACTTAGGCCATTAATTTCCCAGAAGCAACAGTATTTTTACTTTAAATTCTAGTTTTTAGAAATAAGTACAGAAGTACTGTAGGTTTTGTTAAACTAACGATAAAATTCTTCCAATAAGTGAGACTCCTCTATGTACTTTTATGTACCAATAAGCTTATATCTTGAGGTTTTATCTTCAAATGAGCCTCTGTCCAACAGATAAAATTATACTTAAAAAAAAACTGAAATGTAAATAATTAGTTTCCTCTGTTAGGATTTTACTCTTAACATCATGACTGATCTAGAACTAAAAGAAGAAACATCCTGCCTAACCACACAGAGCTCAAAGTACTGTTTTCCTCCATAATAATAATCCACAATAATATGATCCATTGTAGCAAAGTTGGAATTAAGTCAAGTGGCGCAAAGCTCTGCTTTAACATTTCTTAAGTCAAGCTTATGACATCTGTCCCTGGAGATCTGAATTAGGAACTCCTCAGTATGTTAGTCTGAGAACAAGTTTTAGCATTAAGAAAAGAGAAGCTATTTATTTTTATATTTATCACACACCCAGCCATTTTACCAAATTTCCAACTCCAAACGAAGCAAAAATCTTTATATATCGAGAAATGCACTTTAAAATAAAACTACGATATATTTGAATTGAGAAGCATGTTTTCCAGATGGAAACCGCAAAATATAAAAAAGTCCTTTCCAATAATACATGATTTTAATGCAGTTGTAATTGGAATCTCAATGGTTGTTTTCCCCTTTTTGCAATATAACAAAATGAGTTTAAATTTTATATGGAAAAAATGTCAAACAATAGCAATAAATGTTTAAAAAGAAGAATAAAATGGGACCCAGTTACTTTTCTAGATATTAAAACCTGAAATCAAACTATTATAATGAAGATGGCATCATTGACATTGGAATAGAAAATAAATCCAGGAAATATAATAAAAAGTACAGAAATTGATCCAAATTGATCCAAGTATATGTGGAAACAATATATGACTAAAGTAGTGTTCCAATTCAGTAGATAAAAGAGGGTTTTTAAAGTAAATGATGTCATGGAGTTGGCTGTTTGGAGGAACATATTTATAGCTCACATCATATACAAAATATATTCTAGATGGATTTAATACATAACATGGAGAAATGTTTTTTAAAATATTAGAAGAAGAATAAGGAGGATATTTATATTACCTTGGATAGAGGAAATATGCCTAAGCAAGACAAGAAGCCAAAAAACTATAAAGGAAAACACAGACATATGTGAATAAATACTTTTTAAAAAAAGAAAGAAAAAGAAAAAGTATGACAAAGGATACTATAAGCAAAACAGACAAATGATGGGCTGGGAAAGAAATAACTGCAGCATATAAAGCGGACAAAGTATTACTATCACTAATAAACTAAGGATTCTGTATAAATTGAGGGAAGAGTCAAATAACCTTATAAAAACATGGGCAAAGGATTCAAAACGACATTCACAGAAGAGAAAATGCAAAAGATCAATGAAAACATATGAAAATATGCTCAACTTCACCAGAATTCAAGGGAATGCAAATTAAAATAGAATACCATTCCTCACCCATTAGAGTGGTAATTTCCAGTGATGACTAGGAGATAGAAAACAGGCAGGCTCATATTTACTAATGGGCATCCAAATTGCTACAACCTTTTAAGAAAGAAATCTAGTAATATATATTAAAATGTAAGAGACCTAAGTGCTTTTACTCAACAATCCCCCTGTTTGGGATTCCACCACAGTAAAGCATGGATGTATGACAGGTTAGTTAGAAGAAACACAACCACAACCAAGGAAGACAAAACTAATATCACTCCACAGGCGACAGTGGAGTGAAGATGATATAATCATTAACATGAATCTGTTAGATCCACAACTACAAGCTAGGTGAATTCTGTGACATTTGTCACATAAAAGATAGCTGCACATTAACTTTTATATTTGAAAAATTTCCAGACAACTACCTAATATGCATGCATGTGATTGAACTGTATGCAGTTGCTGATTTCAACTACTTTGGCCTAATAAAATAACAATTTCATAAATTGCAACCCAACATATGTTTATTACACATTTATGAGCATGAAGAAAAACGTGGAATAATACACCCCAAAGCATTAACATTGGTTACATGGGGGAGGAGGGAGGCAAGGGAGAAAGGGGGAAATGAGCTTCTTCCTATATCTTTTTACTTGTAAAAACAAGAGCGTGTTACATTTGTAAATTAAAAATACCTGATAAAGAAAATAAAGAAGCCCAGGCCTGGTGGCTCATGCCTGTAATCCTGGCACTTTGGGAGTAGGCTGAGATTGGAGGATCACTTGAAGTGAGGAGTTCGAGACCAGCCTGGCCAACATGGCAAAACCGTCTCTATAAAAAATTACAAAAATTAGCCAGGCATGATGGCACATGCCTGTAGTCCCAGCAGAGGCAGGAGAACCGCTTGAACCCAGGAGGCAAAGGTTGTAGTGCGCCAAGATCGCGCCATAGCTCTCTACCCTGAGGGACAAAGTGAGACTCTATTTCAAAAAAAAAATAAAATAAAATAAATAAAAGAAAGAAAAAAGACTCTCAGGCTCGATATTGCTTGAAAACATATATCTACATATGTCTACGGTAATGGCCCACTTTATCAAACATAATAAAAAACAATTTACGTCCTTGTCTCTTTCACCAAGATGGTTAAAAATGAGTTGTTTAAAAAAATAGACTTCCAGAATATATTTGCAATGAAACTAGCAAAAATTAAAATTCAGAGAACTGAATGACTGTTCTGTCCAACACTTAACTGTTGACAAGTGGAGCAAGAGGAACTCTTATACTGCTAATGAAGAATAAATTGGTATAACCACTAATGGTCAACCTAATAAGGTGAATATTTGCAATGTTCTATGCCTTAGCAACTGAACTCCAAAGTATACGTCCTAGAAAAACTCCTGAATGTGAACCAGGAGACATGAACAGAATGCACACAGCAGCATCGTGCATCAGAGCAAAAAGGTGGACACAACCCAAATGCCCAACATGTGTAGAATGAATAAAGTGTGTGATATTTCACACAGTGGAAGAATGATACACTAATTATTGCTAGATAGCAGTAAAAATGGGTAAACTACAGCTATGTACATCCACCTGGATGAATCTCAAAACATAATGTTGGTTAAAAATCCAAGCCAAAGAAGAAGCATGATGTCATTTATTTAAAGTTCTAAAACAGGTGAAACTAAACCATATGCAGGGAAGTGATAAATAAAATGTCCAGATTATGGCTTTCTGGGAAGGAAGAAAAAGGAGGATGGAATTGGAGAGAAGCATACAGGAGTTTTTAAAGGTGGTACTTAAAAGATGGGGAATGTATGTGGGTTTGTTCTACTAACAGTCTTTAATATATATATGTATGCACATGTATTCATTATTTTGATGTGTGATATTTTACATATACACACATACATACACATATAGACACAGAAAGAATGCCTTTAGGTCTATGTCTAGCTTTCACAGCTTTATGCCTATGAAGCTACGAAAGACCAGAATATGCAACCCCCAAATGGGAAGGAATTGTTGATCTGAAGGCTACCAAGAAGCAGATGCAAGAAAATTCTTTACCTCCTTCTATTTGCCTTAAAGTAGGACACAGATTTATTAAAGACAAAAAGGTATCCCGCCCCGCACTCCCCTCCTTCTCTACCGGGGAGAACGAAGGCTAATCATTGAGGACAACTTAAGACCCTTATTGGCCTGGAGATGGTATGAGAGGAATCTACATGAACAAGGATTACTAACTTGCCTTTATCTGCCATTTATTTGCCTTCCCCAAAATTGACCCACTTAGAGACTGAAAGTTATTTTCCATTGTCTTGTCACTTCTCTAAAGAATGTACTGTTCTTTGCTGAAGATGCTCTATAAGCTGGAATTCAAAGCCATCTCTTTAGGAACTACTCAATTTCATATACCATGTGTATATGAAATAAACATGTTAATAAACTTGTTTGTTTTTTGCTTTTTAATCTGTCTTTTGTTACAGGGGGCCATTCCAACTAAGAACCTATAAATATTGAAGAAAAACTTATTTTTATTCCCCTACAAAGCCCATCCGCTTATTGAAGAAGCCACTTAACCATCTTCCAGGTATACTTTGTGTTGTAGATTCTTAATACATAACTGAATAAATATATTTCTAGAGTAATACTCAAAGGAATATTGCTGAGAGCCATATTCTTCCAGTGCCAAAGTAAAATGGAAAGTTATCTTATGGAATTTTTTGTTGTATGCCAGAACTGGAGAGAATATAACAGAAAACCCAAGCTAAACACACACTGTGACATAAATATTTCCAAGTCACCTTGGGAAAATAATTTGCCAAGTTATAGCAAAAAGCAAAGGTAATATTTCTGAGTAGAGTTACATTGGTTTTACTTTTACCCTGGGTTAAGAATACCTTTCTTTCACTTTAAGATTTAAACTAAATGACACCAAAACTCCAACCTTGGCTAGTAAGATTTTTGAGGGCAGGGGAAAAAAATGCCTTTTCTCAACCACAAATCTCGTGTACTCAGGAAACACTGATTTGTTGGGAATAGACCAGGTGGAGCTCTATTTCCAGATATTACAATGTTGGTCCTGATTCACAGCAGTTGAGCGGCTAAAAGCATTCTAAATAAGGCAGTGTTTCACCAGGTGAAGGAAGACAATTAGAAAGGGAGGAAGTCTGTCCTTATTCCCATCCTCCACAGCTGCCTGAAACCAAAGTTGTACCCATGACTGAATCACTACTCATTTTGATCTCCCGGCTTCTTTTCCTTTCCAAGGATTATTTTGAGTACTTGGACTTCTATTTTACTCACTCAGTTGTATCTACTGTGGTTAGGAGTTTGATAAATAATCTGATTTAGCTAAGATGCTTTACTGACAGGATATCCTGTATCTAGTTAACTAAGTAAGGCTAGAGGAAAGAGTGATTAGATAATCTGAATGCATGTTATTTTTAAAAAGTAAAGGAAAAGACAAAAAAGCCAAAGTAGCTACAGGGCCTTTATTATCTCCAATAAACCAAAACAGTACGGCACTGAACTACCTTGTATCTGCGAACACAATTTATCTCTAGATGTCACATTTTTATTTTCTAATGCTAGAAAGTTCTACATTGTGCTCAACACCTGGAAATATAGGTGCAGTACAACCAATGAGTTAAAAAGCTTTAAGTTTTCCCTTTAGCAAACAAAAAAAGGGAAATTAAATTAATGGCTGCTCTTGAATATTTATTTTTCCCAAAGTTTTTCAGACTGCTTTTATAAAATAACAGTTTTACTGATATATAATGAAATACCATAAAATTCACTTTGAAGGTATACAATTCAGTGTTTTTAGTATAGTCACAGATTAGACTGTGAATTCTGTACCCATCACCACTATCAAATATCAGAATATTTTCATCACCCCAAAAAAGCAAACCCAAGGACCGGGCATGGTGGCTCACTTTGTGAGGCCGAGGCAGGCGGATCACTTGAGGTCAGGAGTTTGTGACCATCCTGGCCAACATGGTGAAACCCCGTCTCTACTAAAAATACAAAAATTAGCCGGGCGTGGTGGCACACACCTGTAGTCCCAGCTACTTGGGAGGCTGAGGCAGGAGAATTGCTTGAACTCAGGAGTCGGAGGTTGCAGTGAGCAGAGATCGCTCCAATGTACTCCAGCCTAGGCGACAGAGCGAGACTCCATCTCAAAAAAAAAAAAAAAAAAAAAGCGCAAACCCATACCCATTAGCAGTCACTTCTCCTTCCCCTCTTCCCTCTCCCCCAGTCTGAAACCACTAATCTACCTCCTGTCTCTATGGATTTGTCTATTCTGGACATTTCAGTGCCTGGGATCATATAATATGTAGCCTGTTGTGTCTAGTTTCTTTCACCTAGCATAGTGTTTTCAGGGTTCATCCATGTTGTAGCATGTATCAGTACCTTGTTCCTTTTCATGGCTGAATAATCCATTGTATAGATACACCACATTTATGTTGTTTCCTCCAGGTTGCTTGTTTATGATAAGAAACAAAAGCAAGCCTAGGAAGCAGAAAGAACCAGATTCCAGCTGCGTACTCAACCTAAACCAGGGATTAACAAACACAATTACTATTATATCTGCATTTATACCCAATTCTTGTAAACTGCACTACTCCTGGAGGATGTTAATGGAGACGTCAGCTGTGGTAACATGGAATTCTAAAAATTTCTCTTACACTATTAATGAGGAAAGAAGAAAGAAAATGGAATTTTAAAAAATTGAGGCTGAGGTAGGAAGATTACTTGAGCCCAGGTATTCAAGACCAGCCCAGGTAACATAACGAGACCCTATCTCTTCAAAAACATTTAAAAATTAGCCAGGCGTGGTGGTGTGCACCTGTGGTCCTAGCTACTGGGGAGGCTGAGGTGGGAGGATCGCTCAAGCCCAGGAGGTCAAGGCTGCAGTGAGCTATGATCATGTCACTGTACTCCAGCCTGGGTGACAAAGGAAGTCCTTGTCTCAAAACAACAACAACAACAAAAACAAACAAACAAAACGATAATTGAGTAATTGCTACTATAGGTAAGCAGATAAACATATTGTGGTATACCAATACAATAGAATACTACCCAAGAATAAAAAGAATAAATAGTTGATGCATACAGCATGGATGTATCTCAATGTAATTACATTGAGATGGAGATAGAAGGGAGAGATGATCATGGAGCATGAGGAAACTTTTGAATGAATACGTTCATTATCTTGTTGGTGATGATGGTTTCATGGGTGTATGCAGTCAAAATTCATCAAATCATACACTTTGAATATGTGTTATTTATTGTATATCAACTATACCTAAATAAAGCTGCTAAGAAATAATTTTTTAAAGGAGCATAGGCATACTCATCAAATTACATACATCAAATATGTGCAGCTTTTTAAAATCTCAATTATACTTCCATATGGTTGTTTTCAACACGTGTATACATCCTAAAAAGGTATTTGCATGACTACTGTGTGGAAAACACTGCCTTCATTTTGCATATATAATTTCAATTAATTTTATAGCAAGTAAAGTTATTCTCATTTTTCATACTAGGAGACTTAAGGTTGAGAAAGTTCAGTAATTTGCCAAGGTGGTCACAGTCAGTATTACGCTAACTTCAGTTCATTTTAACCCCACAGCCCCAGCTCTTTTCTCTACACCACACTGCCTCTCACTGCTCCTATTATAGACCCAACCCGTCCCAGAACTTCCCAAGTCAGGGAATTTTCCCATCCACAGAAGAGGTTGATGCTTTAGGATAGCATTCCACATTTGTTTTGTCCATCATTTTGTGCTGCCACAAATACCTCCCCAACCAATTTATCTGATTCAGTGGATTTATTCATTTTCAGTGGATCAGAGTGGTTAATCTAGATTAGATCAAGGCAAGTAATCCTGGTCCCTGGGTCAAAGAAATGAAAATAATTCACTTGAGATTCAAAGTAAGCTGCAAAAACACCAAAAATTGGCCACTCAACCCACTAGCCAGGTATTACATTTCTTTGGGATAATAGTCATTTCCTTTGATGTCGGGAGGCCCAAGAAGGTGGCTATCTAAAGCTGCTCTGAGGGGTCCAGCTAGTTTTTGTAGCAAACTTGAACCGTAAGTTGAGGTTGACATCCTGTCTCTGAATAAGGAAAGCATAGGGTGGTTTTCTCTCTCTGTGTAGCTCCTCCAGATCATCTTTCACCACACAAACAACTGAACTCTGTCCAAATACTACCATTGTATCTGGGTCCATTTGAACATGGGCTATAACCTTGACTAAGTAAAATTAATAAAAATGTGAAAGCTGGTTTAAACAAGTTTTTGTAAGTTATCTACGCTTTTTGGAAATACTGCCATTCCTTCATGCAAGACTTCCGTGATGAAGGTTAACTGTGCTGTATATCTTCCATTTGCCTCTCCAAATCCATTCTCCATCCTATTCCACCTGGCTTATACCCCAGGAAACTAAACCGCATGAACTCAGTGGCAGACTTCCTTGCTCTTTGCCTCCCAGTTGGGTTTGGCCAATGAGGAGCATGAGCAGGCGATCAGAATAAGTGGAAGAATCAGTTCAGGTTATTTGTTTCCTGGGGTCTCTGCCTGCAGGATCATTATAATCTGGCTATATCCCTTTCCTGGAGGCCACAGCTCCACTAAGGAGGTCCTCTCCCCACTGTCCTCATACCTCAGGCCAAAGGATAATATAGGAGCCCTGGAAAACTGCATTCTCCCTTGCAGTTTTCCTATACTCTGCCCTTATCCTTGGAAATATTCTTTTTACTAAGTACTCTTGAAATTAACCAGTTTGAGGATGCCAATTGTTTCCAATACAGCTGGCATTTTCTGAGGGCTGAGTATGCCCTATTCAGAATATGAACTTATTCAAAGTTCTCAGTTTATATGAAAACACTGACATTCATGGGATTAATAACAAGCCCAGGCAAAGATTAACAATGGCTAGATGAGGAGTAGAGTGGTCAGACAGCATCCATTCAGCCTCACACCAGTGCTCACTGGCAATTGTGTAAGGTGAAGGCATAGTCACAGAACTTATGAGAACAGTGAATGTGGTAGATACATTACACAGATTTTAAAATGTGAGGAAAGCAAAACATTTTCAGGTTGATATGTCATGCTTCTTCATGCTTATAAATTATATTTCCATGGTGACATCAACCTTTTTTGCATATGGTATTCCACTTCGATTGAAGCTTTAAGCCATTTTTTGGTTGTAATTATAAAATATAAAGAAAGAGATGCTTGCTACAATAAAAACTGCCTAAATGGCAAATCTAAGCTTTCAGAGAGGTACCATCTGTTTTTCCTCATTGAGAGGTATTATCATATATAGTGAAAAATGCTATAAAAGTGAAGTGATGCTTTTTCTGTCATGAATAAATTATAATCCCAAGTAGATTTTGATTACTTAGAGCTTATAGCAAAGACATAAGTCCATTAAGGAAAAGATGGATCTTGATCCTATCTGAGCCCAAAACAAATACTTCCTATCTCCAGAATCACCTCAACTATATCATTCCCATGAAGTGTATCTAAAATAGCTGCTTTAAGATTTATTTTCCTTGATGATTTTTCTTTAATGAAGCCAAAATGTTATTAATATTTAACATGAATCTGTAAAGGTCTTTTAAGTAAAAAGGCTAAAATGTTGAAATATTAATAATGACATTTTGTTTTTTTGTTTGGGGGCGGGGGTGTGTGTGTGTGTGTGTGTTATAGAATACGGCAGGGGATAGAAAACAGAAACCCACTGAATAAATCTAGGCCAGCAAGGTAAAAGCTCTATCCTTGTATTCATTATGGGTATTGATTAGAACTTAAAAGAGTATTTGAAAGAAGGTCTCAAAAGAAAATCTGGAGGACCCTGGCAGCTTTCATTTAATTCTGTATAACATCAGATGGCTCTTAGAAAGCACTCACTTATTTTCCAAATAAGTGGTAATTTCACTCTTTCAACTTTTCCTAACTCAGTGTGACATATCAGTGAATACCATCCTACATTTGTGTCATATTTTACAATTTATACAGTATATTCCTATTCATTATCTCAATTGATATTTACATAGTTCAGATATAGTCAGGGTGAATATTATAACCTCCATTTTACAGATGGGGAAACTAAGGCCTGGAGGTATAAGTCAAAACTCTTTTAGTCACAACTTGAATTAGCTTGGGCAAAACATGGGAATGTATTGGCTCACATGGACTGGATTCATGGACTCCAATTATGACTGGGCTCTCTCCTTCTTTCCCTTCTCTCTCTGACTCTCTCCGCCTCCCCTCTGTGCATTGGACCTGATTCTGTCCACAGACTGAAACACAGCTTTCCATGATTCTTACTGCCTTGGGACCAGAAAGGATGAGACCTCTCCTCTCAACTCGAGTTGGAAAATTCCAGAGGAAGAACCTACTGGCCCCTGCTGATGGCAGGCCCACCCTCTGAACCAACTATCGTGGTCTGGTGATGAAATACTGAGGCTTCCTCAGCATGGGTCAAGTCTCCTCCCCTGTGGTCAGTATTACCTAAACAACCTAAGAAAATCGGAACAGAATAGCCACTGAGGAGACTAGGAGGACAGAGGCAGCCACCTTAACTTGTTTCTACTGCCTTAAATAACTTGTCCAAGGGGCAGAATCAAAACAACTGCCCAGATCTTCGGTCTGCACCCGTCTCCTTCACTTCATAGCCTTTACTGCAGGAGCCACAGAGGTGTAACTGTGCCTCTCTCTTCCTCACAGTTACCATGTGGTCTGGCTCAAGACTAATTGGAAAAGACTTGATTCTGTCACTTTTCAGCTGTGTGACCCTAAGCACATTACTTAACCTCTGGGAACCACAGCTTCCTCCTTTGTAAAATAAACAGTTCCTGCGTTGCAGGGTCATCTAAAGGATAAAGGGAGATAATATACCCCAGATGACTTTGAAAATCATAAAAGAACTACATTAAGGTTTATTACTTAAGTTCCGCATATAAATGTTAACAGAGGCTAAAACTACACATTAACATCCTTCAGCTGTAGTTCTCACTACCACCAGCCCTCTCTGCTAGCATCACTTTGGTTCTGACATTTTTTTTCTTTCAGTTTTAAAAGGCACATTTTAAAAATAAGCATAATAGTGTCTCAAAATGTAAAACTTAGCTCAGAAGAAAAGCTTATGAACAGATGGTTCAATGGCACTTATATTCACCTTTTTGATACAGATTAACCAGGAGATGAAAAAATCTCTGGAAGAGACACAAGAAACTCTCCACAGTGGTTACCTCTAGGCACTGAGGCTACAAGTTGGTGGGAAAAAAACGCTTTTATTTTTCATTTATGCCTGTCCCTACTACTTGAATTTTTAAATATTTCACATATATTGTTTTTTTCTGCATGAATTTCTTTCATGATTAAAAAAACCTAACTAAAATCATAATTGTCACAAAAAAGGATCATATACCAGTTATAGTACACAGTATATAGTGTATGCTAGTTATAGTATACAGTATATAGCAGTTATAGTATATAACTGATATAGTGTCTGGTACATAAAAAGCTTTCAATAAGTTTGTGCTTATTGATCAAACTAGATATCCCTAGTTACCACCTAATCAGCTAAAATAAAATCTAGTTTTCATCTCTACGAATGTATATTTTTCCATGAATCATATTGTAAGAAATGCTCATTACCATCTGCCAAGGATATGATTTTAAACTCATAAATTCACACACCAAACATGAAACCTCCTTTTTAAATTCTCAATTTTAAACACAGTACATGTGGCTACCTCTCAACGCTGTTACTGCTCTTCTTATAAGCTGACTTCCTTATTAACATTGGAGGATGCTGGGCTTCTAGGAAGCATACCATTTTACAGCTGCGGGTTTGCATGATATTTTCTAAGAAATTAAAGGTTACATGGCAGCATATGCCAAAGCTAACAGAGATATTTAAATAGTATTTTTTAAAAATGATGTAAATGGCTAGGAAGTTTGAATGCTATGCACTGGTTAAGTGCTATACTGGTTGCCTAGTTACATCTCTGCAGAAAGGTTAAAATGGTTGTCTCTAAACCTAGAAGAAATTTAAAGTCCTAAAGTTTCATAGTTAAGCCAAGGATTACCTGCAAACCCCTATGCAGTCATGCCTTGAAACAAATCCCCGTCAGGTAATGGTGCTTGGGGATGTCTTAAGGAGACTGTTAATAAAAAGTATTTATATATATGAAATTTGTTACCTTGCTCTCATTTCATTAAAGTTATTACTTCTGGACTGTTCTTTTTTTTCTTTTTTTTTTTCTTTTTTTTTTTTTGAGATGGAGTCTCGCTCTGTCACCCAGGCTGGAGTGCAGTGGCACGATCTCTGCTCACTGCAAGCTCCGCCTCCTGGGTTCAAGCCATTCTCCTGCCTCAGCCTCCCAAGTAGCTGGGACTACAGGCATGTGCCACCATGTCCAGCTAATTTTTTTGTATTTTTAGTAAAGACTGGGTTTCACCGTGTTAGCCAGGATGGTCCCGATCTCCTGACCTCGTGATCCGCCTGCCTCGGCCTCCCAAATGGACTCTCCATTTTATCACTACCAATTGCAGTCTGCTACTATAGGCTATTAAAAAACTTTCCAACCTAGCTGATGCAAATTCTGTCCCACGATAGGTGGAAGAAAGTCCAGTATTTTAAATTTTTAAACTTAAAAACAAATTTTTACTGTGACCAGCTCTGCAAAGTACAGGCCAGTCTACAACGTAGTAACAAAAACTACACATCTTAAGAATAAACAACTAGTATCTTAACTCTCAGAGATGTTCCCCTTTTACCCTTCAAGGGTTTCCTAATTAATTCTACCTTGCAGACACTATGACATCCAAATATCTGTTCCCAGTAATGGAACAGAATAGAACAATTTTATAACAATTTTGGTGTAGAAATTTAACATGAGTGTATTAAAACGGATTCACACTTTTTCCAGAATTTGAAGGTAGGAGGAAACAGTCCTTTTCTTTTTTCCTCTTGAAGTTCAATCGGCATTTTGTTTTAAATTGAGGTAAAATTCACATATAAAATTAACCATCAGCCATTGTAAAGTGTACAATTCAATGGTATTTAGTACATTCACGGTGTTGTGCAGCTATCACTGCTAACTAGTTCCAAGATATTCCATCACCCCGGAAGGAAACCCTGTACCCAGATAAGTAGTTATTTTGATCCTTATTTACATTTACTCTCTAATTTCTCTTTGAAAAAGAATAAAAGAACCTAAGTTTAAATTACAGCATAAGAACTTGATGTGTTTTCATTTCTTCTGCAACTTGTTGATTCACAAAAATTGGTAAAGATTTGAAGCTGAAATGAGGCGAGTCTTAGCAAAATGAAACCAGGATTGAAAGTCCTGGAAGGAAGAAACCCAAAAAGAGATTGAGGAAAAAATCAAAATAATTCACAATTCTGTCCAGGCCCCATCCTTGTCAGAAAGCCAGATTCTACTTCAATGACTGATAGTGCTGAATCTTTTTTGGAAAGAAAAAAAAAAGAATTGAAATAGAATGCTTTGGATCTACCAAGTAGGAAATTTTGGAAGACAGGAAACTATTAAATACGTTAAAAAAAAAAAAAAAAAAAAAAAGTCTTCCAGCTCCTAAAAGTCAAATGCCTATTCTAGGGAAGCTAATTTATTGTTCTTTCAAGTACAATTACAGCTCTCTTTGCTTAGTCCTAATGATTTAGAGAATAAAATTCTCAAAATAAAAGCCACAGAAATGTAAGGGATGAGGCCCCAGGACCTTCAGCTTCCCTGATTTCTCAGTGTGGTTTTGCTACGGATGATGCTGGCAGAGTACTGCAGAAGTAGTGGGGAAAGGCCCAGCAAGCGTCTTTACCCAGATGTAGCAACTTTACATGGGGGTAAGTGGCTCATGCTCCACCGCTGGGAGTCAGGAAGCGCCATGTTCTTAGAACCAAATGAGACTCCAAGACATGATCCACTCCAATCCCCTCCCACTGGGCATTCCAGATAGTCTTCCTAATATTTACCTCTTCTTGAACAGTCTGTGCTGTCTCTTAGGGGGGAAAAGTTCGATTTTGCTCTATGAAAGGCAAGATTAAAGCTAAGAGAGCTCTGTGCTGCATTGGCAAACTTGGATTTTATAACTTCCATGCAGGCTGACTGCTGAAAAAGATTCAGCGAGGTCCTGTGGTCACCTCAGTAACAAAGTTATTAAAGCTTCCATCATCAGAGGCAAAGTGCAGGAGCCTGCTGGTAACACAGGAGAACTGAAAGGGCAGCTAGGGCTTGTGACTATAAACGTGGCTGCTGCTTCTCAGTTCTGAATCTCAGGGTTTTTTTTTTTTTTTTTTTTTCTTTTTTTTTGTCTTTTTAAGCTGGTCTGAACAAACATGCATATATGGCTACAGATTTTCCAAGAGTTGGATTAACCCCCATTTTCAACCCAAATATTATGGGATATGGTCATTATTTGGTTCACTCAAAATTTATATTTTAACAATGCATCAATGTGACAGCTACTTTCTATTAAGAGTCATTTTGTTAGACATCTGGAGTGACCAACTGTCCTGATTTGCCCCGGATTCTCCCAGTTTTAGCACCGATAGTCTTATGTCCCAGGAAAGCCCTGTCTTGGCAAATAAGGGCAGTTTGTTGCCCTGCTGCTAGCTCTAGGTTTGGACTTCAGGTCTGTATTGCTGAAGTGTCTAAAAGTGGATTTTAAGAGGACTTGCTACAACAAAAAAAAGCTGAAAATTTTTAAATCTTCACCATAAATTTCCAGCCATATTCTACTCAAAAGATGATTTTTAAAAAATAACCCAGTGATCTATTTCATACACCCGGCAAGAAATGGTTTCTTACTTTGTGGGGATAACTTAATGTATGGAGGAAATTATACCATACCTAGAAATTGGCTATAATAAATACCACTCTAGTGAGGTTCTGTATTATTATGTTATTTTTTCCTCCAATTTCCACATTTTAAAGCCTAATAAATAATACATAAAATAACAGCCAGACATAACAGCATAAAATAAAAACCTCACATTTCTTTGGTTCTGTTCAAGACCTTGTAATCTGTACACTGTAGGCAAACCCTCCAGAGTTGGAGAAATGACAAAAGCAGCATACTCTCTAGGGGCCATACCTATAGTACCCAAAAGTCTGGGCAAGAAAGGAGCCATTGGACTTCAACCAGTCCCCTTGATCCAATGCCAGACACTTCAAGAAAACCAAAAGTCTTCAGTACCTGGACCTACAAAATGAGAACTGTAGAGTCAAGATGAGAATTGGCTTCATCAAAGTTGGAAACCTTAATGTTTTAATCCTATATAATTAGACATTAGATGGTCTGCTACCTGAAGCATTTCTACCTTTCTGAAGGATTAGTCTCTTTGACTTTGTAGTAGGCAGAATAATAGGCCCCAAATATGTTCAGTCCTAATCCCAGGAACCTGTAAATACATAACCTTACAGATAAAGAGACTTCAAAGATGTGATTAAATGGAGGCCCTGGTGATGAGGAGATTAGCCTGGCTTATCCAGGTATGTTCAATCTTATCACACAGATACTTAAAAAATCAGAGAACCTTTCCTGGCTAAAAATTAAGAAGATGGGACTATGGTAGAAAGACGCATGGAGAGGCAATGCTACTGGCTTTGAAGATGGAGGAAGCTCTAGAAGCTGTAAAAGGCAAGGAAATAAATCCAACCCAGAGAGCCTTCAGAAAGGAACACAGTCTTGTTGATATTTTGCTTTTAGCCCAGTGAAATCCCTATAGAACCTAACCTATAGAATGGTAAGATAATACATTTGTGTTGTTCTAAGCCACTAGGTTTGTAATAATTTGTTACAGCAGCCATAGAAAACTAATACACCTTTAATCACAGTTGCTGTTCAATAATGCCTTGCTGGTATTTTGCTTCTAACCTCAATATTTGACCATTACCTCATGTTTAATTTTTTTCCATGTATATACTTTGAAAACTAAATTTAGCCCTAGACCAAATATACTCAAAATCCCCCTGACAGTACAGAACAATACTTCCTTTTACTTGTCTACTTTGTTTAGCTTCTTGCGTTTGTTAGCACAGAGACTACTTACATAAGGAACTACTGAGCATAACTGAAACCACTGATTTTGTATGAAGGAAAAATGCTTTTAGATGAGTGGAATATGCCAAATAACCTCTTTAAATTTGTGTGCAAAGACACGGTAGTTCACAATGTTCACAACGTCTCCCTAGAGTGCTCTGGATGTCACAATGACTGGAAGATGCCACAGCCTTTTGTGAACCAAGGACAGGGATACCAAAGATGATAATGAAGAATTGTCCCATTGGACGTGCCAGCAAACCCCATTGACAAACTCTGCTTGGATTGATTTGAAAAATTTAAGCATACTTATTAGCATGACAGAAATCAACTCAAAGAACATCAGATGCTTATAAAAGAGTCATTATTAGTAACATTTGATAGAATATGGGATGTCTCAGCCCTCACCTGAAAGACATTAGGTACTTAAATTCAAAAGAACTTGACTATAGGGCAGCAAAAGCTATACATGTATAGGTCAGTACATCTCTGACAGATCACCTCATTTGGAGATATCCAAAGTCCAAATTTGCAGACCTTATAAATATGAGTTGAGGAAAATCGATCCTCTTATCCTAAGGAAGGACTGATACCTAGTAAACATGAAATAAATACCTGCTGAATGCGTAAATGGATGGATGACTAGCTCCAGTAAAGCAAGTCAGGTTATGAGTAGGTTTTATTTTTTTTTAGCATTTGCTGTATCCCCTAAACAGTTATGTAAATAAACAATTAAAAGCCCAACAATTCAGCAAGCACCCATAATCCAATGGGGAAAGAAGAGAAGTAGGTAGAGGTAGAAATGAAACAATCCCAGCCACGAGTTGACAACCATTGAAATTGGGTGATGGGGATGTAGGCGTTCATTATATTATTCTCTCTACTTTGGTACACACTTGGCATTTTTCATAATGAAGTTACATTTTAAAATGGTGGGGGAGGGGAATCTAAGTCATTGACTAGAGAAAACTGTGTATCTTGGAGTGGGCAAACACGTTATCACCTGTCTAGGATTATGGTTATCTTTCAAGTCTAGAACAAGATTCAAATGCTATAGCTAGTTCCAAAAGCTAAGTAAGCTTCTTCAAGATGAAACCCCAATAGCATTAGATTGACCTCTTGTTGTTGTTGTTGCTGCTGCTGCTGCTGGAAAAGCCCTTACAATGTTTACAACCATCTGTTAAGAACAGGGTTTACCTTTCCCTGACCTAATCAGCCTCATCTGAGGCTTTATCTTGCACAGGGTATGCCCTCAATGTCTGCCACCTATTAATCATGTTTGTGCCGTGAGGATACATTCTGTTAAGACAGCAGCCTCAAAGGCTCTCCAACTCAGGTTTTTAGAAGAAAATGAAAAAATTCTGGATGAAAATCAATTTTAACTATCATTAAAGACAGCCATTTTTTCTTTAAATTCTGAAGTCATGTCAATATTGATAAGGACTCTATGACTGTTTCTTTCAATAAAACATCACATGCTTTCATCTATAGACCACTTAACATTTTTTTTCCTCTTTAAGTTCTGGTTAAATTCAAGATTCTAGAAGAAAATATTTTGGAATTCTTACCTCTTCAGTTCCTAAAGCCTGAGGCTCACTGGCAGATCTGGCTGTTGAGAAAGCAGAGAGAAAAACGAATTTTTTAAAAGGAAAAATAACATGATACACAAGAGCTGGATAAGTAGAATGAATGAAGTTTCTGAAACGGGGGTGGGTGGTAATGGCAATATAGTTATAAGGGCAGGAGGTCTCACAGGTTTACATTTCAGAGCCTAGAAATGAACTTTTATTAACTCTCTTTCTTTTAAGAAATAGATTTGTGAAATTGGAGTCCCTTTCTTTGTGAAATCTCCTAGCATGCAAGAAAACATGAAAACACAAAGGCCACTTAGGAACCTAGAGGAAGCAGAGTCCTTGGTGGGAGAGGCTGTATACCGATGGAATGAATAAGAACAATCTTTCCTCCTGACCTAATCTAATTTGCTCCGAGCATGACCAAAGCAGCAGAGACCAACACACTCTTGCTCCAGGTATTAGGGACAGAGTTTGAGTGCATACAGTTTGTGTGTATCTGGCCCTTTAGGAGGGTGGAGGACACGTTGGTGGTTATAAGAGTATCTTTGGCACCCACAGCTTCTATAGGCTGTTTAGAAGTAGAAGACACCTATGCCCTTAGCCACTAATGACCTCTGTGGCTATCAGGCAGAGTGGCCTACGTTTGTCCAGTGCCGAGTGTGGTTCCTACGGGAGAAAGTTCCTGTGTAGATGAGCTTCTTTATTCCTGAAAAGCTTTAGAGCACTCAGCTCAAAGGGAATTGCTAAAGCCTCAAGGAACACTTTCCCATTCCTATTTTGCAGTGTCTGAGAACAAAGAGATATCTCACATCTAGAATAGTATGAATGAGGGTGGAACTCAAATTCGCAAGGGGTTCTAGGGCCAAACGAACATCAGTGTCTCCAGAGGCCTCACATTACTTGAGACTGGCCTGTGTGCTACAATCTCAACCCAACCAATTATATTCCCAGACTACCATAGGGGCCATATGTTTTTAAATGGGCTAAAGTTATTAGAAAACCATTATCTCATGATTAATGACAGCAAAAAGAAAAAAAAAAGCCAAGGGCTAAAAACAACTTATTTTCGGAGAATGAACCCTTGGGTAACAAAGACTAGGTGGGACAGGCAAAATAAGCCTGTTCAAGGGGGTTCTGGGCCCGGCACTCATTTGTTATTGGTGATAGTGGAAGCTGGCACAACTACTCTGGAAAGCCGTCTGGTCCTGTTTATCAAGGGACCCAAATATGTTCTCAGTCATTGTTTTAGTGATGCCACTCCATGACTTTAACCAAAACAAACCCACAATGTGGACAAAGAAGAATTATCAAGGTGTTAAGAAATAGCCTAAATATCAATAATTCAACCTATTAAGTAAAACAGAAACTCCACATGATAAAATTTTAAAACAATGAATACAAGAAATTTAAACGGGCCAGGTGCAGTGGCTCATGTCTGTAATCCCAGCACTTTGGGAAGCCAAGGAGGGAGGAACACTTGTGTCCAGGAGTTTGAGACCAGCCTGGGCAACAGAGCGAGACATATTCTCTACAATAAAAGTCAAAAGTTAGCCAGGCATGGTGATGCACACCTGTGGTCCCATCTACTTGGAAGGCTGAGGTGGGAGGATAGCTTGAGCCCAGGAGAGTGAGGCTATAGTGAGCCATAATCATGCTACTGTACTCTAGCCTGGGTGACAGAGTGAGAGTCTGTCTCGGAAAAAAGAAAAAAATGTTTAAATGATGAAAAAATGCATTTTATATTCTCTTTTTACTTAACTTTATTTTAAAATTAATAAATATTGTTACTTTAAAAAGTAACTTAAAATAAGGTTATTTTATTATAAAGTAAAAAGAATGTAAAATGCATTGTCATTTAAATTTTAAAGTAAAAAATATAAAATATTATATATAGTGTGAACTCAACAATTTTCTAATATACATATTTACATATGTTTTTTCTAATATATATTTTCTATGTCTTAATATATTTTTCTAATATATATGCACTAACATGTATTATATACATAATATAAGTTGTATTATATAACACATTTTCTAGTATAATTATACATAGTATCTTTCTGATACATAAAGACTGGAAGAAAATACATCAAAATCTAAACAATATATTTCCTCTGTTCAACAGAATAACAAAAGTGGCAGAAATTGCTAGATATACCCCAACATCTGCTCTCGTCTTCTTCCATGGTTTTAATAGAATTCTAAGCTAAGCACCTACATATCAATAATAGCTACTTTCCCCAACCTCCCTTGCTGCTAGGTATGCAGTCATGTGACAAAATTCAATGGTACAGCATCAAAAGTGGTATGTGTAACTTCTGGGTCAGGGCCTCCCCTTCCAACTTCTTCCATCCTGCCGGTTATAGCAGAGCCTTTGTGACAAGCCACCTTAGACAATGAAAGCAAGAGAAACCTCATAGGAATGATAGAAAAACAGGATAGAAGGAGCCTGGCTCCCTGCATGATCTTGTGGAGCACAGCTACCTTACCAGTCCTGGGCCATCCACGTCCGGATTGTTACATTAAAAAGAAGTAACTTCTAACTTATGTTAGCCACTGTGAAATCAGGCCACTGTTACATGCAGTTCAACTAACAATTTAATTAACAGATGGAGCCATTTTTATTTTTTCTTTCAAATTTTCAATAATTTCCACATTTTTCAATAATCAGTATGAATTACTTTGATGATCAGAAAAAAACTAAGTTAAGTTTTGTTTACTAATGTTAAGAAAATTAAATATAGAATAAAGTTTGGGAAACATGTATCTTCTTTCCACATATGAGAGGAAAAACGAAATCTATAGTTTAAAAAGTTCTGCTTTAAAATCTGATTGAGGCATATTCTAAGCAGTAAAACTTTAGTCAATGCATTATAATTATTCATTTCAGAGGATACCCGACTTTTTTTTTTTTGAGACAGAGTCTTGCTCTGTCACCCACGCTAGAATGCAGTGGTGTGAACGTGGCTCACTGCAGCCTCAATTTCCTGGGCTCAAGCAATCCTCCTGCATCAGCCTCCCAAGTAGTAGCTGGGACCACAGGTGTGCACCACAACGCCCAGCTAATTTTTTTTATTTTCTGTAGAGACAGGGTGTCTCTACGTTGCCCAAGCTGGTCTCAAACTCAGGGGTCAAGCAATCCTTCTGCCTCAACCTCCTAAAGTGCTGAGATTACAGGCGTAAGCCAAATACACCCAGCCAGACTGTTTTTTTTTTTTTTTTTTGAGACAGAGTCTCGCTCTGTCACCCAGGCTGGAGTGCAGTGGCACAATCTTGGCTAACTGCAACCTCCTCCTCACGGGTTCACGCCATTCTCCTGCCTCAGCTTCCCAAGTAGCTGGGAGTACAGGCGCCCACCACCACGCCCGGCTAATTTTTTGTATTTTTAGTAGAGAAGGGGTTTCACCGTTAGCCAGGATGGTCTTGATCTCCTGACCTCGTGATCCGCCCCACCTCAGCCTTCCAAAGTGCTGGGATTACAGGCGTGAGCCACTGTGCCTGGCCCCAGGCTTCTTAAAGTGAATTTAGAAACAGTCTTAAAAACAGATTTGTGTGTACACTCATACCTTTAATTTAAGGGTGCTATTGGTTCTTCACATGGAATCATACTGGATTTCTCCTACAGTAATTCCACTAGCCCAAGAATTTGGTTTTATTTTCCCCTGGAGTAGTAATAGATTTGGCAGAGCTCACATAACCTCCCTGGTCTCCTTTGTATCCCACAGGCCTGCATTACAAGATGACTGTCCAAGATAAAGGAGTCGTACCTAGTCCATAAAACAGAGAAAAGATATCTTGCTTACTTGGGAATCAGATCTGAAACAATGGCCTCATTAAAACTAGCCTCTAACCAGATTAGAATAATATGCTGAGATCATTTAAACCTGCAATAATGTTCATCAGCAGCATTTGGTGCCTTTTAGAGGATCATTAAAACCTTGTGCATAGGCACACAAGACACTCCACAAGGTTGACCTTAGAGACTTACATGAAGTCATATATCAGAGAAAGAAACTATTTTTCCCCTTTTTCCCAAGAGAATGCCAAATGATCCTTTTCTCCCTTGTGAACCACAATATCCAACACTAATATGGCTAACCTATATTCAATAACAAAGGCAGGATGCCAGGGTTTCTTCACTTCCCTCTCAGAATGACTGTGCCAGTGCATTCTTGAGAAACCCCTTCACTCTCTCCTGCAGTAGGCAAATTGAAGCTAATAGTCAAAGCTCTGAATTCTCAGTTTCTCTCCCCCTCTTGCTTTTGCAGGAACATAAGCAAGCCAACTCAACAGGCCTAATTACCATGGTAACAACATGCACCGTGATTATGAGTGTGTTTGTTTTTTAAAATGACTCACAGATTGTTCCCCCAGAAGCCCCAGACACACAGGTTTCTGGCTGGTTTATAAAATCCATCTGAAGTTTTCTTGCAAATATCTTGTGCCTAGTATCATAACTGGTGTGATGAAGAGAGACTCATCAAATCAAATATGCCTTTCTCCTTAAGGATGAAGAAAAACCCATTTTATTCCTTAAACACTCCAAGATTAATCAATTTAAACTTCAGGTTTATAATGAAATTAATTTGAGTTTGTACACTGGAGATAATTAATCTGTTCCTAATTTAAATAATTAAGGTATTTCATAATGTGATTTTAGAGACCCAAATGAAATAATCAGGTGAAATAAACTGTAGTGAAAACTATAAAATAAAACAGCCTAAATCTGTGGGTACATGACCACATGTAAAGTGTTATAAAAGAATAGATGTCAGTCTTAATACCAAGATGTTTTTAAACAAATCTACAAAACAACAGCATCTATTTTTAAAATGCAAACATGAAAGAGTCCAGACATTTGGAGAACAGTGCACTGCTTCCACTCATCTATTCAATAAATATCATTTTAGACCTTCTATGTACTAAGCACCATTGTTTATAACTGGAACATCACAATAGGGCTTAGGGAAGACTATTTTCTCATGGGAGGCAAAGGCCATGGGCATGGCTCAGCGCGTTATCTTCTCTTAGGAAGCTCCTTTGCTTCACAAGGCACCATTCTGGGTAAGGCTGTCAGTGAGAGGGAACATTACCTAATGATTATACCAGGCCTGCAGTTCAGAGTCCTAACATCGGCATCACAGTGGACTCCCTCAAACAACAACAAAAAATAAAACATATATATGCTAGTAATTTTGATATGTTGATTTCTTCTGTGTGAAGTGGAAATAAACCCTATTTTAAAAGAAATGTAAGTGGAATTTATATAAATCTATTTCGCTTAAATCCCTCGATGCTAACATATAATACATTACACACACACACACACACACACACAAAATAGTCATTTAAAATTATTGTATCCAAATAGCTACTGCACTGTAACCAAGAATATATTTTTTCTCTAGAGTTTGAAGGGAAAACCAGAGAGTTTCAATCCATATAGGCTAGGTTATACTGTGGCAACAACTCAAAAACTCTCTGGCTTATTTGAGCAAAGCTTATCTCTCACTTTCTCTCCATGTCCACTGCGGTTTAGCAGAGATGCTCTTTGTGTTGTCTTGACAGTATGACCCAGGCTTAAGAGTGCAGAGAACACTTCTATCCTTCAACCACTGCACTCACCTGCCGGTTCTTATGGCTTCTTCCAGGAAGTGATGCACCTCACTTCTGTTCACTTCACTGGCCAAGGCAAGGCATGTGGCCACACCTAACCAAAGCAGACTGGGAAGTGGAAGCCTATCCTGAGCTGGAAAGGAAAACTGGAGATATTGATGGCTAAGCACATGGATTCCTGAACAAACAGCACAAACCCAGACTATTACTTCATGAAGTCAAAACGACATCCGACAATAATAGGCTTCCTTAGGGGATGCCTTATTCCAAGGTCTGAGCACCTATGATTAATGTTGGGCCATAACAATCACTTCTGCAGAATTTGGTGCAAATCCCTTGGATAGAATAAAAGATACTCTACTGCAGATTTGTGATAACAATAAGTTATACTAATAATATATTTATTTTGAATAATTACACTACAATTCAGGCACCTTGCTAAATAAACATTTCACATTTATTATGTATTTTTCTCCTGTCAGTTTTGTGAAGTAGATATTATCTTATTTCCCATTATAGATGAAGAAACTGAGGCATAGAAAGCTTAAGCAATTTGCCCAAGTAATTCTGACTCTAAACCAATGTCCTTTAACTGCTACACTCTCCTACATGTTATCTTTGAATGTTACTTTTCTACACTTCAGTATTTTATGATTATTTTAAGATGAATAAGAAAAGACTAGTTGGACCTTTTTTTTTTTGCCTAGGAATTTTCACCTCTACTTAAATTTTTCTTATTTTAATTTTAAAAGACATAGAACTGTTTAATATCAACTTTTTTCCAAAGAAAAAATAAAAATGTCAATGAAATGCCTTAATGCCTATACACAGCAATGTTCCCTAAACACAACCGTCATTCATGAGGTTTAAAAAAACGGCAAAGGACCAATTTAATTCTCCCAAATAAAGCCTTTAAAATGAAAGTGAGGGTTTCGGTTTAAATTTTTTCACAATTTTTCTTATATGGTTCTAACATAGATCAGATAAATACTCTCCTTAAACAGAGCTCTGTTGGCAAAGTCTAGAATTAACTTACTTTCCTGTTTAAAAATGCAAATCTAAGAGTAGGAAGCACTCCATCATTTATTTTAAAAAGTACTCCTACCATTAATGCTTAGTCTGTTATGATGAACATGCACAGAAATACACCTTAGAGACAAGTAGTCAAAACACTGTAATAACAGCAATTCCACTGAAATTTCCCTTTTTCACTATTGCTGCCTCATGTGCATAGCCTCTGAAATATAATGCCAAAGTAGGAAGCAGCAACCATAAAGAGAATGCGACAGTAATGGAACTGTATATGCTGCCTCCGGAGCTGGAAAGTGGAAACTATTTTCTAAATAACTCATAATCAGAAATTCCAGAGATGATCCATTCTTCTTTACAGGTACTGTAATCAACAAAATACCTACCTCTCTAGAGAAAACAAGGTTTTCATTTAAGTCTGACAGATACTATACACAGAATGCTTGGCGTCTCTAGCTCATTACTTGGCCCAGGGTAGATTTTTATATAGACCAAATTGATTTAAATGACCAGTCAGGAAAATGCAATTTAATTATATATATATTTTACAATGCAGAAATGCAGGGCTGGTTGTCTAAATTAAATGCCATTCTTATTGCTTTATAGGACCTGATGTATTTCCTTCTGGAATATTTTGTTTAGAAGGTTATTCTTTACTTTGCCTAGCTTTCTCCAGTCTGTGTTTTTCGCCAGGATTCTTCCTCTGGCCTACCTAGATCATTGCTAACAACAAAAACAAGTTGTTTTTTTTTTCTTAATATTTTCTTTTAGGTTCAGGGGTACACGTGCAGGTTTGTTATATAGCCAAAAACAAGGCTTTTGTTCGTGTTTTTCTCAAAGGGAAATGCATGGAAACTTTGTTCAATTCAATGTTGTATGATATTGCTCAGTTATTTAACCTTTTTAGTCTGGATATCTTCACTTATAAAATGGGAATAATAATAGTGGCCAACTCTATTGACTGCCTACCCACTAACCCCCTCTTCCTTGCTAATAGAACCAGACCCTTTTGCTGGGGTCTGATGACTTTGTTCTTCAGCGAGCCTGGGCTGCTCCATGGCCTCGGGAGGAAACTCTTAAATTAGCCAATCACAGTGGTTCTGTCTGCCTACTTACTCATACATATAGCATGTGAGTTGTGAGTGGAAATTCCACTGGACACAGATTTTCTGTGACTTTAAAAAGAGCCGCGGCAGGGCAAGGTAGCTCAGGCCTGTAATCCCAGCACTTTGGGAGGCCGAGGTGGGTGGATCTATTGTGCTCAGGAGTTCAAGACCAGTCTGGGTAACACGGTGAAACCCCATCTTTACTCAAATACAAAAATTAGCTGGGCATGGTGGCACACACTTGTGGTCCCAGCTACTCAGGAGGCTGAGGTGAAAGGATCAGCCTCCCACCTGCAGGCTGAGGCTGCAATGAGTCATGATCATGCCACTGCACCCCAGCCTGGGTGACAGACCGAGGCCCTGTTTCAACAAACCAGAAAGAGCCACATAAGAAATCTGCTGCACCTTGATATGCCTCTACGTATTGAAATATGCCTATAATTCCAAAATTGTAGACGCCATGTCCACACAGTGAGGGGAAATCAACCTGCTGAAGGTGTCACAGTGGGAGGAAGGGAAGAATCCAGGTTGCTAAGGACATTATCCAGCTACCACATAAGTAACTCTGAAGCTACCCTCCTATCAGAGGTCTTGCGATCAATTTCCTATTGCTTACGCCATTTTAGTAGGACATTCCTTTATCAGCAGCCAGAAATATCCTGATAGAAAAATATTGTCCTTATTTCGTAGGGTTATTTTTAAAACTAGCTAAAGTATCCAGCACAAACTGAATGCCTAACAAATGTTCATTCTCAACTTAATTCTTGACATATGTTAGTCTTCACTTATTCAAATTAGTTAGTGCTTTCTTTACTCTGTGTGGTCTGAATGACTCCTCTAGGAGGCTTTCCCTGGTTCCCCAAAACAGGAATAAGGGCAGAAGTCATTGCTTTCTCCTCTTTATTCAAATAAAGATAATATCAAGTACCTAAGGTTATTTTAAACAATAAGAATGGTATTTAATTCAGACAAGTAGTGTAGTGCTGATTGCAGTGTAGAGAAAAAAATGTAATCAAACAGAGTAGTCTTCCTGACTGTGTAAATCAATTTGAACTAAATAAAATCCAACCCAGATCAAGTAATCAACACAGCAGCCAAGTGTTCTGCATTTGGAGTCTACAAAGTTTATCGAAAAGCTGCTTTCTGTAGGGAAAAAGACATAGTTTGTAGATTACAGAACATGTATGTGAAGAAGGACACATTTCCTCTGAAATCTCACCTCATTCTTATTTCAGAAAGGCACCTGCACCTTCTGCTCAAAACCTTCTCCACAAGCCCCCTTCGCCCCAATATCTTTACATGGCTGAATCCTCAGCATCATTTTGGTCTCAACTCAAATGTCACCTCTTCAGAGAGGCCTTCAGGGATTACTCAACAAAGTAATCTCCCAATTACCCCTGCCAGCATAGGCACAGTCCCACCATTCACCCTGTTTCTACTTCAATCCATCAAAGCACTCACTACTACTTGACATTTTCTTTTATTGTAAGTCATTTCTGTCAATGGTTCCAATCCTGGTTGATTCTGATTTAATTACTCTGAGGTGAGGTTGGGACATGATATTTTTTTCAAACTACCCTCTCAGTGATTTCTAATGTGCAGTTAGACCTAAAAACCACTGGTTTATGTGTTTACTGAGTCTCTCTCAATACTCGAATGTAAGTTTCAAGAAAACAACCGACCAGTTTTGTTCATCCTAGTCTCCCTGGCATCTTGACGAGCACATGGCACATTGCAGACATTAGGACTTTGAACACATCGATTAATTCTATTGTAATTATATTTCTGTATTTGTCTGTTTTCCCCATGAGTTTGTGAGCTCTTAGAGGACAAGTACTATGTCTAGCCCACTCTGCATCAAAAAATGAGTCACTCAAGAATGTTCATTAAATAAATGAATGATAAACAAACTGCATTGTGTGGTATAAGGAAGACAAAGATGAAACCAGATGTGACCGCTGTCCTCAAAGAGCTTGGAGTGTGGTCAAAAAAAAAAATTATGCAGATTGCTGTTATACACACTAGAATGAGCTAGATGCTGTGATGAAAGAACAAAAGATTTCAGAGGAGCATTGTTTTTTTATTGGGGAAAAAAGGGAAGAAACCAAGGGAGGCTTCATGAAAGAGGCAGCATTTGAACTGAGCTTTACAGGACAGATGGAATTTGGTTATTCAGAGAAGTAAGACTGTGGGGACAAAGTGTGGAAGGGGAAGCAGGAACTAACTTATCCTAGGCGGAGAGAAAAGAACTCAAAAAACAAGTCAGCCCAGCTGGAGGTTAGGAGGGCCTCAACTAAGACACCGGCTATAAACATGGAAAAGAGTCAGTATCAAGATATTTTCCCAATCACAATTGCAAGGAGCCATGCAACTTCCTGCAACTAGAGGTGCTTGGTGAGGAAGACAGTGAAGTTGAATTGTCATAACTGAGGTAATGATAAATGGGGTGTCATTAACAATTATGAAATCAGGTGAGGAGCTGGTTTTGAGGAGTGGGAAAGGTGATGGTGAGCACAGTTTTGGACATGTGAGTTTCATTTTCTGTGGGTTGGATGTTCTGGTGAATTTGCAGGCAGCTTGCTGTACAAGCTGAGAGAGGAGGTGAATGATTAGGATGCTTCATCAGATTTGGGACTGACCCACACAGCAACAGTGACTAAAATCACAGGACAGAATTTGATTAGGGAGAGGGAGAAATTAAATGGCCAAAGACTCGTATCTTGAGAACACTCATATTTGGGGAGCAGGAACTGAAGTTAGTGAAGTTGGAGCCCGCAGAGAGGTAGGAGGAGATTTGTTTCATCTACTTCTTAATTACTTTGTGTGCGTATGGAAAAACTAAGCATGTTTACAGGGAAAGAGGAAAGGACCAAGAAAGAGAAGAAACTAAATATGTAGGAAAGACAGAATTATTGTCACAACATAATCCCTTAGAAAGTAAAAGGGAATGGGATAGAGAGTCCAAGTAGAGGGTTTATTCTTGGCTTAAAGGAAAGATGATGTTAATTTGACTTAGGAGGAAGAGGAGAATGAATGATGTGAATGACGCAGATCTTTCTGTCCCCCTACATACCCATATGTTGGAACCTGATCCCCAGTGCAATGGTATTAGGACATGAGGCCACCTTTGGAGGTGATTGGGTCATGAGTATGGAGTCCCATGAATGGGATTAGTGCCCTTATAAGAGAGACTGGAGAGAGCCAGCTGGCCCCTTCTGTCATGTGGGGACACACAGAAAGTGCTGTCCACGGCCTTTGCCAGACATCAAATCTGCCAGTACCTTGATCTTGGACTTTCCAGCCCATAGAAGTGTAAAAAAAAAAAAAGATTTCTGTTGTTTCTGGGTTACCTCATCTTTGGTAATTTGTGACAGCAATTCAAATGATCTAAAATAAAGGAAGACGTGGGGAAATTCTAAGGTGGTAAGAATGAGGTTGAGGAAGTCTGTAATATGTGCCTTCTCAGAAAGACAGAAAGTGAGGTCACTTCTAACGCACAAAGGCAGTAGGGACTTGGTTGAATGGTTTCCATTGAAAATGCACAGGACAGAGTGAAAAGTGAAATAAAAAAGGAAGAAGGAAAGAATTTTGAAAGAACAGCAATGGCCCTGCGGAGATGCAGTGAATCTAGAGTAGAACCAGTCAGCCCAGTTTTCAGCCCCTCTCCTCTACCTCTGAGTGCTGGGTTCCTGGGAAGAGGATCAGGGGAATGCCTGACCCCACACCCGGGCTGGCCAGGGAGCAAGGGAAGGCCAGGGAACAGGGAAGAAGTGGTCAAGAGACTGGTTTTTCAAAGCTTTTTCATTAACAGCTTGACTGTTTACACATATTTGCCAAGAGATAAAGGGGCTGATCCTGTCTTATCTCCAGCCTCTGTATACAGTAGTACCACTTCTAAGAAACATGTTATCACTAAAGTTTGAGAATTGAGCTCCCTTTTTTTTTTTTCAGTGTTTAATGAAGTCCTCTAGAGATTGTCTGAACACTGACTCCCACTAAATACAACTTGTTGTCTTTAACATAAGAATTTTCAAGAACCATATATTTACAGATATCTCTAATACTCTTACCTGAAAATTTAAATCTCTATTCCACAGTGGCATCTTTCACACCTGAACAAGTTTGTACACAGAAACTCCATATTTACATAGGGTACTAAATGTAAACCGTCTACTCTTTTTTTTTAAACAAAATATTTTAGTCTTACAAACAATTTTAAATGTGACAACATATAAAGACTTTGCCCTAATATGAGGTAAGTGAAATGGAGTTGTAACTGGGAGGTGAGGAATTAATGAACTGTTTAACTCTAAATTCCAGGCCTATTTTATTATCCCTTATGAAGAGGTCAATATAGGCTAGGTCACCCCCCAGATCATTTTTAGCTCTACCATTCTAGCATGTCCTAGGCCAGGGACTAAGTCCTTTATAAATTTTTTATTATATTTTTAATTGAAAAATAAAAATTGTGTATATTTATGGGGTACAATGTGATGTTTTGATACATGTATACATTGTGATGATCAAATCAGGCTAATTAACATAGTCATCATCTTGGAGGTGAGGGTGGGAGGGTGGAGACTAAATCTCGACACAGCTCTGCAACTCTCCTCTCCCACCCAGATCTAGTAAAGACAGGCACCTGGCTTCTCCCAGTAATTGTAGAATGAATAGATGTGCACATTAAATAAAATTAGGGGTCATTATTTGCAAACTTCCCTCCACCCCTGGCCCCCAGCACATGGACAAAGTGCATTACAGAAAGTTAACATTAATTATTCAGGAGCTCTTCAAACCATTCAAGGTCAACGTCTGACCCCACATCGTAAAGCTCAGATACTGTTGCTATTCAATAGGGTCCCTGCTAATTGTTCTGCCCAGCTCTCCTCAGCCTCACCATACCCTGCCTCACCAGTTTAAGGATTAGGAGTAAAATCTGTCGTGGAAAAGGAAACAGAGGATTCATTATTTTTAAAAGTGAAATTTTGGTTAGGATCACACTTCATTAGTAGAAACTTGTTGTCTCAGAAACTTGTTGTATTGTTTAACTACTGTAGCCCCTCCCCACAAGTTACTGCTCCCCCTTATAAAGGATTTCAGAGCAATTTAGTACTTTAGTTTCTCCCCTCCCTTTCTGGCCATGATACCTACTGAGCATTTTTCTCTAATGAGGGGACCAGAAAAGCACTGAAGAAACAGCTCTCCAGTGCCTCCGTAGTGGTAGCCTGGTCTGAGATTTGACCAGCAGAATCACTGGTGTGACTGTCTACAATAAAGGTTTGAATTTCACTATCAGGTTCTGGACATCACCAACTAGCAGAAGCTATGCACATTTTCTTACTCTGTCCTTTTGATTTCAAATGTTACTTTTGAGAGGAGTATTTTATTTACGCAGGGATAATACTGTTGTATAAAGGAGGTTAAATACGAAGATTATGATTATTATCTAATGACACATTATGTTAAAAGATCCTGCCATTTGCAAATGTCTCTTCAAAAATTTGATTAAAAATTTGCAAATATTCTCAACACAGTATTTCTGGGGAAAAACATCAGCAAGGAATATGAATAGACATTTTTCTAAGAAGATATACAAATGGCCAATGAGCACAAGAAAAGATGCTCAACATCACTAGTGATTAGGAAAATGCTCATCAAAACCATAAAGAGATACCACTTCATACCTCTTAAAATGGCTATTATCAAAAACATAAATAAAAAACAAAATAAATATTGATGAGAATGTGGAGAAGTTGGAATCCTTGTTCATTGCTGGTGGGAATGTAAAATAGTGCAGCTGCTATGGAAAACAGTATGGCAATTCTTCAAAAATTAAATATATAATTACTGTGTTCCATCATTTTCACTTCTGGGTTCCCAAAAGAAGTAAAAGCAGGGACTCTAACAGATATTTGTACACCCGTGTTCATAGCAGTATTATTTACAATAGCCAAAACATGGCCCGAGTGTCCATCAAAAGAGAATAAACAAAGTATAGTCTATACATTCAATGGAATATTATTCAGCTTAAACAGGAAGGAAATTCTAGCACATGCTACAACATTGATGAATCTTAAAGACATTATGCTAAGTGTATTAAGCCAGTCACAAAAGGACAAATATTGTATGACTTCACATATATGGGATACTTGGTCACATTCATAGAGACAGAAGTAAAATGGGGGTTTCCAGGAGCTGAGAGAAGGAGGGAAAGAGGAGGTATTGATTAATGGGTATAGAATTTCAGTTTTGCAAGATAAAGACAGTTCTATGGATGGACGGTGGTGATGACAGCACATCAATGTACTCGCTACCACAGAACTGCATACTTAAAAAAATAGTTAAAATGGGAAATGTTATGTTATGTATATTTTATCACTATAAAAAAAGTCTCCCTAAACCTGTGAGGCAGTGGTAAAGACCAAGAATATGCTAACTTTTCCTTATGCCACCAAGGAAGAAAAAAATAACATTTCAGTACCTTCTATGTAGAAATCACTCACTTATCCGCACACAAAAGCAAAAACAAAGCAAAACAACAACTTTGATTATGTATTACTAGCCCTTCTTTACAATGAGGAAACTGAGGTTCCTAAGTTAATGTACCAAGGTAAGTAGTAAGAACCAGTAATAGGTTTCAAAGGCAGATCTGCCTGGCTCCAAAGCCTGCGTTCTTTTCACTCCACAGTGTTTTCTCCTACCCACAGAAGTCTTTTATGAACAGGCTTTCTACTTTGACTATACAGCTTTTAGACTTAAAAGTTGGGCCTGCTTTCTGAAGCAGGCTAAACAAAGTCAGTCAAACAAACACATTCACTACATGTCCACCATATGAGGCCCAAGGCTGGCAATGAAATAATGGAGTCATGTTTCCATTCAGCCATTGGCCATATGGCAGAAAAAAAAAAAAAAAGCACAATTAAAATTTCTGTGTTGGTCTACTCCTCAAAAGCCAGTGAATACCCCAGGAAAAATCATTAAGTCTTTCAATATTCCATATGGCCAGAATAAGTGGAAATAGTTTCATTTTACAATGTAGAAGCATATTCATCTTTTTCCTAAACATTCTACCATCATAGTTACTGATCTGCTGTTACTCACTAATGTTCTGCTTCAAGCTGGAATTTAACGATTAAGAAATGTTTTGTGCTGTGCAGAAAATAGGCACCTCTTAGTTGTTTTCAGAAAGATAGCAAGGCCCTCTTGACTCTACTATGCCCGTCGGGCAAGGTTTCATTTTCTTACTCATGTGTGAAACACACACAGAAGACTAATGCAGATTGTCTGTGCCTCCCCAAACAAAGTAGGGTGTTGGCATTATCTAGTGAATACAGCCTGCAGAGGAGTAAGTACCAAAGGGTAAGCCTGTCCTTATCCATGCAGCTCAGGTTGCCAACTTTTTACTTCATTTCATGATGCACAGCTTGATTCTAGAACTCCACTGGGTCATTCTGGATCGAAGATCTATCCTAGGTCTCTTCTCTAAGAAGATGATCTTTACATACTTCCCTTTAAGATGCAAATAGGAAGTGGAACTGCAAAATCCATGTCACGACTTGTTTTGCCCACAAGTTTGATTAAATTCAGTGAATCCTTCAAGGAGTTCCATGGTTTCAATACTAGCAGTACTTTGTCTCTTAGGCATGGTGCAGGTTTACTTTAATGAGCAAAAAACCTCTGAGAAATAGACTTTTTTTTTCTTTAGTAGCTATAAAAGCTTCCCATCTCTCAAAATGTGCTGCTACTCCACAGATTTTGAGAAGCCATATCGATTTCATAAAGATAGCATTAAAAATAGCCCTATAGCTCTTAACAAGTGAGAACGATGATAAAGGAGGAGGCATATACATACATACACTCTCAACTAGCATATTTGGTATCTAAGAACCTATGTTTCAAGAATCTGTGAGTGTCAAAATATTGACTTTTTTTAAATTTTTACTCCACTATAAGCAGTTTTTTCTCTTTCTTTTGAAAAATTATCTCCTTTCATTATAGAAACTCTAGAAGAAAAACCCTTTTATCAATGACTACTTACTGCTTAACTGTACTTTCTGTTGAAGATTAAAAAAGCTTAATTCTTTAAATCGTGCTGCATGAGGGTATTAAACTCCCTAATATATCCTGTCAGAGGAATCTCACAATCTCAGTTCTCATCTGCTAGACCTATTTAGTGTACTTTTACATATCATTCATAAATATGAACAAGTCATAGACCCAGGCTCTCATTAAGAACATCCTTTGCTCAAGAAAATCAAAGAATAAAAATCATGTTCTGGTTTTACTACTTCAGTCTATCTACCAGATATTCGCGTAAGGAAACAACCCAGCTGCACTTTTTTATTTTGTCCCTCACCGAGGCTAACATGCACCTTGACCTAGAGGTGAATAAAATGCATATAAACATAAAATCCATGCATATGCTAGTATCTGATTCTGGACAAGTTACTGGCCTTAAACCCGCCACGCTCCTTTGAACAAGGATGCAACTTTAGGATAAGACCTACTGGCAAATGATAGCTGTGTCTGAGGTTATCCTGAAAGCAGCTGCACAAGCTGAGGGAGGAAGACACTGTTTTTTAATGGTAAATACTGCCCCTCACATACGCAATTCAAGCCTTTGTTGGCAAAATCTAAGTACAAAAGAATTTAACTCCCCCAAAAGCCAAATCACAGCCATTATTTTTGCAAAACAGAAGATATCCCAGTGCAATGTGTAAGAAAGAGAATGCAATTAATATTTTACACCACTCACTCCCCTAAAACAAGGGGACTGCCGGGCTCCGATGACCAGACCACAGCTTCACAGCCCCAGATGGATTTCGACTCAGCCCTGGTTTTCCTCCGAGAGAACTATACAAACAGCTTCTTGTATTTAGCATGTTGGCCTGTTTAGTCATCAAATCTAAGCACTGATGATGAGGTTTTTTTAAATCAAATGTGTCATAAATGTGGTTATTCTCAAAGACCCTTCCAAAAGAATCTAATCATTTCCCCTAGTCCTGAAGCGATGTCTCTATCATCCCTTAGAAATCGGACCTTAAAACCACAAGCGACGGTCGTTTTTCTCAATTAAAAACGAGCAACATGGAAAACGTTTCATTTACCTTAGCTCCCGAGGCTTGGTCCGAGGAGCGTGGTTTTCCCCTCTCCGGAGCTGATCTGTGCAGGCGAGCTCCGGCGCAGCCCAGCCCAGCCCAGCCCAGCCCAGCAGTAGTAGGAGTTGCCCACGGAGCGCGGCGGCAGCGTTGTGAGTATGTGTAGCAGCGGCTGCAGCCCAGGGACTAGTCCCCACCCAGCTTTGTCTTCAATCAACGTTCTTTCTACAGGAAGCAGCGCATCTCCCACTTCCTCCTCTTCTTGGTAGCTGTTAGCGGCTTGCTTCTTTTCCCTCTCATTTCCATTTCAGGGCTTACTCTGGTGGTTTTGTCTGCTCCTGGGCTGCTGACAGTGATTTGACTTTAATCCCCCTTCTCCCTTTGTTCAAGTCCCTCTGGTGCTGTCTGTTCCTTCCTTCCCCTTTTCTCATCCCCCCACGGTCACCTCCACGACAGCTTCCACACACTGCTCAGTCGGCCCCCTTCCTGGCACACTGCCTGCTTTTTTAGCCTGAACCTGGCTTGTTGCTATTGTTGTTCTTGCTGTTGTTGTTTCTACTGCTGCTGCTGTTTTTTTTTGGGTCAACATCCCCTGGCCAGGTTCTGGCCCCCGAGATCCCACACCAGCCTCCACTGTTCCTCCTGATTTACTGTGGTCCCCATCAAGCCAGCTAGCTGGGAGCTTGCAGCTTGCAGCTTGCAGCTTCTCACTGCAGCATTTTTCTCTGTGGCCAACATTTCAGAGGCTTCATTTCTCCAAGGTCCCACTACCACTGAGATCTTACTTAACCCACATGCTCAGAAAAGAATGGCCCTGATAAGTATTCTTATGGGGCACGGGAACTAAACCAAGTTGGCAATGCTACCTATAGGCCTAATAGTGAGGACTATTCCCAAAAGATTCTCATAGATGGGAAGGAATGAGGTGGTGCTGAATGCTGCACATTCCCAACAGAGAAACTGAATACTCCTCTCCCCATTCCACACACACTAGTAGGGCTGAAGGACCCTCATGATCCTCCAGTCCCTTCCCTTCATCTTAGGAGGTAATATCGTAGAACCCACCAGGGTAGAGCCTGCAAGCTGTCTCTGTCTGCCAGAATTTCAATCCAAATTGCCATTAATGACTGTATGAACTTGGGCAAATTATTTAACATCTATGTGCCTCAGTTTCCTCATCTGCAAAACATAGTTGATGATAGTCATGCTCTACATTGGAAATATGAGGATTAAATGAGATGGTATACAAGGTGCTAATAATAGTTCTGGGGATATAGGACGTATTCGGCACATATTAACTCTTATTATTTTTAGAGGATGTTGGGCCTCACATTCAGCAAGTGATTTCGCCAGTCAGCAGCCGAACCCTCACCAGTACTTGGTTTTCCAATTCCTCACTATTAGTATGTTCACAATTGAGCCCAGATGCTTTAATAACAATTTATTCAACGTGTGAGTCATTCTCCCCCTAGTACTAACACAAGGTACTTTGGGGAAGCTACAGATTAAACATGAGATGGGGGAAGGGGAATCCTGTTCTAGTGTCCAGGCAACATTATGGAGTTAAAAACAAAAACAACAACAACAAAAAACACCTCTTCTCAGGAATCAGTGCCTGGAAAGCTAATCTTGCCAGGAAACAGTTAATTCCCCAACTCCTCCTTTTTAATCCAGTTTTGCCTTAATCCTCCAGCAAGTAAACTAACAGGAAATGTTAGAAATCTAGGACTGATGGAGAATAACTCTCCAGTTGAGCCTTCCAAACACATCGTGAGGACCACAGCACGTTAACCTAGAAGGTACAGAATTTAATTTCTATGAAATGTTCTGAGACAGTCCCAAAACACCCTTTGTTTTGATTTGAACAGTTTGCTTATTTTTTCAAGGAAATCTTTCATCAAAAAGGACCCTGATGTCAACTCACTCACACCTGAAAATTACAAAATGGATTGATTTAAGATTGAAAATGAGCAACTAGCTTTGATCCACCAGCAGATAGAAATGCAGTAGTGAGAGGGATTGGGCATGAATCCACCAACATGTGAGTTATCTCCAAACCAGGAACCCTTGTGCCAAAGGTTACCAGGAACTTTTAAATGTAAATTTAAATATGCATGATGCCAAGTCTAAGAAAAATGAGAAGCATGTTATTAATGGTTGGAAACAAGACTATGGTTAATTTTAGACAAGTAGGTTCTGGCATAAACTCTAGATTCAAGTACAGTAATTTTTTGTGTCTTTTTGTTTCTAACTCTCTCTCAACCATCCTCCGATGGTTGGTATTTATATTTAAGCCTATATAGGTTGGTATTTATACTTAAGCCTATATAGGAAAACCTCTTTCAAACAATAAAATCTCTAGGAATTTTGCCTGCTGCCTTTTAATTAGTTCTTCCATCTCTGGCCCTTATAAAACTCACAGTAGGTTAATCGCCAGTGTTGGGAGGTGCCAACAAAACTCTATACAAAGCTAAAAACTAGATTTTAAGACCTCTCTTTCATTAATACCTCATTGCTTTTCAACTGGTCCTAATAGCCTCTTTTTCAGGAGAGAAAAGTAAAGTGTGGGGGTATAGCTTGGCCAGGATAGATTAATCCAGTTTAGAGCTCTTAACACAAGTTTGCATACCAAGTTTGCAAAGTGTTAATTTCTTAGGAAAATGACATCTCGCCATTAATAGTTTATGCATCAATTGCTAACCATGAGCCTATCCCAGTACATTTTATCACTGGGTAAAACAAAGTCTGTAAAATACTCTAACATTCATGCATGGCCTATTTGCAGGCATTAATACCTTGTATTTCTTACATCTACTGGTAGCGGAGGTTGGGTAATGAGGAGGACATAATTTTGGCCTGATGTCTCTCCTATGTTATTGAGCTTTCTAGCTGGATGTTCCTTGGAGTTATGTTTAATAATCCCCAAATTATGTACTATACCTTCATCCAAAGCCTGTTCCTCTTTCTATATTCTCCATTTCATTTAATGAGGAATACAAACCAGTTGCCCACATCAGGAATATAAGAATAATCCCAAAACCTTTTATCTTTGTTATCCCAATCTGATTTAAAGTTCCTCTTCCTTTCCTTCTCACCACCAAACTATCTCCTTGCCCAAACCCCTCCTCTCTCTTCCTCTTGCCACTGTCTTATTTTACAAATGCTTTGGTTTTTTCTGTGCAATTACAATACTTTCTACTTTGTCCTCCTACCTCCAGTCTCTCTTCGAAGCCATCCCCATCAGAAGTACATTGCTGAGATGGAGAGTTGATCAAGTCACTTTCCTACTATAATTCTTCAGTATCTTCCCCTCCAGGTTGCTTACAGGATATATGCCTTAATTCCTCTGCATGGCATACAAAGCCTTCTGTGATGTCACCTGTCCACATTCTCACCTTAGGGCCTGTCGCAGCCTTATATCCTACAACCTTCACAACAGGTTCCTGATGGGACTGTGCTGCTTTCTCCCTGCATCTTGGCACATGCTATTTCTGTTGCCAGAAATGCCCTATCCCTTCCTCTATTTTGCCTGCTAGTAAACCCCTACTTATCCTTTAGGACTCAGCTTTTCTCAGAAGCCTTCCCTGGCCGTGGAAACTAGGCAGGTGCTTCCTTTTCTGTGAGTATGACTGGTGCCTTGCCTCTACTTCCATTTCAGCACTAAAGCCATTATTTTCAGGTTTTGTTAGATGTGCATCTCACCCATTAGCATTTGGGTCCATTAAGGTTAGGTCCACATTTGCTTGTCACACAGCAGAGTCAACAGATGTTTGTATAATGAAAAGGCATCATTGGCAGAAATTCCATTCCTTTGAGTGAGGGGAGGAAAAGGAAGTCTCAAAAATGAGAAGTTGGTCATGGGGTAAGAAATAAAATCCCTCCCTCTCTATATATATATTTTGCAAATTTTCTATAGAAATCCATGGCACATGCACACAAAATTCTGAATATTTGTTATATGGGCAAGCCTAAAAAATTCTGGGACAACTCCTAGTTCCATTTCTGCATTGAACTTCTTATAAAGAAGCATAGTCTGGCAACAAAAAAGTAATTAGAAAATAAATATTAAGGCTGGGCTCAGTGGCCTATGCCTGTAATCCCAGCAATTTGGGAGGCCAAGGCAGGCAGATCACTAGGTCAGGAGTTCAAGACCAGCCTGGCCAACACAGTGAAACCCCATCTCTACTAAAAATACAAAAATAAGCCGGGTGTAGTGGTGCACGCCTGTAGTCCCAACTACTCAGGAGGCTGAGGCAGGAGAATCACTTGAACCCAGGAGGCAGAGGTTGCAGTGAGCCAAGATTTTGCCATTGCACTCTACCTGGGCAACAGAGCAAGACTCCGTCTCGAACAACAACAACAAAAAAGAAAAGAAATATTAAAAAGAAAGCTATTCTTTATTTGTATCTCTGTAGGAACTTTAAAGAGACTGATGAATAAGCTAGAAACACTTCTCACATCCCCTTCTGCACTCTCAAATCTTTGCCACATTCCAACTGTCCCAGAGCATCTCATATGCCAAATCCCCAAACTCTTTAATCTCTCTGCAATGCTGTACACCTCCTTCTCTCTCCTCCCCCGCCATGCCCAGCTAGTTCTTTATTTTTTCATTTTTTATTTTTTTGAGACTGTCTTGCTCTGTTACCCAGGGTGTAGTGCAGTGGCACAATCTCAGCTCACTGCAACCTCCACCTCCCAGGTTCAAGTGATTCTCCTGCCTCAGCTTCCCGAGTAGCTGGGATTACAGGCGTGTGCCAACCCACCATGCCCAGCTAATTTTTGTATTTTTTGTACAGATGGCATTTTGCTATGTTGCCCAGGCTGGTCTTGAACTTCTGACCTCAGGTGATCCACCTGCCTCAGCCTCCCAAAGTGCTGGGATTACAGCCTAGTTCTTTATTTTTTGATTGACTTGCCTTCTGTGGCTGAGCCCTCCCTACTTTTTCTTCCCTGTCTCAGCTTTGATAGGTAGGTCTGTTGGTCAGTCTCTCTCTCTCTCTCTCTGTTTCCTATCAGAAAGGAGCCATCAGCTGTGCCAGCAAAGCCAGCCCTTGAGTGCATGTGTGGGCTGCAGGGAAGAAGGAAGAGTAAAATGGGAACAAAAAGGTAAATCCATGTAGTCATAAATCTTGTCCACTCTTACACATTGATGGTACATTTAATGGCTTGCTTAATTGTTCAGCTGAATAGTAATCAAGAATAAATAAATTACTGAGCTGTTATTTTATCACAGAAAAGCTAGAATTCCAGGCATTTCTTGGATCAGCTAAAGGGAATAGAAGCCTCTTTAAAGAGTTCTTCAAAAAGATATAATCATGATCTGATCTGTGTGTCACAGGATCATTCTCTCCCTCCAGACATCTGAGCCTAAGCCCAGCTGTTAGGAGCCAAGAAGACTGAATCATATTTGGCTCGAAGAGAGTCAGGGGGTGGGTGGGCAGAACTAATCTTTCTGGAGAGAGAGTGCCTGGCCTTCACTAATGAAAAATGCCAGTCTCTGTCTCACGGCCCAGCACGAAAGCTAGTGGGACAAGGGACATGAAGAGTGATAGCCAACTCTTTCATCAGAGAGAAATGTGTTGGAACCATGAGTTCTCTCCTTTTGCTCTGGGCACAGCCAGTAGTGCGAAGCCCCCCAGATCCTTCTCTGATATTGCCTGAAATGTCACACATATATGTATACATGTGTGTGTTGCATATATACATACACTCCTGGGGAGGCTATCGGTGATGAATGAGTTAAAGATGCTTGCTTTCCTAACCCCTCACGAGAAAACAAACATAAATGTTGATGAGGAGAGGAAGGGGATGGGTAAGGAGGCCAAGAGTAGATGGAGATTGAAGAAGGCGGCTGGAGGAGGGCTAACCATGAAGCCTGAGGTCTTACTGAAGAGGACAGTAGCACAGAGGGACACAGGCAGGGAGAAGGCAAAAGACGGGAGGGAGGCATAGCCAGAGCCGGAAGTAGGTAAGAAAGAGCCACGGCCGGCCGGGTGCGGTGGCTCACGCCTGTAATCCCAGCACCTTGGGAGGCCAAGGTAGGAGGATCACTTGAGGTCAGGGGTTTGAGAGCAGCCTGGCCAACATGGCAAAACCCCATCTCTACTAAAAATACAAAAATTAGCCAGGCGTGGTGGCGGGTACCTGTAATCCCAGCTACTCGGGGGGAGCTGAGGCAGGAAAATTGCTTGCAACCCTGGAGGAGGAGGTTGCAGTGAGCCAAGATAGCACCACTGCACTCCAGCCTGGGCAACAAAGCAAGACTCTACCTAAAAAATAAAAATAAAAACAAAGAAAAAATTTAAAAAAGAGCCATGGAGGCCTTGCTGTGGATACCAACAGTTGTGCCCAGAGAGAGTTTGACCAGGCTACTAGGAACAAGGGCTCCACACTCCCCAGACCAGGGCTGCCTTGTATGTTTCTGAAGTTCTGGTCTTCCCATAAGCAGAAACTGTTCCAAACCCTTCCTCCACCAGCAGAAGTTGGAGCTGGGCTATTGACTGGGGTCAGGTGAAAGAATTTAAACCAAATGTGTTACTACCATAAAAACAGAAACACTGATTCTGCGAAGTAAAACTTGTTGCTTCCACAAAGTCCCTGAAGATCAATATAGACATTCAGGGATAGGCCGGGCATGGTGGCTCACGTCTGTAATCCCAGCACTTTGGGAGGCCAAGGCAGGCAGATCACCTGAGGTCAGGAGTTTGAGACCAGCCTGGCCAACACAGTGAAACCACATCTCTACTAAAAATACAAAAATTAGCCTGGTGGTGCACGCCTACTTGGGAGGCTGGGGCAGGAGAATCACTTGAACCTGGGAGGCAGAGGATGCAGTAAGCCAAGATAGTGCCACTGCACTCCAGCCTGGGCAACAGAGCGAGACTCTGTCCCAAAAAAAAAAGAAAAAAAAAAGAAATTCAGGGACAACAGGAAACGGGCAACAAGATCAAGAAGAGGGAGTTAGCAGCAAAGTGTGACAGAGGTTAGAGAACACTGTGCACCCACAAAGCCTTGGAAAAATAGTCCTTTAAAAGGAATGTCAGAATTAAAGGATACAAATCTGCAAGATTAATATCACACATGTAAGTCATTTTGAAGTATCTTGAAAGAAAAGCTATACAATAATAACTCCAATAATTTATAGGCAAGGCAGAAAGGCAAGACTTAGTTTTTCTGTGCCAAAAATGTAGACCAGACAGTGTGATCTATTTTGTCAGTAAATAGGTTGGCAAAAGAGGATAGGAAATTAAAGGAGCTGTTTGAAGGCATTTTTCTTTATGTCTTTGTTGATTTCCCTACTGGAAGGGGTTTTCATAAATTTACTTGTGACCTTCCTTGGCTCCTCTGGCTCTATTCTGTACCTAAGTTTTCAGGTTCTCATTTTGAATTTTCTATGACAGAATTTCACGAACAGAACCATAGCAGTGGAGGGAACTATGGCTTGTGAATGTGTCCCTTTCATCAGAGTCCACTAGAGTGTGATAACTAGACCTGCCACTCCCTGAGGGCAAGGGCTAGGTCTCGCATCTCTTCATCTTCAGCACCCACCTCGCACAGCACTTTGTACATTGCGTGCACTCAGTATTTGTTTGTTAACTTTAACTGAATATAAACAATTAGGTCCTATGGAAGAAAGTTATGACCACTACTGACCATTTTGAAAATACCAGAACATTTTATAAAATCAGCTAAAAATTTAAGAGAATGAGTGAACAACTACTAAGGCTGCTTAAAATATTACCAAAAATGTCCCCAGAAATCAAAAAATGAGAAGAGGATGTAGCAAGGGGGGAAATGTGATAGTGATTTTGGAAAAGGAAAGACCCTGAAGTTACCGACCAAGTAATAACATTAAACCAGCAGGAAAAAAAAATCTGTTCTTGACTTAGATGATAATGAAGTCCCACTATATGTAGAAAGCTCTTATGAAGGAAAGCGTTGTCAATTGATTGCTCTTCTGGCAAATCTGTGAACTCTGAAGGTACATTTGCAGTGATGCAAAACACTTCTCATGAAATGTTGCTAAAATGATTTCCGTTACTTTAGTAAGAAGCTGTTCAACATTCTTTAAGTATTACTTGTATGATTACACAGGGAAATTTCAACAGAGAAGAATTATGTAGTATAGAGTACAATTGTAAGTCTCAAATTATTGACTTGGCAAAAATAATCTATAATTAAGATTCCTTAGCGAATTACTATTTTTGTGCAGTTTTATAAAGGAAAATGACTAAGCTAGGGACCCCTCCCCTGCCCCGACAAATTACCACTTCTTCATCCTGGTTATAGCTCTTATCACATTGTATTATCATTGCACATTTACCTCTATCTTCAACCACATGTGAAATCCTAGAATTCATAGGTAATGTCTTACTCAGTCTTGTATCTCTGGTGCCTTGCACAGTGCTCAGTGCATAGGACACAGTAGGTGTGCAATAAATCTTATTTGCATATATGAATAAAGGCAAAAACATGACAAGTAAGGTCCAGAGATTCATTTTAGGAGGAGGAAGATAAGTCAAGTTTCTGTAGGGCTCTTTTTAATTTTTAAAATGTTAACAAAGTCCTATAGTATCTGTTAGTATGGCAAGTTTGTTCATTATACATTATTGTTTATGATTTTATTTTCCAATGAAAAGAGTGAGTTACAGGCTCAAGATCAGTTATGGTCATTGATTCCTTCCTAGTTCAGAATACTGAAATTTACCCAGACCACAGCCAAGTCATTTATTTACCGTTAAAATATTTACGTACACCCTCACTGCTAAATTTTTACATCTAGAAAGTAGATTTGCATAAACTGAAAATTAACAGCATAATATGACTTCAGTAAATCCTGCCAAAATTCCAGCAACACACTTGGTGCAGAGCTGATGTAAAAGTGGAAAAATGACATTACCTGCACCTTTATTTAAGGATTACATACATCAATGGTTTTATATCTGAAGGACGTGGCAGCAATAACCACAAATACTATAGGCAAGAGAGAAGAAAGTTGTTCATGCCCCACAGCTGAGAAGGCACCACTAGAGAAAAGATAAGATTTTAAAGAAGAAATTAAAGTGTTCAGAATGGACATATTTGCTTAATCTATTTATTAGTGAGACAGACTCCCATTTCATTATGGAATAACTGTCTAAGGAAACTCTTCAAAGACTCACCATCTATGACAGTCATCAGATGGGAAAATAAAAACATCTTTCTACCCTTAAGTCTGTAGGAAAAGAACAATTGTGTTCTTGATCAGGCAGGGTCTTGATGGTGCCTGATATACAGTAAGCACTCACTAAATCTTTGTCAAATGAGTAAATGAACTCCACAAGAACAATAGAAACTCACTGTTCCCATTTATGATATAAGTAAATGATGAGGTTAGTATGTACTCTTAGTATAAGAGTCAAAACTGCTGCTCCAGTACCATTGGGTCAAAAGCTGATGGTGATACGAAGTGCATCTTATGATCAAAGCATTTACAATGAAGATTTCTGTGTAGATTTTGTGTAGAATGATGAGTATGCATATGGGGAGCCAAGTTATATCTTTTGACACCAGATTATCTCCCCGCTCCAAGGGAACCTGTTTTATAAGCTAAGGGGCTGGTTTCTCCCACTTGGTATCTGGAAATGTGTTAATTTGTCATCAGTTTCTAGGGCTGATGGAGGACAAAAATCATCCTTCCACCCTCTCTAGATTTGGGTGCAAATGTTCCTGAGGCTGCCTTTTCTTATAATCAATTAACTGGGATAACATTGTGTACATAAGCTCCACGGTGGGTTGGCATTGCCTATGCAGGTGATATGCTTTGGATATTTGTCCCCACCCAAATCTCATGTTGAACTGTAATTCCCAGTGTTGGAGGTGGGGCCTGGTGGGAGGTGTTTTGATCATGGGGGTGGATCCCCCATGAATGGCTTGGGACATTCCCTTAGTGATAAGTGAGCTCTCACTCTGAGTTCACAGGAGATCTGATCACTTAAAAGTGGGTGGCACCCCCCTCCCACTCTCTCTCTCTTGCTCCTGCTTTTGCCATGTGATGTGCCTGAACCCTCTTCACCTTCTACCATGATTGTAAGCTTCCTCAGGCCTCCCTAGAAGCTGAGCAGATGTCAGCACCATGCTTCCTGTTCAGACTGCAGAATGGAGAGCCAATTAAACCTCTTTTCTTTATAAATTATCCAGTCTCAGATATTTCTTTATAGCAATGCAAGAACAGCCTAATACAATGGACTCTACATGTTCCCCAGTGCCCAGAAGAAATGTTTTTCTGCTTGTAATCTGTTCTTTTCCTCCGACTGTCAGTAACCATAGGTCAGCAATTTTTTAGCCTCATATGTGCCACAGAAGACAAGAAATTTTCACTGGTACACTTGGTAGATTTCAGGAATAAACAGAAGAAAGAGAATAAGGAAGAAGATTAGGAGGGAGGGGTTTATTTTTTTCATGAGAGCTGTTTTTTAAATAAGATTGCCGCAAAGAGAACTCAAATGGGAGCCACATAAACAGGCAATTTTAACAGCCACATAAGAGGCAACTTACTTTAAGAGGAAGAAATATGAAAACTTGCTTCTAAAATTAAGGGTGGGAGTGCAAAAAACAAAAATAAAATCTCCAAGGAACAGCCAAATGAAAACAACAGAAGCTGAAGAAAGAGAAAGGACCAAGAGGCAACTATGCTGCTTTCAAAACTCCCAGAAACAAAGTTTTAATTCCGTGATTAGTATTAGTCTTTTTAGGGATGGAGTTGGGTTGGGAGGAACAACTTTTTGGTTTAAAAAGGATGGGGATATTACTGGAATTGGCCATTTAAAAGCATTTATTTTTTATTAGGCAGGCATGGTGGTACCCGCCTATAGTCCCAACTACTTGGGAGGCTAAAGTGGGAGGATCACCTGAGCCCAAAAGATAGAGGCTGCAATGAGCTGCAACAATCATGACACTGCACTCCATCATGGGCAACAGAGTGAAACCTTGTCTCAAAAAAAAAAAAAAAAAAAGCATTTGCTTTGTATCTAAAATTAGGTATAATTTATACATTTGAATATACAAATATTTATTGGAAGTTTACTAGGTGCCAGAAGGAAACAAAACAGTGTTTCTGATCGCATGGATTTTACATGATAGTGAGGGAATGCAAAAATAAAATCATTAACAAATAAATATGTCAGGTAGCATTAAATTTTGAGAAGAAAAATAAAGCAGTGAAGGGGAACAGAGCAGCAGGAATGTACCCAGTATTTTAAATTGAATGATCAAGGAAGGGTGCTGGTTATTCTCTGATCGCCATCTCCTCCCTCACCCTTTTCAATTCATTCTCCACTTTGCTTTGCTCTCCAAGATGGCCCTCAATTATTTCTTGGCTTCTACTGTTCATACTCTGGTATAGTCTCTTCCCACACTGAGTCAGAACTGATCTGTGTGACTAATAGAATGTGGCTGAAGTGACAATGTGTGATTTTTCAAGGCTAGGTCATAACAGGCCCTGTAGCTTCCACCTTGGCCTCCTTGAGCATTTGCTCTGGGGGAAACCAGGTGCCATGTTGTGAGGTCACTCAAGTTGCCCTGTGGAGAGGTCGATGTGGGGAGGATCTTAGGTCTCCTGTCAACAACCAGCACCAACTTGCCAGCCATGTAAGCGAGCCACCTTGGAAATGGATCCTCCACCCCAGACAAGCCTTCAAACAACTGACATTTTGACTGTAACCTCAAGTTAGACTGAGGGCCAGAAATGTTAAGATAAGCTGCTCCCAAATTCCTGACCCACAGAAACTATAAGAGAAAAAAAGTATATATTGTATGAAACCGCTGTTTTGGGGATCATTTGTTATATACCAGTAGATAACTTGTATAGTACCCAGTACTTCATTACTCCAACTCCCTCGATCTCTGATTTCCATCTGTGTTAGACCAGCGGGTAGAAAGTGAGGTCAGTGTGTCTATTCCTCAGCATTCTTCTCTGGTCCTGGTTTCCTTCCTCAAGAACCACAACTTCTTCTGGGCAGCCCCACAGGTGTCCAGGACTGCAAATCTCTGCATTCCTCCAACACTAGCCCATTCGAGCCTAGGTGTGGCATCAGATCTTGCTGTTGGTTTCCTGATCCCCACACATACCTCTGTAAATACTCCCTTCATTCTCCTAAAAATGGTGTGCCTTCTATTTCCTAATATACCCAGGCTGATACAAACATCCTCCTGCAGGAGAAGACATTTAGACAGAGACCTGAAGGAAGTGAGAGGAGGCCTCCTAACATCTAGGGAAGAATATTTCAACAAGTGCACAGTACTCTCCCCTGAGACTGCAGAAGTTGGGTGTGTTCAGAAGCATCAAGGAGGGGTCAGCATGGATAGAGCAGAATGCACACATAGGGTATAAGGATGGGGCAGTAGTCGGGGGCTATACTTCATAGAGTTTTGTTGGTCACGGTTGTATTCTGAGTGTGATGTACAGCCACGGGGTGGGAAATGGTCTGAACAAGGGCATGACATGATCTGACTTGCATTGTGAGACCAGAATGACGCTAGCCAAAATAGAAACTAGAACAATGAGGAGGGCCTTTTGGAATTTAGAAAGATGATGTTGGCTTGGCTTAGGATGACAAATAGTAAAGGCAAGGGGGAGAGATTGGATTCAGGCTCTATTTTGAAACTAGGGCTATAAGAATTTGCTGCTGACTTGGATGTGAGGGAAGGAGAGTAAGGGTGAGGAAGACTCCAAAGTGAATGGTGACTGGTGGAGCTATTTACTAGGATGGACTCAAGAGAGTGGAGGGGGCAGTGTGGAGTGAAGAGGGAAGGAAATCAAGAATTTGTTCATCTCAATTTCCAAAGAGGAAAAAGGAAAAGCCTAATCTTCCACTGTTAAAAAGGAAGATGAGAGGTAATTTTTCATTTTACAAAAAAAAAAAAAAAAAAAAAAAAAAAGAAAAAGGACCTGTATTCATAGAGTAACATCCCTATGTCCTGGCCTATTAGAATATCGCCATTAGAAGACTTTTTAAAATCAAGGAGCACATTCTCAATTTTAGTTGGAAGTGCGATCACCTCTTGGTAATTTGACTCTCCAAAGGTCAGACTAAATAAATCCAGGAGCTAAGGCCTTCTGAGGGTCCATGGCCCCTCTCGTCTGTGATAAAACTCAACCCGCCTGTAGGTGGAAGATTCTACACCACTGAGGATTCTAATTATCCTGCCTGTAAAAGATAATCTCACTGGTTAACTTCACATGACTTTCTTTTTTTTAAATTTGAAATGTGACTACCTTCAGCTCCAGGATGTGACAGGAAACAAGACTCAACAGATACTTCCGCTTTTCTTGGGACAGCACCCTTCAGCCCACTTCCGTAGTCAGGGCTACTCTTACCATAAAAGTAGAGCTGTGCCCCCACCCAAACCAAGAGGCTCACTTCTTACACAACGTCGGTTACCTGCTTTTCCTTTGCAGACTTGAAGTGTCAGAGAATCTGCCAATTGGGGTTGACACTCCCGCTTACAGACTTCCCTCTACAGACGCTGCAGAGACCAAGTGGCATTCGTCACCTCTCCTCTGTGCTGAGGGGAGAAGGCGACGCCCTGTGCCTCATGGTGGGGTCAGCTGCATGCTCACTCCCACCCTCCCAGTCTGCAGCCTGCCTGGGGATGCCAGTTCACAGGCCTGTCTTGATGCCAACGGGCGTTTGTTGTTGTTGTTGATTTCATAATGACCTCTGTCTAAAAATTCTGTAGGCTTCCAGGAAGGGACACAGCATACCGTGATAAAATGGATTTTTCCACCCCTCCCCCCCTCTGGTTACCATGGAAACTCTGAATGACTGATTTCCTGGTTGCCATGTAGATGCAGTGGGATCCCAGCCGCTGCACCACACAAAGACGTCAGTAAGAATAGCGAGAAAACAAAACAAAACCAAAAGAATCATGTTTGAAAAGACAAAGGATTGCATCTCAAGCTTTCTTCTCTCACACAAAAGTGGAGGGAAGGAAGCAATTGTAATTAGGAATGGTGCCCTTCCTGGAGTAGGGGTGCATGCACCTGTCCCACATGGGAGGGAAGACTGGAAAAAGGGGAAATCCCTTTTTTGTAGCCAGGGGTGTTGGCATGGTGACGGGCAGGCAGATGCCATTCTCAGGTGACTAGAGCCCTTCAGCACTCAGCCTGCGTTCCACCAAGGAAACCTGAAATATTCAGCTGGGTGGCAGAATTAAGTTAGGTAGAAAACAAAGCAAAAAACAGGTCGCACACACATTTTTTTAGAATGTTCTTCTTTTTATAGTTCTAAATTTTAGAATTAAGATTCCAAATGCTTGAATTTAATATGGGGTTGAGGTTGAATTTTTACTTCTATCCAACAACTTCAGAGAATTAACAACAAATTTAGCTGCTTTCCTGTCTTTTTAAAATTGATTTGTAACAGCCTGATAAAACCACATAAGAAAAATTGATTAATCCAGGTTTATATGGTTTTCATAACCTAGGTATTATCCATCTTTAGTAATATGTATGATGAGAACTTGTGTGTGAAAAAAATTGTATGTAAAAAATATTCTATATTACTCCAAATATATACAAAAACTAAAATGGTTGATAACTCACCTCCTTGATTTTTCATGATTATATCTGAGTCAAGTAGTTTAAAATTAATCTGTTTTTCCTTTTCCAATATCCACCTTTCTGCCTTTTGACAAATGGTTTATACATTTTAAAAACTGAATCTAGTAGGATTCACAGAGTTACTGGTGCTTTACTGTTAATTTTTGGCAGCTGAATCACAAGGTCATTTTGTAATACCTATCTTGTCAAAGGTGGAAGCTGCAATGAACTGGAGTGTCCCATGTTTTATAGATGCTGGAGCAGTGATGTCGAGACAAAACTCTGTGCCCGGGGGACTACAGAGCACAAAGAGGATGGATCCAGCCCTGTAACTACCATTTCTTAATATTATTTCCAGCATATACCACTGACTCATCACTCAGGCCAGCACGTCCCAAACTGGATCAATAGGTGGCACGCAGGGTAAAAAGTGCAGATGGGGAATTCAGAGCTCAAATCATTTTGCAAAATCTTAGGTTCAAGAACATTGACCAGGTTTATTTACCATGGGACTTCTCGGGGCTTTTGATATTCTGACATCTGGGATGACTCTCTGAGAGGGAGTTCTACAGAATAAGAATGGCATTTCCCAAACGTATTTGGCCACTGAGTACTGCCTTCACAGAATCTCTCGTAGTTCTTCAGAGCATACTTTGAGAAATGCTGGGCAAGATTGCCTCTAAGATCTAATTATAGTTTAAAGATCCATGGATATTTATTTATTTATTGAGACAGGTCTCACTGTCACCCAGGTTGGAGTGCAGTGGTATGATCTCAGCTCACTGCAGCCTTGACCTCCTGGGTTCAGTCAATCCTCCCACCTCAGCCTCCTGAGTAACTGGGACCACACAGATGCGCACCACCATGCCTGACTAATTTTGGTATTTTTTTGTAGATATAGGGCTTCGCCGTGTTGCTCGGGTTGGTCTCAAACTCCTGGGCTCAAGCAATCCACCTGCCTTGGTCTCCCAAAGTGCTGGCATGAGCCACTGCACCAGCCTTTATTTATGATTGAAAATTACCTATTTTTAAAAAGTGATTTGGCCCATATGATACACTAATTTAGCCCATAGAGAAACAGATTTTTAAGAGAGCCAAGAGAAAAAAAACAATTCACAATAAATTCAGTGTTTTTTATCTATTTTAAATCAAAGCAAGAGCACCAAGTTGTTTCAATAAAAATTGTGGCAGGAGGGCTGGGCATGGTGGCTAACGCCTGTAATCCCAGCACTTTGGGAGGCCGAGGTGGAAGGATCACGAGGTCAAGAGTTTGAGACCAGCCTGCCCAACATGGTGAAACCCCATCCCTACTAAAAATACAAAAAATTAGCTGGGCCTGGTGGCGTGCGCCTGTAATCCCAGCTACTCAGGAGGCTGAGGCAAGAGAATCACTTGAACCTGGGAGGCAGAGGTTGCAGTGAGCCAAGATCATGCCATTGCACTACAGCCTGGGTGACAGTGTGAGACTCTGCCTCAAAAAAAGAAATTGTGGCAGGAGGTAAAGAGGAACAGATACCAAGGCCATGGTGTGGTGCCTCCAGCTGGGAGTCAGCTGGAAACTATGGTAGGTTCTCCCGGGAAGGAACCACCAATGCTCAGGGGACCTTCTTGGAACTGAGTCCTCTTCCGTGGAGGTTTTGGGGCTTCCATCTGACCATATTAACTCTTTATATAACACTCCTCTCCACCCACACACACACACACAGGGCTGTCAACAACAGCAGAGTCACCAGCAACTTCAGCTCCACTGAAGCCAATGAAGAAAACAATGACTTAGAGAAACTCCTCCTCCTCTTCACTGTGACATCATGAGTCAGAAGGGGACAGTCTCAGACATAAGATCTGCCCCCTACCCAGCCTAGTCCAGCTTACCCTGGGGAGAGAGAGTTTGAACCATATATGAGATGGGAAACCAGACCAGATTGTTTTAATAAACACAAGTGACGACTTATGAGTTATGACAGAGAATCAAATATTGTTAAGGGGACTGGGTCCCTAGAGGGAAAGGAGAGCCAGTGACAGGAACACACAGCTGGTAGCAGCCATTTGCAAGATAAAACTGCTCCATGTTTCTGCCTCAACAAATTGAATGTCTTCAATCAAACTGGTTGAATATCTGGGACAGCCACGAGAACAAAGTAGGAAGGAGCAGAGCGAACTGAGAAGAGAACACACAGCCAGGAGATGCACAGAAAGGAGATACATTTCCTTTGCCTGAGTCACCAGAAGAGTCTTTAGAGCCACGGTGGAAACCAAGGTGGTGACCAAGGGGTGGGGAGGAGAAAGGGGGCCTTGCAGGCTGAGGCCACTGGCTGCTTGGAAGCATGAGTTGGGGCAGAGCATGGCTTATTCTGTGAGCCATGAATAGCTTGGCATAGTGGGACCAAAAGGCCAGGCTGTGTGGGTGGGGTGGACTGAAGAGGTGGGCTGGGGTTAATTGAGGAAATACCTTCCATGGCAATTCAATCAAAATGGAAACATGAGGAACCATTAAAACTGTTAGTCAAGAGGACTGATGTGACTGGGTTTGCATGTTGGAAAGACTGCCCCATAACAGTGTGGGATAGGCATTGAAAGAAAGTAGGGTTGAGGGCAGGAGCAGAGTGGACACACTCAAAATATTTGAGTTTTTTTTTTTTTTAACTTTAAGTTCTGGGATGCGTGTGCAGATCGTGCAGGTTACATAGGTATACATATGCCATGTGGTTTGCTGCACCCACCAACCTGTCATCCAGGTTTTAAGCCCTACATGCATCAAGTGTTTGTCCTAATGCTCTCCCTCCCCTCACCCCCGACAGGCCCCAGTGTGTGATGCTCCCATCCCTGTGTCCATGTGTTCTCATTGTTCTATATGAGGGGTTTCTATAGCAGTTGGCAGTCAGGTGTCTGGGTATGTCTGTGAGGAGGTAAGAGAGAGAGAAGAGCAAGAAAGAGGAGGTCAGCATTAATTCCAAGAGTAAGACAACCAAGTAGATGTTTGTGCCTTCATCCAGCCCTTCAACAAGTGTATATTTGCATTAATATAGAAGCATCATTTCTTCCCTCTCCCCTGAAGACCTTTCCTATGATTTACGGAAAGGAGAGCATTGATTAAAAACACCTGAAATAGTTCAGCTAATTATAACTTAATTGGGTTGTTAGTCTCTTCTGCGGTCTTTAGCTGCAACATCTCAGCCTGCTACCTTAGTGGCAACAAGATTAACAGCAGAGTTCTCCAGAGGGAGAAGAAAATTTTCCTTCAATTCTGGCAAATAGGCCAGGCGTGGTGGCTCACGCCTGTAATCCCAGCACTTCTGGAAACCGAGGCGGGCAGATCACTTGGGGTCAGGAGTTCGGGACCAGCCTAGACAACACGGCAAAACCCTATCTCTACTAAAAATACAAAAATTAGCTGGGTGTGGTGGTGTGTGCCTGTAATCCCAGCTACTGGTGAGGCTGAGGCACGAGAATTGCTTGAATCCAGCAGGTGGAGGTTGCAGTGAGCCGAGATTGTGCCACTGCACTCCAGCCTGGGCAACAGAGTGAGAATCTGTCTCAAAAAAAAAAAAAAAATTCTGGCAAATAACTGTACTCTGAAAAAGGGTCACACACAGGCCATTTGTGGTAACATAGGCCAACCAACCATCTTGTTAAATAAATTTTGAGCCCTGAGTAGGTCTGTGACCACTGGGGTGGGACCTCAGGAAAAGCTACTCTGGCACTGGGACAGTGGGTGTCCCAGCTGCTGAGCACTTCCGTTTGCGTGTGCGGAGCCCTGCGGCTGCTGCAAAAGAAATTCTGCCTGCCAGTCATAGGTTCCATTATTGCTGAGCACAACTTGGACAGCTCTACAGGCTGTAGAAAGAAGAAACAAATGAACTGTTCTGGTGAAGACCTGGGGAAGATGCTTCCTTGTTCTCTCTACAAAATAACATGTATTAAAATTGAATTTTTTAGAAAATGTATTTCAAGACATCAACGCCAGACTAAAAGATTCTAATTGTACCTTCTTGCATGAATCCCTATGTCTAGACTAGATATTATCAGGACAATAGTCTCATATCTGAATAAGCTTTTAGTGTTCTGGCTCTGAATAGGAGGATTTTTGAAGGATCTCAATTTTATTATGATTTAGGTCAGGATAGAGCAAATAAGCATGACATCATGGTAACCAACTAGGAGAGCTAAAAAGGAGGCCCTCTTGACAATAGGAAAATAACATACAGTGACTTAGAAACTTCATTAGACAGAATGTTCAGAGACCAGCCTGTATTCCTTGATGGGATTTTCTGGGTAGCTGTGTGTAAACAGTTAACTTATATTAAACATCTTTCTTAAATATATTAATAATATAATTTTCATGCAGTCTATTGGACACAATTTATTCTTCTTTCTTGATGGAGTCTGCATTGCCTGGAACTGTCATTAAGATCACAGTTGTCATCGTATGGCCCCAAAGAAAAGCATTTCCTTGTATCTATACCTACCTCTATATGCTGGAAGTCATGTCTATTTCACAATAATTTCCTATTTCCTACAAAGTGATTTTTCTCATCTGCCTCCATCCTACCCTTCCCTTTTCATGTGCCTTAATGTTTTGCTTGCTTGTTTTCTTTCCTTTTAATGGTTCTGTTGAAATATTACTGTGGACTTCAAAGCCAGATTACCTGGGTTCAAATCCGGGCTCCAACACTTAATTAGCTGTGTGACTTTTCTATGCTCTGGGATTCTTGTCTGTAAAATGGAGAGAAAAATAGTATCTACCTTAGAGGATTACAGTGAGGATTATATGAATTCATACAGAACAAACAGTGCCAGGCTTTTTGTTTGTTTGTTTGTTTGGTGCAGCCTCTAAACATAGGGTTCCCAAACCTGGTCAAATATTCAGAATCACCTGGGGAGAAATTTTAAAGTCTAGATTCCTGGACTCCCTGCCATAGATTCTAACTCAGTCAGTCTGGAGAGGGGCCTGTTGCAGCTGATTCACAGAGTAACATTTGGGAACCATTACTTAAAATGTGGGGGTCTCCTGTGGTGCTATCCTTGTTTTTCCCTCCTATTCTCTTGCATTTTCCTCCATTTGTAAGTTTGGAGTTTTCTTTGCCTGCCAGTTATGGACCTATGTATAAATAACTACCCATCTTCTTACTTGCTAAACTGACCAATCATAGTATTTTATTGATCTTGGGTTTCATATTATGCATTTGTGGTCACTCCTCCTGGTATGATTGTGACTTCTGCTCTCGGAAAAAAATTACCAGATATGTGAAGACTCCAATTAATCTAGATTCGCTGTGGTAAAAGGTAGTACATTGTTGTAGCATTATACATGAGGGACTGAACCTAGCTTTAGGGCTCAGGATATTGTAAGGTAGGAGAAGCTTCAGGGATTTGCTTATCTAACATAACTAACTGATATAAAAGAAAGAAGGGGGTTGTCTTCTGGCATATAAGAATAGCAGATGTGCTAAAAGGCAGTCATTTACAGAGCTCTGAAAGGTCTGGCTACTGTCCTGGTTGCTTGACCTATGGGCAGATTGACAGAAGTACATTCTTTCTCTCTTTATCCATTCACTGAGTCCAAAACCACCTTACACTCTACCTCAGGAAATATTTGGAGGCAACAGAATGAATGACAATCCAGGCACAAGGCTGAGAAGCAAAATTTAAGATGCAGAGAGTTTGAGATTGGGGCACCAGTGGAAGAGGGAGAACAGAAATGAGGTATTTACAGAGGAGAGAAGTCTGTCAGTAAACTGGGAACTGGGCAACTTTGGGGACTGCATCCAGAGTGGAGAACCAAGACTCTGCCCAATAAAGAGGGAGGAAGACAAATGGGCTCAAGGAGCTACTTTGGATTCTCTGTTGGTGGTAGATTTTGTGTGGAACATTTTATAGATGTCACAGGGGACATGATTGACAGAAAGATGCAACAGACACTGTACAGGAACATAAAGCTTCTTAATGATAAAATAAGGGATGAAGAAAGTTCTGGGAGTAAAGGAGAAGACAAAGTGTCATGCTCCCAGACCGAGGTACAGGCTTCCATATTCCCAGCTCCTACGATGACATCTAGCTACTGATGGAGCTACCCAGGTGGAGCAGTGATTTCACCAGACATGAGAAACTCACCTCTGCCATTCTTACAGGTACTCTTATACCTTCTGGAGTCCTTCACAGTACCCTGGTTGCCAGATGCAAGTAATTGATACAAAACTATAACACATTTCTAATGCTTATTGCAAGACAGTCAGTCAAAGACCAATTCCCCAGGAGCATCCTACAACTCGCTGAAGTTGCAAGACTGTTGGAGATCTACCCCTAGAGTTGTAATAACATGAAGTTAGACATGGTTCTGCATATATTCCAGGACTCCATATTTATATTGAATGACTAAAAGTAAAGCTGTTTAAAAAATTAAAAATGTTGTGGTACATCTTGCTCTTTTTCCATTTAAAAAAATTAAAGCATAATTTGCATATAGCAAAATTTACCCTTTTTAAAGTAGTTATGTGAGTTTGACAAACACACACAATCATGTAACCACCACCACGATCAAGATATAGAACAGCTGCATCACCCCTAAAATTCTCTCATACTCCTTTGCAGTTAACTCCTCCAACCCCTGGCGTCTGACAACCATTGATCTGTTTTTATCTTGTGAAAGGAAAATAAATCTTGGGAACCCAAAATCACTAAGCCAAACAGAAAAGGCAAGCTGGGAACTGTGTAGGGCAAACCCACCTCACATTCTATTCCCAAAAAAGATAGCTACTAAGACAAAAAAGGTAGATACCTCCCTCACAAGGAATTTCCTTGAGGACAAAGGGCAGACAGAACTCGAAGTCATCCCTCTGCTCATTTTGTAAACGCTAATCAGAAACTCAAAAGAATGCAACCATTTGTCTCTTAGCTACTTATGACCTGGAAGCCTCCTCCCTGCTTCAAGTTGACCCACCTTTCCAGACTGAACCAATGTTCATCTTACATGTGTTGATTGATGTCTCATGTCTCCCTAAAATGTATAAAGCCAAGCTATGCCCTGACCACCGTGGACATATGTCATCAGGGCCTTCTCAGGCTGTGTCACAGGTGTGTTCTTAACTTAGGCAAAATAAACTTCCTAAATTGACTAAGACCTGTCTCAGATATTTCGGGCTCACAATCTGTATAGTTTTGCTTTTCCCAGATGTCAAATACATGGAATCATGACAATAGGTAGTCTTATGGGCTTGAGTTATTTGACTTAGCACACTGTAATGGAGATTCATCCATGGGGTGTACATACTATGGGGTCACTTATTGCTGAGTGTCTTGCATTTTTATTTTTTTTGAGACAGGGTCTCACTCTATTGTCCAGGCTGCAGTGCAGTGGTAGCACAATCACAGCTCACTGCAGCCTTGATCTCCCAGGCTCAACCAATCCTCTCACCTTAGCCTCTTGAGTACCTGGGACTAAAGATGTGCACTACCAAGCTGGCTAATTTTTTATATTTTTTGTAGAGATGGAGTCTGTATTAGCTAGAGTTCTCTAGAGGGACATACGATAGATGTATATATAAACGGGAGTTTATTAGGGAGTATTGTGCTTTAACATATGAATGCTGTATCTCAATAAAAAATTTAAAACATTTTTCTTTTTGTCAATATATAATTTGTAGCAAGTGGAACAAGGACTTCCTAAGTAAACAGATCTGGGTAATCATTTGTTATGTCGGATTTGGACACATTTCTTGATCTCCTTGATTTTCAGTTTATCTGTGTAAATGGGATTAATAACCCCCCCTTTTTTTTTTGAGACAGAGTCTCGCTCTGTTGCCCAGGCTGGAGAGCAGTGGTGCAATCTCGGCTCATTGCAACCTTTGCCTCCTGGGTTCAAGCGATTCTCCTGCCTCAGCCTCCTGAGCAGCTGTGATTACAGGTGCACGCCACCACGCCTGGCTAATTTTTGGATTTTTAGTAGAGATGGGGTTTCACCATGCTGGCCAGGCTTGTCTCAAACTCCTGACCTCAGGTGGTCTGCCCACCTCAGCCTCCCAAAGTGCTGGGATTACAGGCATTAATAAACACTTTTCAGAATTGTGTAGATCTCATAAAATAATGAATATTAAGTTCTGCCATATAATATGCATAAGGTACTGTTAACAATTATCCAAAACTTGGAAATTAGCAAGTCTTTTCAGTGTCAGTGGGGCTTGTGTGTAGACCTGAGGGGGTGATTATCTGATTCTCCAGGTGGGTACTTTTGTTTGACTTCCTATTTACTACTGACGAGGATATTTTACAACTCTCAGTATAAAAGTTAACTCATAGGAGCAATGCAAATAATTCTCGTCAAAGAGCAATACAGAGGGATAAAAATATCTTGGTTGGAAATATCACTCCAAGGTTACACTATTATTGCCCTCTGGACATGAACCAATTTTGTATCTAAATTATGAATCTTATTCAAACATTCTTCTTTTTCAGCCTCTATAAATACTTCAGTTTTTCCTATTTCAACTGCCTGCTGGTTCCCTCATTAACAAGTTAAAAAACCTTTGACTTGTGCTCCCTTTATATTTGAATGAGTCATACTTTTTTTTTTTTTTTTGAAACGGAGTCTCACCCTGTCACCCAGGCTGGTATGCAGTGGTGCAATCTCAGCTCACTGCGGCCTCTGCGTCCTGGGTTCAAGAGATTCTGCTGCCTCAGCCTCCCAAGTAGCTGAAACTACAGGCATGCGACCCCACACATGGCTAATATTTTTGTATTTTTAATAGAGACAGTGTTTCACCATGTTGGCAAGACTGGTCTCCAAATCCTGACCTCAGGTGATCCACCCGCCTCAGCCTCCCAAAGTGCTGGGATTACAGGCATGAGCCACCACCCCTGGCCGAGTTATATTTTAATTTTGTATCTGGCAATAATTAACAGAGTGCTTTGCTCATAATAAGTGTTTGATAAACTTTAGCTTTTATTCTCATCCCAACTTTTTTTCTCCCTATATCTAGGTATGGGAAACAATATTAAATGAGGTATGTTTCTTTCATAACTGATTTTCCAGTTTATTTTTATTTCATCAACGTTAAGTTGAGATCAGGCCGGGTGCGGTGGCTTATGCCTATAATCCCAGCACTTTGGGAGGCCAAGGCGGGTGGATCACCTGAGGTCAGGAGTTTGAGACCAGCCTGGCCAACATGGTGAAGCCCCGTCTCTACTAAAAACTACAAAAATTAGCCAGGTGTGGTGGCAGGTGCCTATAATCCTAGCTACTTTGGAGGCTGAGGCAGGAGAATCGCTTGAACCCGGGAGGCAGAGGTTACAATGAGCCGAGATCATGCCACTGCACTCTGGCCTGGGCAACAGAGGAAATCTCTGTCTCAAAAAAAAAAAAAAAAAAAGATGAAGTCACTTAAAATCATAATATTGAAAATATTTTATTGTTTATAAAAACAAACTTTTAGTGATAGGTTAGCATTAAGGTTTTTTTATTGTAATGAGCAGGAATAGAGAATCCTATAAATTTGCCTTATGATTTTTTTTTTCCAGGCACATTTAAGGGTGTGTAGAGGAGAATGGAGTAGGGGAAGGAGAAGTACATTAGACTTAATAGATTTTGGTTAGGTTTTGCAAAACCAGTGGTAAATGGCATACTGGTGCTTGCTGGAGTTGTGGTGAGGGGAGAGGACACTAATGAGGCAGGCAGTATATTAAAAATTAACAATAAAACTTCATGTGACTTTTTATATTTTTAAAAGCATTTTCATATACATTATTTTATTTAACCCTCAAAGCAACATCATAATATATATTCTTATGTTGCATATAGAATACTGGCACAAAGAGTTCAAGGTGACTCAATGAATTAGTGACTTTTATAGAACAGAGACCACTTCCAAATCTAGTGCTTTCCCTGTGATACTGCATGACTACTACCCTAGCTACTGCTATGCATTGGGTGTTTTCATTCCCCCACTAATTCATATGTTGAAGCCTAAACCCCCAGTGTGATGGCATTTGGAGGTGAGGTCTTTGCGAGATAATCAGGTCATGAGGGTGGACGCTTCCTGAATGGGATTCATGCCCTTATAAGAGACAGGAGAGAGATGATCATGATCTCTCCTCTGCCAAATGAAGGTACAATGAGAAGACAGCCTTCCGCAAACTAGGAAGAGAACCCGAACCAAACACTAGATCTGCCAGTGCCATGATACTAGATACCTCAGCCTTCAAAACTGTGAGAAATAAATTTCTATTGTTTAAGTCACCCAGTCTATAGTGTTCTGTATAGCATCCCGAACTAAGACACCTACCAAATCTATTTATAATATATGTTTCCCTGTAAAGCCCTTATCCTGAAACTTCTAAGACTGGACATTTAAAGCTTCCTTAAAGCATCTCCCAGCAAAAGACCTGAAAATTAGTAATAAGACTAATATTTACAATGGAGGAGAAAAAGAAAAATATAGTTTTTGCTAAAGTTTTCTACTTTGTTAAATGTTTACATTTGTTCTCAATTCTAAAAGGAAGACACTTTGGGCTTTGGGAGCCTCAAAAATTTGGGTCTTTTCTTTATTGAGAAGTTGTAGGTCAGGGGAGCAGTGGATGATCCTGTAAGTTTACCTTAAAATGGCTTTCTAGATGCATCTGAGTGTTTGCAGAGACACACAGAACATGGGATTCAGGAGTGGGTTAGACTTTGACGTGCTGGGTCAGCATATCTCAAATCAAAGGTAGGGGGTGGTGTGGGTTTTTGCTGAAGTTGAGAGGTGGGGAGAGGCAACTGGGGAAGACAGTTTGCAAACAGCTATCTTATTTATCTGTATAGCCTTGGACCTCTGAAACATTACAGCTAAAGACAGCTGGGAGAACTGAGGTCTGAACATAAATAGTAATGTTTCTCCTACTCAGGATGAAACAAATGAAGTTAGAATGTAGGTTTAGATGCTAAAAGAGTCAAAAGCCTAGATGCCCAGTCTTTCTCTTCATCTCCTACTTTCTGGCCCTTTATGCCTCTTCTGTGATTCAATTAGTTCACTGCTGCTTCTTGCTTCTTACAGTAATTGTTGACTCTCAGCTTCACTCTTCACCTCAACTGAGCTGGGGGCCATTCATAAACATCAGGTTAACCTAGAAGCTTTCTTTTGTCTCCTCTTTTGCTAGTTCCTCAGAGAGGGCATGAAAGGAGCTGAGCCACTCTCTGGAGCCTAATTCTACATCCTTCACCTTCTATTAAGTTACATTCTGCTACCTTGGTTAAGACTCTGCTGACTTTTAGAGCCCTCGGCTCTTTTAGCACTGAATTTTTGTCCTTATTCATTTATATAGAAGCGGGGTAGACATTTAGGGTAACTTTAAACCAGGTATATAATAAAGTATTCTAACTCAGAGCAGGATATAGCACAAATAAATCGAATGCCCCGAAGGGAATGGAAAAGAAAATCTATTTCCAGAATATTTGCATTCTATTAACAAGCACTTCAGGTCAGGTACTCAACAACTTTGCATGCATTATAGCGCTAGATGTGTTCCCAAATTCACTTAGGTGACATCTCCAGTGCTTTCCTTCTTACTCATGGAAAGGATTCTCCTGGAAAGTAAAAATGGCTTTAGCAATCTCAATATTGAGAGGGCAAGTGCCTATCCTTACCCAGGACCCAGTGGCATTGGTATCCACGCAACACAGGAGCGTAAGACAGAGGCAGCTGTCTTCTGACTTGTCATTCTCTGGAGGGAATAACATTAGCACCTTGCCAGCCTTTCATCTGCCACCTGGACCCAGCACTTGACACTTGTCTCCCAGCTGGTCGACAAGCTCTGTTTTCTGTCACCAAGGAAGGCCTCATTTCCATGTGGCTCTGACCTCGGCAGGGGAGTCCGTGGCAGGCAGAAGCCAGGCAAGTGCAGGGATGGAAGCCATCACAGTGCTGGTATCCAGCCACCACAGCTCGGGAGCCAAGTGCTGAATGCCTTGGGGCGTTCTGGGGGAACTTCAATGTATAGGTAAGGAGGCGTTTGCATCGCACTAGTTAATAGACAGGAATCCTCTGAGACAATTCCAGCTCTTCTCCTGCCAGCCTTTAAAATGCCCTTCTTCCCCCATCTCCAAAAGCTTCAATGTGTTATATATTTCAAAGGCAGTTACTGAATGAAGGCAACATCCCACCAATCATTTTGTCTGCCTTTGTTTTTTTTGGTCTTTTCTAGAAATTGTCCAGAGAGCAGGGGCCATGTTTACTAATTCAGTTGGTATTGCATGATGAGGCTGTCTCAAGGCAGTCTGATGCTATTGTTGAATGGATCTCAAGACACCTACTGTAAGCTATGGAAACACTGTATGACCCCTACCACTCATATGGCCACCAATATCACTGTAAAGGAGAAAGCAAGTGGCAAAGATAGTTGGTGGTTCTTATGTGAAAGTAATTTCATTCATCATTGCAGCAGATGGCACACAGCAATACTGCTGTGATGAACTGGTTATAGTGACAGGTGAGTGATAGTCTATAGAATGTGGACTCCCAGGAGCTTTTCTAAAAATCAGTATTATCATTTCTATGCCCCTCAAGTAATCACATCCTTCTATTATATCTGTTACTCCACAAATTATAATCCCTTTAAGACTTCTTGAGCACTGTTAAAAATTCCTTAGGATGGTCCACATTAAGTTTTATCTGGCATCTCCACCTTTTGAAGAGGCATCTGGACTTCTCCTAAAGAGTAAGTGTAATGGAGCAAATGTTATTATTATATATTTGTATTCACAGTCTTACCCTACTCCAGGTTCTAAGGAGGACTGTTTGCCTTCTCCTGAAAAGATAATGGGTTGCCAAGAACTAGATGAACTAGCAGACACCTAGAGAGGGTAAAGTGATCTACATTAGAAGAAATTCATGAACAAAGAGGGACTGGAAAAAAGTTGAAAAAGGAAAGAGCCCATTAAAGATGAAGATTTTCATAGAATGTTTAGAAGACAGATTTGGGGGTGGTGTGAAAATTGCTATGAAGAGGTACCGGAGGTAGATTTTCCATGAAATTCTCACTGGTACTGACTCCCTCCAAGTCCCTCAGACCTGAATAATGTGTTTACATATTCATTATCTATCTTTCTTCTTTTCAGAGCACCTGCCTCCCCCATCCCCTGCCCCTGACAAATTGTATAAGCTTCAGGCCCCATAAGCTTTAATCTTGACTGGATCTATAGAGAAATGAGTTGTAAGGTTGAGAAAATTTTTCCAATCTCTGAAAGGCAAAATAGATGATTGTGTACCTTCCTTGTTGCGAAGACCTTGTCTAGTAGGCCTAAGAGTCATCTGAATTCAGAAGTGTGTAAAATTCTCTGACTTACTAACAGGTATTTTTTAGACCATTTTTGCCTATTGCTATGCTCTGTGTCTAAAACCCCTTAATTTGTATATTGAAGCCCTCATCTTCAATGTGATGGTAACTGGAGATGGAATCTTTCAGAGGTAATTAAATTTACATGAGGTCATGAGGGTGAGGCCCTTATAATGGAATTAGTGCCCTTATAAGAAGAGACACTAGAGAGCTTGGTTTCCCTGCCTGCCTTGTGAGGACACAGGGAGAAGGCAGCCATCCAAAATCCAGAAAGAGAACCCTCAATGGAAACTGATCATGCTAGCACCTTGATCTTGGACCTCTCAACCTTCAGAACTGTGAGAGAATAAATTTCTGTTGTTTAAACAACCCAGTCTATGATATTTTGTTATGGAAGCCCAGCTAAGACACTGAGAGAGAATAATTTTTGCTCTATAGTGATGCAAATTATTTCTAAAGTAGAAAAGATAACCCCAAAGATAGCAGTTTATTGCCCTGTAATAGTTTTGTATCTAATTAGCAATCATATTTCTCCATTTATTTTTGCTTTCACTGACTATATATATACACACATTAAATTCTCTTATCATCATTTGAAATAGCTTTGCCATCTTTTTCTTTTCTTTTTTTTTTTTCTCCCTGTAACAGGGTCTCACTGTTGGCTAGGCTGGAGTGTCAGTGGCACAATCATGGCTTACTGCAGCCTTGAACTCCTGGGGTCAAGTGATCCTCCCACTACAGCTCCCTGAGTAGCTGAAACCATATGTGTGTGCCACCATGCCCGACTAATTTTTGTATTTTTTGTACAGACAGGGTCTCGCCATGTTGTCCAAGCTGGTCTCGTACTCCTGGGCTCAAGCGATCCTCCCACCTTGGCCTCTTAAAGTGCTTGGATTACAGGTATAAGCTGCCAGCCCAGCCTCCCCATCATTTTAATGAGTTAAAATAAAACTTTGATACATGTTCACTATGTATTTGTATAGGAATTCTCTTTTTAAATTTTGAAAATAATACTTTTGACAGTGAGAAGAGAATCTTTAGGAATTATGCTGCATATTTTATAATGTATTTCACTTTGGTATCACTTTATGAGACTTCATCAAAAATTTTATATTACTTTTTAAATGTTAGACTGCGATTTATTTTTCAAAATAACACTATGCTGGCATTGGTCATGAAGTAATTCAGTTATAGTAGAGCTTCTCTAGTGATATCAAGTGTGTTTTGTTTTGAAGTCCACTTCCTTACAGACCATGAGATGAGAAGGAAAAAGTGCCAGATAATTTCTAACTACTACAAAGAAATGAGCTTTTCCCTTCCTTCTCTCAGAATTGGTTGCTCAAACATATAGCTCTTTCATGACCCCTTTTTATTACCATAGTTCTCCCTATTGCTTGTGGTTTCTGATACCGACAGTCTAGATTTTATGGATCAAGGCTGTCCCCCTTGCTGTCCTTTTCATTTATATCATCCTTTCATGTGAAAAATATGTATTGAGCACAGTACATGTGCCAGACATTGTTCTAAGTACTGGGGACTATGCAGTGATCTATACAGGCAATAATTCCTGTCCCATCCTCCTGCAGATTATATACTACTGGGGGAGACATGTAATAAACAAACAAATACAGTATGTTAGATAATAATTAGATGTTGGCAAAAAATGTTTTTAAAGGGAAGGAGGCTAGAATGTGCTAACACAAAGGAGGAGGAGGTTTATAGTAATATTAAACGCAGGGGCCTCTGGGAATGTGACATTAAAACTGTTGGAGTTAAATAATTTTTGGAGTTGGGGAACTAGCAAAGCAGAGATCTGGAGGAGGAGCATTTCAGTTAGAGAACATGGCAAGTATACAAAGGACTTGAGGCTGGAGCATGCCTGGTGCATTTGTGGGTTAGCAAGGAGGCCATCATGTGGCATGAGCAAAGGAGAGAGAGGCAGGACAGAAGGTTGGAGACAAATAGGGTGGAGAAACAGCTCGTGCTGTCAGGTCTTGTCAGCCATTTTAACTATTTAGCTTTTGAACTGAAATTTTGAGTGAAATGGACAACTTTTGGAGGACTTTAGAGGAGCAACTACATAATCTCATGTTAGAAAAGGTGCACTTTTGCTGCAGTAACGAGAGTTGACTGGAATGGGGACAATGATGAAAGCAAGGAGGCTTATTAAGAAGCTATCTCAGTAATTCAGGTCAAAAACATTGGCAGCTTGGACCACAGTCGAAGTGGTAATGAGAAGTGGTTAGCGGCTGAATACATATTGAAAGTTGAGCCAACAAAGTTTGCTATGGATTCAATGTAGAGTCTGCAAGTGAAAAGAAGACATGAATTGACTCTGCTTTTTGGCTTAATTAGAAGGATATAGAGCATTTTTATTTGCTGAGCCAGGAGACATGCAGGAGAAGCAGATTGAAGGTAAGATCAGGAGCTCCACTCTGGACGTGATAAATATGAACCATCCAGTGGAGATGTCCAATAGGCAATTGGCATTTGAGACTGGAGTCCAGGTGAGGAGTCTTTGCTAGAAATATAATCTTGGGAGTTATGAGGACAAAGATGGTACTAAAAGCCATGAGAGGAGATGAGCTCAATAAGGGGGTATGGATAGAGAAGAGGTCCAAAGACTGAGTTCTGAGGCACTCCAGTATTTTGAAATCAGTAAGATGAAAAAGAACCAGAAAAAAACTACAAAGGAATGGCTAATCGTAGAGAAGGAAACCCAGGAGAGTTAGGAATCCTGGAAGTCAAAAGAATCAAGCACTTCAAGAAGTAGGGAGTGAGCTGGGCATGGTGGCCCACGCCTGTTATCCCAACACTTTGGGAAGCTGAGGTGGGCGGATCACGAGGTCAGGAATTCAAGACCAGCCTGGCCAATATGGTGAAACCCCATCTTTACTAAAAATACAAAAATTAGCCAGGCATGGTGGTGCACGCCTGTTGTCCCAGCTACTAGGGAGGCTGAGGTAGAAGAATCCTTTGAACCCAGGAGGCGGAAGTTGCAGGGAGCTGAGATCGTGCCACTGCATTCCAACCTGGGTGACAGAGTGAGACTCTGTCTCAAAAAAAAAAAAAAAGAAGAAGTAGGGAGTGATCAACTAGGAGCATAGGTCAAATATGATAAACACTGAGAACTGAACATTAGGTTTAGCAGTGGATGTCTCTGGTGGTCTTGATGAGAGCAGAATTGGAGTGGTGGAGGTGAAATCCTGACAGGAGTGAGTTTAATGGAGAATGACAGGGAAGGAATTGGGGACAGTGTAGATTGATACTTCTTTTTAAGGGATTTACTCTAAAAGAGAGCAAGGGAATGGGTCAGTGGAGGGCAATATGGGATCAAGATAGGGTTTTTATTTATAAGGATGGTAGGAAATAGCAGTTATGCAAATGCAGGTCTGTAGTAGGAGATGAGTTGGGTTTAGCCAGGATGGGGGTTGACACGTGAGTACCCTGGAGCAAAAGAAAGACAAGTAAGATGAGGACATAATGATGATGAGCTCTGGAATCTGAGCTAGGTAAGGAGGGAGTAAGTGTTTGGGGGCCTTGTAACAGATAGTGAAAAGGTGGTATGATCAATAGCTTGCAGGTGTGTCCAAGCACTGTTGAATTTAAAGAACTTTTGGGAGTTGGGGAGATAAGCTGGAAAGCCAGCAGATGATGACTGAGAAGGTGCTGCTGTGGATGGTAACAAGTCTAGGCTATACACCTGGGAGTGGACAGCTGAGGCACAGGAGGACCAGGTCACTGGAGGACTGAAAGGCTAGGTGGATAGGAGGATGCAGCTATTTGGCCAGCATGTGCCTTGCTGCCTTACTGAGGTGTTCACAGCTGGTGTCTGTTCTACCTATCAGTGCCTTTGCTCACTTGTTAAATATTGTGACTATCATTCCTGAGCAACAAAGAATCAAAGTATCATCACTGTGGACCTTGGCATTCCCAAGAATGGTGACAAGAGGGTTTGGGGAGTGTGATGGTGGAAGAGAGCTAATATCTTGAGACAGAGGGCCTGTCACGTCTGCACATCAAACTGCCAGGCAGCGGGGAGGTAGTGGGGCTAAGCCTCTGCCGTCCCCAGCCCTGAGCCCCTGGGGTGTTCCTGAAGGGTGAGGGCAGGGCTATAGGGGCAGGAGAAACCAAGGAGAAGGGTTTCTGGGGAGGAGAAGAGGCCTGAAAATAGCAGAGTCAGAAACAAATTTCACCAGCTTCACAGTCCAGCCTTAGACCAACCCAAGCAGCTTGATGGGTCTGTAAACTAAGCTACATCTTGTGGCCGTTAGGATGCCTACTTCATACCTGGGTAGAATGCATTCCAGAATCCTCAGTGTGGCCGTGAGTCAGACAGATATCATAAGCCAACCACAGCCCAGTGAAAACAACATGTTTTCTTCTGCTTTTGTGATTATCTCCTTGTTGTTTTGTGATTATCTCCTTGATTTATTCCTTCCCTCCTTTTTTCCTCCTGCCCCCTTATCAGTCAGAGCTAGGATAAGCAATATCAAAAAGTTGTCAAGGTTCTTCTGGTCCTGCTTTCCTTTATGATAACAATTGTGCCCTGGAACCATTTTCAGGCAGGCACAGCTCCCTGCTGGGGGAAACAATCCGGAGCTCAGGCAAGTAGGAAAACTTCCCTACTGTGTGAAAGCGCTCACCGCAGACCAGGCTCTGCCACCTCCTGTTCACCTTGAGGTGGCTTCCCCAGTCCCTGCAGCTTCCCTGCCCAGCACAAAGCAGCCTTGCCGGAGACTGTGGCTTTCACCACACAGTGACTCAGCTCCCCTGGGGATGATGGCAGGACTGTCTGCACAATCAGCCACAGTGGCACCAAATAACTCATGTTGAGGAAGCTAGTCAGTTCTACCGAGGCCTCTCATCCCGAGAATCCATGGCCACTGCCCCCAAGGCATATGGTGCTTGCCTTCCCCCAACCGTCTACAACCCAAACATCTATCCTGGGTTATTCTCTCATCTTCCGCAGCTTTATGCTCCCTCCTGAGTCCTCCCACTCTCAGACTCTCTCTCCAAGCTCTTTACTCTTTCCACCATTCCCTCAGAGAATAAACACTTCAACGTTTTCCTCTTTGCAGTATCCTTCCATCACCATTTGTTGAAGCCTACCTTTGCCTGAAGGTACACCATCTCTTGCTTCTCTTTCCATTGGAGGTTGCAATTTCCCCTGCATGCCCCTAGACCAGAGGCACAGGTTGGGCTCAGGAATCACCCAGCTCCACGGTGCTGCTTTTCCACTGCGTGTAATTCTGGGATATGTAAACATATACGTGGATGAACATCCAACACACTAATCACAGCTTTAATTATTTGACCTCAAGTCTCAAAGCTGAGCTAGTTATAGTCTGGAACTGTATGACATCAAAAAATACCACTCCTAGCTTTCTCACTACATCTGTTCTCAGAGGGATCACCGGGACCAGGATTTCTTCTTTTCCTCCTAATTCAGTGATTGTCCAACTTTAGCAGGTATCAGGATCACCTGGAAGGCTTGTTAAGGCAGATTGCGGAATCCCTGCTCCCAGAATTTCTGGTTTGATAAGCCTGGAGTAGAGCTCAAGAGTTTGCAATTCTAACAAGTTCCCAGGTGATATTGATACTGCCAGTTTGAGGACTACACTTCGAGAAGCACTGTTCTAGTGTATGTGCCCAATATTTTTCAAACTTGTCTTCATGTTAGAATTACCTGGAAGGCTTTAAAGAGTATTGACATCTGTGCCCGTGCCCTTCTCCTAGGGATTGTGATTTAATTCACCTGGGATGTGGCTTGGGCTTTGGAACTTTTAAAAGATCCCCAGATTATTCTACATACAGGTAAGTTTGGGAACTGCTGCTGTCACCGTCTAGCCTCCCTTCCTTACCTGCCCACCTTGAAGGGTGTGGTGAATTACCTGAACTACACCTCTCACCTTGTGTCAGCCTCGCTCCTTCCCCCAGGAAACCTCGGATCTGTGTCAACTTATCTTCTCATTGCTCCTAAGTGCTAGACATCAAGCATGGCTGGAGAAAACCTCATAGCCATCTCATTCTGTGCCTAATCCCAGCTGTGCTTATTTATGGGTCTTTTAACTTATCCTTGGTTTCTCTTTTCTCTCCTTCACTGATAATTCCAAAACTTCACCATTCTAATTCACCCTTTTGAACTCTTCAGCTGACCTCATCTCCTACTTCAGCAAGTAACGTTGGTCCCATCAAGTGTGATTTCTTTCTATATTTTACTCCATCCAAATAACTAGTTTATCTGTAGCCACACCCTTGCTTCCCTCTTATCCCTTCATCTCAGAGAATGAGGTGTTCCTGTTTCAGGTCAATGCCTCCATTCCGCCACCCACATCACTGCACTCAGCATGATTAATGGCATGTATACAGTTGTTCTCAATACTCACGAGGTGGGGTATTGGTTCTGGAGACCACCCCTGCCTCCCAACCACCAATACCAAAATCTGCAGATGCTCAAGTCCCTGATGGAAACTGACTTAAAATTTGCATATAATCTATGCACATCCTCCAACGACTTTAAATAATCTCTAGATTACTTATAATACCTAATGCAAAGTAAATCTTATGTAAATAGTTGTTATATTTTCTTTTCAAAATTTGTATTTTTAAAATTGTTGTCATTTATTTATTTAATATATATTTTTGATCCCTGTCTGGGAACCCACAGATAGGAAGGGCCACAGTACCTTCAGCCATCCGCTCTTGCTGGCTCTGCATGCTCTCCTGCAACCCTCAGCCTCACTAGACTCTAACTCTCCCCCTTTTCCTATCACCCTCTCATATACATGACAGCATCATTTCTCAGTTCTTGCTGCCCACTGATGGCTGATTCAGAAGGAGGAGTAAATCCTTCCAGATGCCTCTTTTAAAGGCTTTTTAATTTGGTATTCAGAATTAAGATCTTTCTCTCTCTCTTTCTTGCCATGTAAAAAGGGGACTCTGCTCATGCTGTCAACAGCTCACTTCTATTTATTTCTGGAACCCAGCTTCTTTGCTCAGTATGCTAGGCACTAATGAGAAAGTTGCCTCAGTAGCATAAAGCATTATATTAGTGATGCTTTTGCTTCCAACACGTATTTACCACTCAACAAAGGCAGGCACATAGCTCTTGTCAGAACAATGAAAAAGCAACAAATCCAGCAACCCTTTGGGAAACCAGTTGTCTGGGGATTTGAGGGTCTCCCATCCACATGGTGACAGCTCCAGCAAAGGCAGGAAAGAAAATCACACATACACACATAAAGGAAAATGACAAAAACACAAACAGGAAACAGAGTACAAGAAGGAACAAGGCAGAGAGAAGAGTGTCTGTGTAGTTTTGTCTGCTCAACTAATACAGTTTAATAAAATTTTGTATAGGAATTGTGCTCACATTATTAGTACTGTGGCCCACCTGTCAGATTAGATCTCCAGTTCTAGGTGATATGTAGTGGATTTCTTCCACTGTGGCTTTGAGAACATTAACATTAGTTTAAAACAGAGTGCTACCATTGCTTCTTTTTAAAAACATTTCAACTTTTATTTTAGATACAGAGGATACATGTGCAGATTTGCTGCATGGGAATGTTGTGTGACGCTGAGGTTTGGAGTACGAATCCCATCACTGCTGTTGCTTCTATTCAAAATACAAAGTAGGGCTTGGTGCGGTGGCTCACGCCTATAATCCCAGCACTTTGGGAGGCTGAGATGGGCAGATCACTTGAGCCCAGGAGTTAGAGACCAGCCTGACCAACATGATGAAACCCCATCTCTACCAAAAATACAAAAAAAAAAAAAATTGCTGTGTGTGGTGGCACACCTGTAAGTCCCAGTTCCTCAGGAGGCTGAGGCCAGAGGATGGGTTGAGCCCAGGAGGTGAAGGTTACAGGAGGTGAAGGTTACAGGAGCCGAGATTGCACCACTGCAATCCAGCCTGGGTAACAGAGCCAGACCCTGTCTCAAAAAACAAAAACAAAATACAAAGTATGTCAGGAGGAATAATTGAGGTAGCTTAGGTATTAATTTTCCTCATAGTATATTTAATAGTAAATATATTCATATAAAATTATATATTATACATATTATAATATTAAATATTGTATTTATATAAAATTTCTTATTTTGACATAATATAGAAACAGTATCAAAAGCATGATGCATAAAAGAAATAATAAATTGGACCTTATCAAAGTTAAAAGACTTTTGTGCTTCAAAGGACACCATTAAGAAAATGAAAGGATGGACCATAGACTGAGAGAAAACATTTTCAAATCATAATCTGATACAGAACTTGTATTCAGAATATATAAAGAACTCTTACAACTCAATAATTTAAAAAAAACCTTTTTTAAGTGGGCAAGAGATATGAACAGACATTTCATCAAAAAAGATATAGGAATGGAAGTAAAAGCATGAAAATATGTTCAATATCATCAGTCATTAGGATAATGCAAACAAAAACCACGATGAGATGCCATTCTACACCCAGTAGAATGGCTATAATCAAAAAGACAGACAATACCACATGTTGATGAGGATGTGGAGGAATTGGATGCTTTGTGCATTGCTGGTAGGAATGTAAAATGATACAGCTTCTTTGAAAAACAGTTTGGTGGTTTCTTATTTTTTTTGTCTTTTTTTCTTTTTTTTTTTTTTTGAGACAGAGTTTTGCTCTGTCACCCAGGCTGGAGTGCAATGGCAAGATCTCGGCTCACTGTAACCTCCGCCTCCTGGGTTCAAGTGATTCTTCTGCCTCAGTCTCCCAAGCAGCTGGGACTACAGGTGTGCACCACCACACCTGGCTTTTTGTATTTTTAGCAGAGACGGGGTTTCACCATATTGGCCAGGCTGGTCTTGAACTCCTGACCTCGTGATCTGCCTGCCTCGGCCTCCCAAAGTGCTAGGATTACAGGCGTGACCCACTGCACCCGGCCTGGTGGTTTCTTAAAAAGTTAAACAAACTTATTGTATGACCCAGCAATTCCACTCCCAGGAATTTTTACAAGAGAAAAAAAACACCTGTACAACATAAAGACACAGATGTGAATGTTCATGGGAGGATGATTCATCATAGACCAAACTGGAAACTTTCCAAATATCCATCAGCTGGAGAATTGACCAACAAAATATGGTAAATCCATACAGCAGAATAATATTCAACAATTGAAATGAAAAAACTACGGATTCAGACTACAACAGAGGTGAAGGTCAAAAACATTGTGCTACGTGAAGGAGGCCAGATATACAAAACAGCATATCGTATGTATGATTCCACTTACATGAAGTGTTCAGGAAAGGCAATTTGTAGAGACAGAAACAGGTCAGCGTTTGCCCAGGGCTGGGGGTGGGAGCCAGGATTTACTACACACAGGCGTGAGGATACATTTTGAGGTGACAGAAATGCTCTAAAGCTGGATTATTTTATTTATACCTCAATAAAAACTATTTTAAAAAGTTAACAGCTCACAGTTCTTTAAATCGCCAGTGAACAAAATTTCCATTTGTAATCACTATTTTAAAAACATGGGTAAAGACAACACTCTGAGAGAAGAGGCTCTTGGGGGCTTTGAGTAGTTCATGCCAGTGGTCAAACTGTGCTTGACCAGACTGCTACAAGAAACTGGCTTTAACACCCAGATTGAGAAGTCTGCATTTCTCTGTTCTCACTTCTTCCCAAGGTGAGAAAAGCCAGGGACCTGGACAAGCCACAAATCAAAACAACATTCTTGAAAAACAAGGCAGCTAACTCATTTTTTGCCTGGTGCCAGTTCATTTTGCCAGCATATATGTTATTATAATTCAAGCTTGCCTCATTCATCCTTAAGGGTCATCAGACAACCCAGAATGAATGCAGTTGCAGTATTTTCTTGTCAGGGATTGTACTGAAAGGTGCGTGTGCAGCACCAACACCATCCTCTGCACGAGCATCTCTCATGTGCAAGGCAATGAGCCAGGCTTGTGGGCGTGAGGAGGTGACACAGGCTCTGTGCTCAAGGAATTTGTAACCTGGCTGGAAAAGCAAGCTGAGAAATAGTCATTAGGAAACAACTAGTAAATGATAAGAAAACGTTGTAAAATCAAGTTGAAAACCTCAAAATGTAACACAAAGGAGTTGCACTACAATATGGTTTGAGTTGCTACCAGCTTGAATATTCTACTGTTTTTTTGGAGAAAAATCTTGGTTGTTTGTATAGGCTGTGTAGCCACATAGGCTGTGGCTGGGTAACTTAAGGATTTGTTATGTTTCTGTGACAACTACTTATTTAGTGATGCTTTTTGGTCTGTTTCATAAATTGCATGAATTACAAGATTGTTTCATTTCTAAGTCAAGATCTCATCAGTAAAGCTGAGCCAAGGTGTGTGTGTGTGTGTGTGTGTGTGTATGTGTGTGTGTGTGCAGCTGCAATATATTCCGTCTCCCTCTCTCTTTTCTTTTTTTCTTGTATGCCCTCGGTTATGCATGGCAATGCTGATATTATGAGAAATAAAGTCATTATGTTATAACTAAAAAGGGAACAAGGTAAATTTCCCAGGACCGTGCATACGGTAGCTTACCTTGGCCTACCAAAGCAAAGCAGAGGTCCTTGGCAAGTGGTGCTAGGTCTTATACTTGAGTTTCCAGACAAAATCCAGATCTGTTAACCAAAGGCAGACAAACGTCACATGTCCTGACACTCTTGGTCTACACCCGTGGTGAAGGAAATGGCCTCATTAGTGATTCCTCTCCTATTGAAAAGTCACCCCAACTTTTGAGTAAACTTATGAACTGCACACATTAATAAGGCAGCCTAGGATTTTGCAGACAAACTTGCATTCCATTTATAAAAAGTTTTTATATTCTTTAAAACATTTAGCAATTTGCAGAGAAATGAGTCATTGTTTAACACAGGGTCAGGATTGAGGTCTGGGTATGAAATGATGCAAATTAAAATCACATCTTCCCCATCTGCTCTCTCTCATTCCCATCTCATTGTATTTATAGACCTCCAAAGAAATGTAAGTGGCAACATCATATCTAGGCATTGGTAAATCAGTCTTTCATATGTGTGAATGCTCCTGGGCCTGAGAGATTCCATAACCTCACTCCTGCTTTTTCTATTTGTACCTGCACCCACCAAAGATATTTCCAGAAATATAACTCATTCCTGCCACCAAGGCCTAACTCATACTTGGCCCACCCTCTCCCCACCTCCTGGGATGCCATAGCCTTCACTCACGTTCTAAATTACATTATAAGGTTTACTTCATCAGAAACATTATTCTGGCTTCCTTTTAGCAATCTTGTCTTGAAATGCAATTCAATGCAAGATATTATAATGTTATAAAAATGATGCTCACCCAACTGCTCAACTCTCAGGAAAAAAAAATCAAGTTAGATCTTTTTTTCACATGGCATGCCAAAATAAACTCAAGTGGATAAAAGCTTTAAATGTAAAAGTACAACAAAACATAAAAATAGTAGAAGGAAAGGTAGCTAAATATTTGATTTATGGATGGAGAGGCCTTTTCTAAGGTTAAAATCAATAGAAGAGATTTATGGATAGAGAGGCACTTTCTAAGGTTAAAATCAATAGAAGAAACCATAAAGGAAAATATTGGGTTGACTACATAACCATTAAAATCTCCTATATATAAAAATAATCATTAAGAAAATTAAAGAGTAAACACTAAGCTAAGAAAACATTTGCGAAAAATATTAATAAAAGTTAATGTTCCAATATTGAGAACTTATATAAATCATTATGGAAAATGCTTAACAGTTCTATAAAAAGTAATATCCCAAAGGGCATAAATAATTTATTATATAAAGCCAATTTATAAATGACAATTTAAAAATGCTGAAGTCTTCAATCACATTTTAAGTGAAAAACAAAAATTAAAGCAATGGTCAGATGGGATTTTTTTTTTAAAGATTTGTAAGTCGGATAGTAACTTCCTAGTGTTGGGGGAGAGAGTTCAGTGAGAAATACCTTCTTCTATGCGGTGGGAGGACAAACTGATAAAAACTTTCTGGAAGGCATCCATCTATTTTGACAATATATATCAAATGTCTTTTAAATATTCACATAATTTGACAGATTAATTCCACTACCAGAAATTTACATTATGAAACACAGACATGTATACATAAGGATGTTATTTGCAACAACTTGTAACAAATTGGAAACAGCCTGAAAGTCCAACGTTTGAGGAGTAGTTGAATAAACTATGGAATAACCATAAAATGGAGTTTTATGCAATTATTACAAGTTATTTGGGAAATATTTTAAATTGCACAAGAAAATGTTTCTAATTTCATAATGCCTGAAGGAATCTGCAGCAGTATAAAATGTAGTTCAGTTATGGAAAATGCATTTTAGAGAGTATAATAAACTTGTAAAATATTAATAACGGTACTTCTGAGGAGTGGGATTATAATTGTTATTTACTCTTTATGCTTTCTGTATTTATCAAATTATCTCCCATCCATAGCCATCTGTTGTTTAAGAAGGAACAAAAACATTTTTCATAATAATACAATAAATATTTAACAATATAAAAAAATTAGGATATTCTTAGCAGAAAAGCAGGATTCAAAATAAGCGTAGACCAGGCACAGTGGCTCCTGCCTGTAACCCCGGCACTTTGGGAAGCTAAGGCAGGAGGATTGCTTGAGGCTAGAAGTTGGTGGCTGCAATGATTGTGTCACTGCATTCCAGCCTGGCCAACAGAGCAAGACCCTGTCTCAAACTAATAATAATAACTAATGATAATAATAATTGCAGTATGACTGACACATGCAATCTATACATGGGGGATTCTGGGATGACTCACTGGCTTCTGGCTTATGAATGCTGGTTTCCTTTAAAAAGAGAGAAATTCCATTTTGGGGTGAGAGACTGTCTCCTGTATTGACCATGTTGAGTTCGGTGTACCTGCAGGATATGTGAGTGAAGATGTCTCAAGTTGTGTAAGGTTTGAAAGACAGAGAGAGAGAGAGAGAGAGAGAGAGAGAGAGAGATCTGGGCTAGAGGCAAAAGCAGAGATGTGAGCTGTAAATTTGAATGAAGGACCAGATAGAACGTAGAAAGTGGAAAATGGAACCTAGAGCTTTGGACAGGGCTCAAAGGAAAACAAGCATTTAAAGAAGAGGCGCCTGATAAGAAACCCCCAAAGAAAAAACACACAGGGGAGAGTGGGGTGCAGATGTCAAGGCAGAGAGAGCTGCAGTTAATGGTGCCAAGTGCCATGGCGAGTGCAGAGAATAGAACTGAAGTGCACTGCGGGGCTCAGAGCATCTGTTAAATCTATGTGAGGAGAAAACAAGGCAGGAAGCCAGCTGGAGAGATGGGGAAGAAGACAGGGTTGCGGGGAAGGTGGGGTGTTGGGATTGTTAAGGTCCAGGCACGTTCCACTAAAGTCAAGAGGAAACCCACCATGTGCCAGGGATTAGGGTAATGGTATAAAGGAAAGACATATATATTTTCTGCCCTGACTGAATTTAAAATGTTATGAGAAACACAGGAACACCCAAATAATGACCTACTTGTCTATCAACTTCTTCCAAAGTTAATTTATGGTCACAAAATGTAAAATGTCAACAGAATGGCGGCCAGCAACAGATGCCTGGCCATCTGAAACCTGAGCTGAGAGCCCACCCAAACTCACATAATGTCATTGTCAAAGAGGTGCTGTCCTCTGTCACATCCAGTCACACCTCAACTGTTCTGCACCAGACCCATTTAATATTCTCTATCCCCAGCCGCTCTGGATCCCTGCCAGGACAATATTGTCATCCAAGAGCTCTGTCTGACACATTGATCTGTGCTCTGAACAGAAAAGTGGTGTCCACTTAAAGGACAAGTAGACACAGATCTGCTCACTGCAGGTGTGCCTGCCATGATTTCTGGAAGCTTTCTTGGAACTGAAGTGAGCCCAGTAATGCAGCCAGGCTGTGACGCAGCAGGCAGGTAGACAAGATGTGGGTGTGGGTATAGGCAGCTGCAACTTCCCTTCCATTGTGATGCTTCTGAGCGCCCGTAATAGTCGTTTGCATACTGCTCTTGGTACTGACATCAGGTTGTAGTTGCGGGGTATGTTTTTCCTTCCCATGTAAATAGTTGACCCTTGTAAGGAAGAGAAATTAAATCTACTTTTGCATATGCCCCTCAGATTCCAGCACATTTTACGTAGCGTTGTATACAGCCCATACCCCTTTTCCCCTTTTTCCTGCTTTGAATCCAGACATGATGTATGAACTTGAAGCCCACCTTGGAACCACAAGGTCACAAGCATGAGGGAAAGGTCAAGAGCCTCACCACGTTGCTGACCATGACATCATCAAGCCACTGAATCTGTGCCAGCAGCGAGCTAGGGCAATAATTTATATTATGAGAGAGAAATAATTTTTTGGCTTAAGCCACTTGTAAGTCAGGTTTTCTGTTTCCTGCAACTAAATGTAAGCTACCCAGCCAGCATCCACTCCCCTGACTTCCACACTAGAAGAACCCCAATTTGTTCAGCACTCCATGCCTTCTTCACTCAGCTAGGTGCCTCAGGTGACACTGACCCCATCTCTAGCTTGGGGGTGGCATTGATGGCCAAGGGTAATTTAATTTCATTTTCCTTGCCAGTATCCAATTAAGGAACCAATGAAGCATGGAGGGAGGGTGAAACCTGATGGGCATCGGGGACAAGGTTCCCACGATACAGCAGCAATAAGAGTCTCTTTCGTCTTCCTGTGAGTATTGTCGTGTCCAGCTGGAACTGTTGCATCCTACTTCCCTGAGGACGAGGCTGACATAAAAGATGGTGGGGTGAAGAGGCAAAAATAAGCTGGATCCTTGTTGACATTCTTGCTCTGTGGAATCAGCCAGCCTTGATGCCTGTGTAGCCCCTGCATGTCCTGTTCTGCAACAATGTAAATTTATTTTTATTTACTTCTTTTTGAGACAGGGTCTTACTCTGCCTGGAGTGCAGTAGTATGATCACGGCTTACTGCAGCGTCAACCTCTTGGGCTCAGCCGAAACTCCCACCTCAGCCTCCCAAGTAGCTGGGATCACAGATGTGCACCACCACACACAGATAATTTTTCAATTTTTTGCAGGGATGGTGGTCTCCCTATGTTGCCCAGGCTGGTCCCGAACTCCTAGGCTCAAGCAGTCCTCCCACCTCGGCCTCCCAAAGTGCTGGGATTACAAGCATGAGCCACCACACCCTGCCAAATTCTTTATTTTTTAATCCAGTTCAAGTTGAAGTTTTTGTTACTCACCCCTGAAAGTATATTTACAGAAAACGAAGATACAGAGAATGGTTTAGCCTAAAATGTGTCCTGAAGCAAATGTTCATTTTACCCTGGCCAATCTGACCCAACTAGAAAAATGCTCTGATTTATTAAACTTGTGTCCCTAAGTAGGGTACAGAGATCAAGCCAATAATCACAGATTATCTTCCCTCTCATGGGACCTTAGGGTAAATGAGCCAATGAAAAATAATATTCTTGCTTCCGATAAGACTTGAGGAAGAGAGAACAGTGGATTGTTTCATAATAGGAGCTGGGGCTGCTGCAGTTGGTATTTCATAGGCTGATATCCTCCATGCCCTCCAACCCTCTCCCAGTCCCTTCTGGGACTATAAAGGTAAAGACCCCTGTGCATGCTGTGCATGGTCTGTGGTTGGCAGGAGCCATTGTTTCTGTGTCTCTGAATAACTTTGTCCCAATGAGATGTGGCGGTTTTATTTAGCTGTAAAAAGGACTCAAAACTATGTGTTTAATGGATAAGGCCGTGGCCGGGGGGAGGGGGAGGGGGGGCTCAGCAAGTGGCTTAACCCATTGTCTTAGAAATGGCTAAGTACCATTTCTATCTCTTCTTCTGTCCTCCCTCCCCAGTTATATCCAATAAATTGTCCTCTTTTTCTTACCTAAGTGCTCACTGTAGAATATGGCTGAACTACGCAGGTGGTCCAGGGAGACTTGGAGCAGCCTGTCTGAGGTCACTGAATAATCCCAGAAACACATCCACAAAACTGAGCCAATACTATAAGCACAGAACATTTTTAGAAGCTGTGGGACAGAGGAAGGCCCTTCCCAAGATATTGCTTCGGGACCCAGAATTTAAACATTCACCATTGGCTCCGGTCATGCAGGCTGTCACATGCTCCTGAAAAGATGGCTGCGTGAGTCCTTCATCATTGCTATTGATACGGGAGGGGGCAGGGAGGTGCTGGGTAGAGAAGGATGGGGTCCCTGGCCAGGGCTCCACCCTCAGGCCTGTGCCCACGGACCTAAGTGAGGACAGGCATTCCTGTTTTCACGCCCAAAAGTTGCATTTTCCAAGACCACCCTGGCCCGCCACAACCCCCCGCCATCCCATGCCCATAGAAACCCGAGAGACCCTAGTGGGCACATGTACAAGCAGCTGGGCGTCGAGAGGAACACACTCGCAGAAAAACACTAGCAGGCCATCGACGGTGGAACCACGCAGACGCTGAGGGAAATTTGGCAGAGGGCAGTCAGAAGCAAGCCCAGCCACTGAGCGGCCTGACTCCAGGGGAAGACCCCTTCCCACTCCATCCCTCTTCCGGCTTCCCATCCATCTGCTAAGAGCTACTTCCACCACTCAATAAAACCTTGCACTCATTCTCCAAGCCCATGTATGATCAGATTTTTCCAGTACACTAGGCAAGAACCCCAGGATACAAAAAGCCCTCTGTCCTTGCGATAAGGCAGAGGGTCTAATTGAGCTGATTAATACAAGCCGCCTGCGGATGGCTAAGCTGAAAAAGCACGCTGCAACACACGCTCACCGGGGCTTCGAAAACTGTAAACACTCAACCCTAGACGCTGCGGTGGGGTTGGAGCCCACGCTCCCTACTACCTGCCCGACTGCATGCTCTCCCTAGGGGTTTAGGCTGCAGGGCGCGGAAGAAGGGAGCCACTCCCCTTGTCACGCCCTGTAAGGGGGATAAGGGAACTTTTTCTGTTTTACTATGACAAATCCTTCAAAAATGAACTTGCAGCATTTCAGAGGTGTAGCCATGTCTCTCACCTGCTCACGGTGAACCTGGAGTGCATGTTCCCAGATAAAACCATCAAATGCCCACCTTGCCTTTAAGGCTCTCTGGAAGATCTGTCTTCTTAAAGGGCTGATATTTACTCTAATTTTCTACTTGCTTAATAAGCAGTATTATAACCAAACATGTATTCTTTCAACCCTGAATGTTCTTTATCCCAGGTGATTTAAACATTTTCACCTTTTGTGAGATGTGTTCATCTTCTGTGAATGTCCAGAGTCCAACATCGTGAAGCATCGCCAAACGCTTAACACATGCTTGAGGAATAAATGGATGAATTGCGTGGATACCTGTAGTGGGAACAGACAGGAGATTCTTTTTTAATATGTATGTTCTGCACATTTAAGGCAATGTATCTAATGGAGATTCTAGCTTAGAAATTTAATAAGAAACAACATAATGATGGGCAGCGGGGGGGTCTGAATGCTGAAACTAGAAAGATTTTCAGTCTCAACTATATCATCATAAATAAACACTACTGTTTGTTGTTTGTCCTGCATATAGGACTGGGAGGCATGGTGTTAGGTGCTACATATATGACATTGTGTTTGTTCTTACAATGACCTTATACTATATATATATGACCTTATACTATATTCTTACAATGACCCTTATATTATATATATACTATATACATATATATAAAATAATAATACATATAATAATGACCTTATACTATATATATACTATATATGTATATATACTTGTAATTCTTATTCTAAATAATGAAGGAAGTTAAGTAATTTTTCTGCAGTCACACAGCTAGGAGTGGCATATATACATGCTTGACACTTTATAACCGTCTTAGTGTGCCCAGGGTACCTTTAAGAAATTTATCAGATCTGGTTCAGGCACAGTGGTTTATGCCTGTAATCCCAGCACTTTGGAAGGCTGAGATGGGAGGATCACTTAAGCTCAGGAGTTTGAGACCAGCCTGGGCAACATAGCAAGATCCCATCTCTACAAAAAATAAAAAATGAGCCAGGCATGATGGGTCACACCTGTAGTCCCAGTCTACTTGGAAGGCTGAGGCAGGAAGATCACTTGAGTCCAGGAGGTCAAGGCTGCAGTGAGCTATGATCTCACCACTGCACTCCAGCCTGGGAGACACAGTGGACCCTGTCTCTAAGAATAAATCAATACATAAAATAAAAACTAAATTTATCAGCTCTGAAAGAAGACGCAGAGTAGGGAGGCTTTGAAACCAGGTAGATGCGATCCTCCCACCTCAGCCTCCTGAGTATCTGGGACTACAGGCGCATGCCATCACACCTGGCTAATTTTTATATTTTTAGTAGAAATGGAGTTTTGCCATATCGGCCAGTCTGGTATCGAACTCCCTGCCTCAAGTGTAAGCCACCATGCCTGGCCAAGAGTAATTTTTTTTTTTTTTTTTTTGAGACGTCTTGCTCTGTCACCCAGGCTGGAGTGTGGTGGCGTGATCATGGCTCACTGCAGCCTTGACCTCCTGGGCTCAAGTGATCCTCCCACCTCAGCCTCCCAAAATCCTGGGATTATAGGCATGACACCATACCCAGCCATGACAGCAATTTTATTTAATCTTCATAACTCTGGTTCAACAGGTTTGCTCAATAGACCTTGTGCTATGATTTTTTCTTTCTCTCAGAATGCCCCTCTATCTCCCCACCATAAGCCTAAATCCTCCTCTCCCATTTATGTTAGCTCAAATCCTACTCACCATTCTGAACTGACATGATAATTCTAATAGTATGATTGAGACCTTACTATGTGATAGACTCTGTAATAAACACTTTATTACTTAATTTAATTGCCAAAACAATGCTATGTAGGAGAAACTACTATTAATCTCATCTTATAGTTGAGAAAAGTAAGTTACGAGCAGTTAAATAGCATTCCCATGCTCACCTAGCAAGGAAGAATTAGAAGAGGAGAAATTTCTTTTTTTTTTTTTAATAGAAAAAAGCCTGGAAATAAGTATACTAAATTAAGAGAGGCTAGCTCTAAATGCTAGAGAAATATATGGTTTTTATTGTCTTCTTTATATTTTTCTTTATGTTCTATTTTTCTACAATAAGCGTGTATTACTTTTATAATAAGAAAACCAAAAAAGCATTCTCCACTAAAAGGTATTAAGGCTTTTTGGCGGAAATGGCTAGGTTCAAGTCTAGAGCAGATAGAGTACAGGTGAACCTTGACATCTTGTTGTTCCAGAAATTAAGGAAATACTCAAGAACTAATGGGATCATGTCAAAAGTTTACAGGAAGCAGCCTGAAGGGCTCCCATTAGCCAAATTTGGAACAATTAAAGCATCAAAAATAATAATGAGTATAACTAATGCCAACATATTGACATAACAGAAAAAAAGAAAAGAAAGAAAACATGCTGGATAAGAAATGTGAACTTAGATAGAAAAATAACCATTTGCAACCCCAATGTAATAACTGATTAAGGCAAGAAGGGATCAATGAATGCCATGAATAAAACTACTTACCAGGTAACAGGTGACAGGCTGCAGAGGGACCAAATAATATTATTGTGCAGAATACTTATTTATTGCAAAGAGAAAGACTTTCCTATAACAAGGAAGAGATGTGACAGATCCTGTCTTTGCCAAATGTCTAAAAGTGATAAATTAAAAAATACACATTTTTTTTATTCTGAGGCAGGGTCTCACTCTGTCACCCAGGCTGGAGTGCAGTGGTGTGATCAAGGCTCACTGCAGCCTCGACCTGCCAGGCTCAATCGATCCTCCCACCTCAGCCTACCAAGGAGCTGGGACTACAGGCATACACCATCACACCCAACTAATTTTTGTATCTTTTGTAGAGGTGAGGTTTCACCATGTGGCCCAGGCTGGTCTCTAACTCCTGGGTTCAAGCGATCCTCCTGCCATGGCCTCCCAAAGTGCTGGAATTATGGGCATAAGCCACCACACCCCAGCCAAAAAATAAAAAGAATATTATTCACTTAAATATTGGAAGAAAAAGGTAAAGAGTGGAAAGCAGTTGTCATTGGGGAACAGGCATCAGGAGAGGTAAGGAGGGGAAAATGACCTTTGGGTTTTTTTCATTTATAAGTCTCTAAATACAAATCAATTTTAAGCATGTGCATATGGTATTTCTTTTTTAAAAGGTAATAATAAAAGAGCAAGTGAGAAGTATTCTGTAAATCAAGAGAACACAGCTTTTGGAGAATAAGGTAAAGTTAGCTGAGGCCTTGCATTGAACACTGGGTTTCTCAAAGGGCAGGTTGTCAGACCTTGGTAAGCGCAAGCTTGGAGGAAATTCAAGAAAGAATGGGATAAGAGAAAATTGATATTGCTTATGTTTTCAGTTTTGATGAGCTTTAGATGCACAGAAGTTCTAATTCCAGGATAGTGAAGTGTATCCATTTCCTCTGTGGTTTGTACTCATTTTGCTTCCTCTTTAAGAAAGCATTCCTGCATTTTCTTCTGGAAGTTATTGTCAGCACTTTGCTATTAGTTTAAGGACAAATAAATTTGTTAAAATGAAAAAATTTGGTTTAAAATTTTAAAAAATGATGACGCAGACTTTCTCTGCCTACAGTTTTCTAACTTCCTTGGACAAAAGATCAAGCCATTTTTCCTCAAAGAGAGGATATCTGTCGAAAACAGCTGGCCCTGTTTCCACCAGTTTCACATTTGTGGAGTCAATCAACTGCAGATCTAAAATATCTGGGAAAAAATAATAACACAACAATAAAAAATAATACAAACAAAATACAGTGTGACAACTATTTATATAGCACTTACATTGTATTAGGCATTTTAAGTAATCTGGAGATTATTTAAAGTATACAGGACAATGTGTATAGATTATATGCAAATATTACACCATTTTATATCCAGGACTTGAGCATCTGTGGATTTTGGTATCCATGGAGGTCCTGGAACCAATTCCCCTTGGGTACTGAGAGAGGACTATTTCTTTTTTGAGATGTCTCATGGGGTAATTTGAAACAGCCCTCTAGACAGCTTGAAATATGCAAGTATTTATTACATTTTTATGGGATGATAGTTCCCTTGAAGGAAAGAACAAGAAAGTATATTCCTCACTGATTATCAAACATTTTTATTCATGTAACTAACTGCTAAATTGTAACTTAGAGTTACAGAACTCCTTATGGTAGCTTAACCCCTTGCTACTCAAAGTGTGGACCATGTATTAGTAGGCCAGCTTCCCCTGGGAGCTTGTTAGAAATGCAGAATCTCAGGTGCCACCCTAGACCTACTGAATCAGAGTCTGTGTTTTAACAAGGACCCCAGAAAATTCCTATACTCATTGCAGTTTGAGAAGTGCAGTCTCTTTTTTTTTTTTTTTTTTTTTGGACAGGGTCTTGCTCTGTCATGAGGTCATGGCTCACTGCAGCCTCTATCTCCCAGGCTCAAGAGATCCTCCTGCCTGAGCCTCCTGAGTAGCTGGGACTGTAGGTGTGTGCCACCACACCTGGCTGATTTTTAAAATTTTTAGTAGAGATGAGGTCTGAATATGTTGTCTAGGCCAGTCTTGAACTCCCAAACAAAAGGAATCCCCTTGTCTTGGTCCCCTAAAGTGTTGGGATTACAGGCATGAGCCACTGTGCCAGGCTGAGAAGTGCAGTCTTAACCCATAAGACAGAGAGGTGTGCAGGAGGTAAGTCTCAACAATGTAACCATTTTTTGAGCACGGTGGTTCCTAAACTTGTCTGCACATCAGAATCACCTGGAAAGCTTTAACAACTACAGATGTTTGAGTCCCACCCCTAGAAACTCTGATATGATTGGTCTGGAGTACAGCCTGGGCATTGAAGTTTGTTTGTTTGTTTGTTTAGGGCTTGGGTCTTGCTCTGTTGCCCAGGCTGGAGTACAGTGGTGTGATCACGGCTCACTGCAGCCTCAACCTTCTGGCTGATCCTCCTGTATCAGCCTCCCAAATATCATGTCTGCTAATTAAAAAAATTTTTTTTGAAGAGATGAGGGTCTCACTGTGTTCCCTAGGCTGGTCTTGAACTCTTGGTCTCATCCAATCCTCCCACCTTAGCCTGCCAAAGTGCTGAAATTACAGCAGTAATACCAACATTACTGGCCCACCATGCATGGCCTGCCACTAAAATGTTTTGTGTTTGTTTGTTTTGAGGCAAGAACTTGCTCTATCCCCCAGGCTGGACTGCAGTAGCGTGATCATGGCTCACCGCAGCCTCAACCTCCTGGTCTCAACAATCCTCTCCCTTTGGCTTCCCAAGTAGCTAGGACTACAGGCACACCACCATACCAGGCTAATTTTTAAATTTTTTGTTGAGATGTGGTTTCACCCTGCTGCCCAGGCTTGAAATGTTTTTAAACCTTTCCAGGTGATTCTAATGTTCAGGCAAGGCTGAGAAGCACCTCCCCTGAAAACCTATAAGTTAGAAATGATTTCAGCTGCAAGCCATAGAAAAACCAAGTAATGGTGGCTTAAGCCAGTGGTTCTTAAACTTTGCTGCGCATTAGAGTCACTTCAGGAGATTTTAAAAATTGTGATGTCCAGGCTGGATCCCAAAGGGTGATGATTGAACTGGGATGGTGTGTGGTCTGGTGGTAGATATGTGCAATCAGGTTGGTTTAGCAATTCTGTGACACTTACCAATACCCTGCTCTTCTCTCCCCTCTGTCTTCTATTGGATGGAATTCTAGCTGGGATTCCCTATCCCCGTGGGCAGCTGGTGTGCCGTGTGTTCTTGCCAATGGAATGCAAGTAGAAGCATGTGCCATTTCTGAGAAGCCAGATAAAACATGTTAGGCGGGCTCCTTCATGCTCTCTTCTCCTCTTCTTTCTGGAATGGCGATGGCCAAAAGAACCTTGGAAGGCATAAACTGAAGACAGCTTTTACCACGAATTCTTTCAAGAAGATGTGAAAAAGATCCACCCCTCAACCTGACACTCCCAACCTGGACTGTTACGTGAAAGAGAAATAATCATGTATTTGTGTTGCTTGAGCATTTAGCCATTTAGTAAAAGTAAATGCATGAGACATAATCCGTTTTTATCTTTGCATTACTCCTGTGAGACAAATATCATTATATCCATTTTACAAATGAAGAAGCTGCGATACAGCAAGGTTCAGTAACTTGCCCAGAGTTACACAGCTAGAAGGTGAGAGAAGGGGTTTAAAGCTAAGGCTTTCTTATTTCAAATCCCAGGCTTTTAACGACATACCATGTATTCTCCCATGGATTTTTGAAAGTAAAAACATCATAGTTGGAAAAAATGAAGAGTTGATACAGAGAAGGCTGATACAGAGAAAGCAGCTTACATCTGTGTCTTGAAGACTGAATGTTCAATTCTGTATTCAGTAGCTTGTTGCTCCATAATTGTCAGCTGCATCTTTTTGCCTCAGCAATCAGGTCTCCATGCCTCCTTCTCTCTCACATCTGCTCTGTGTGCCCACGTGTCTGATCTACATGCTGCTGCAGTGTGGGTCTTCCTAAAAAACTATCTTCTCATGTCACTTCCTCCTGGGACAGCTTCAGAACCTACCAGTTAAAGCTCAAATTCCTTATCGTGGCACGGAAAGCCTTCCTCACCTTGCCCTGCCCTTACCTTCTGATCTTTTCCTACACCATCTCTCTGTTTCAGTCAAATGTGCTTAATTCACTTTACTAAGCCATAAACTTTCAGGGTAAGAAGGAACTTTAAAGTCAAGTAATTCAAACCATCTGTATCAGTTAGCTATTGCTGTGTAACAAACTACCCCAAAACTTAGTGCTTTGCATTTCTAACAATTCTCAGGGTGACTGGGTCGTTCTTTTGTAGATGTCACTTGCGGTCACACATATGGCTCCATTTGGCTCTAGCTGGGCTGGACGGGAAGTTCATGAAGGCCTCTCTCACACCATGGGATCTTTGTGTTATCAGCCGCTGAGTTCCAGGGTTCTTCCACATGGCCTCTCACTCCACGAGGCATCTCGCTTCACGAGGCATCTCGCTTCGTGAGGCATCTCACTCCCAGGACTTCTGCGTGTGACCTCTTGCTCCACAAGGTGTCTAACCCTCTGGGGCTTCTCCATTCGGCCTCTTGCTCCATAAGGTGTCTCCTCCTCTAGGCCTTCTCCACGTGGCCTCTCACTTCACAGGGCGTCTCATCCTCCAGGCCTTCTGCATGTGGCCTCTTGTTCCATGAGGCATTTTACTTCTAGGCCTTCTCCACATGGCCTCTTGCTCTGTGAGCTGTCTCATTTTCCAGGGTTCTTCCGCATGGCCTCTCTCTCCAGCAGGATAATCTTAATGTTCTTATCCTTGGTTTCTAAAAGGGAAAAAGCAGAAGCTATTGTACTTCTTAAAGCTTAGGCCTCTAACATATACAATGTCACTTCTGCCACATTCTATTGGTCAAAGCAAGTCACGGAGCCAGCCCATATGGACTCCATCTTTGGAAGCGAGGAGTGGCAACGGGAAGCTGTGGCAATCTTCTCCCTCTCCCTCTACATACCTCTGCCTCTGACTCTTCTGACATCTCTACCTACTGTTCTTTCTTAGCATAGCCATATTACAGAGTTTAAAGAGTGGGCTCCAGGGCTACCCTTATCTAGGTTTGAATCTCAACTCTTACCTACTCTTTGAGCTTGAGCAAGTTACCAAACTTCTTTGTGCTTCCATTTGTTCAACCATAAATTACAGGGAAATATAAATCCTACCTTAGAGAGTTGTTGTGAGAATTAAATAAGCTAATACAAAGGTCTGGAACAGTGTCTGGCTTTAGTAAGTGCTTCATAAATGTTAATTAGTAGTAGTATTTGGTGGCTCTAGCTCTCAGTTTGGTGCAAAACACAAAGAAGTCAGGTGAGGCCTAGGGTTTAAGCTCCAGGGCAGGGGAGATTAGAAGTAATATATACATAATCCCTAAGGAGTCACCGTTGCACCAAAATGCCTTGATTTAATTGATTAATGAGAAATATTTCAGGGGAGGGTGTCTAAGTGCTTCTTCAGCTTCTGAAGTGCTCCTCCTATCATAGAACCCCTGTTTCTGTAAGGTGGAAACGCACAACCCATGCCCTGTAAGGTAATCTCACAGTCATCTGAGGTTCCATTTACCTAGTCATGTTGCAACCCTCATCTTATCAAACCTTGGACTCCCAATACTGAAATTCCCTTTTTACAAGGGCACTTTTCAGATCCAAAGGAGAAGTCTACGGCAGAAGCTTGTCCGCAGGATTCTGGATACTAGCAATTCCAATCTTGGCATGCAACACTCAGCTCTGAGGAGCAATGATTTACAGCAGCAGAGTCTGGGCAGGAGACCCAGCAGCTCCTGCTACACGTGACGGAGCACAGATCCCCGAGTGAGGGCAAGTGGGGATGAGCTAAGGGAATGAATTGTGAGCTGAGGGCAGACCTCTGCGGATATTGCTAGCCTCTCTCCCTCTGATCATTAGTCATATATTCTGTGGCTTGTGAGTCTTATTTTTCCAGTTCCATTTGTTTTGTTTCATGAACAGGTTAATCATTGCTCTTACTAACAGAGAGAAAGAAAAGCATGATTTAAATTCACTCAAAGGCTGAGAGTAATCATACTAATGCATTAGATCAGATGATGCTTTGGGGCAAGATTGCTATTAGTCTGCCATAACTCATCTGATAGTTCTGTAATAAGCCTTCCTGCCATTATTTATTATTTGTTTTGTAGCATGAAATATACAAAATATAGTTACAGAAATGAAAGTGGTATGTAGAACTTATGCCTAAAATTCTGAAATACATTTGTGTCCTTACTGTCTTCGATTCATGTAATATTTTTGGAGTACCAAGTATGTGCTAGGCACTGGGAGCAAAAGGGAATATGGGAAAGGGAATCAGGTGTTTATTGAACCCATACTCTTGTCAAGGCAGCCTGACAATATCAGATTCCTAGTGGGTCCTGGAAGTCATAGTCTCTGTCCTCAACAGCTTATGATGGTGCGGAGATGGCAGGCACACAGACATGAATAGATACAAATAAAAATCAAAGACAACATACTACCATCAAATACTTTGAGGCTAAGTGAGAGTATGGATTGTAAGTGTGAGCTCCTGTGGTCATGCAAGTCTTTCTTCAGCCCCAGGGCCCTGGACAGCTACAGTCTGGAGGGCTGTCTTTGTAGTCCAGAGCCCTGTTTCTGGAGGAAGGTTCCATGGAGCTCACACTTAACAATCTCAGCATGGGCTTGGAGTCCAGGATAAGGTTCTGGGCCTACCATATACCAGCTGTGAGAATCTGGCAAGCTACTTGACTCCTCTATGCTTTGGTTTCTTCATCTATAGCTTGTACATGAGTTAAATCCAGCTCAGAGGGCGGCGATGAAAATTAAATGAAGATAAAATACTCAGACTAATCACATCATCAGTACACTCTAAGCTCCAGATCTTAGAGTTTTTATTGTTTTGGTGAATGGAGAGAAAGGGGGAGGAACAACATCAGAGGTTTACAGTAGAGGCTGATCTAAGCCATCTGTTACAGGACAAGACTAATTAGCCTGGGGTCATCGCAGCCTCTCCCACTCTCTATCCAGAGTGTGTGGGAGATAGAGAGAAATGGAGGAGGATGGGATTTGCTGCAGCCAATCTCTTGTATTTCCTTTGACATTCTCCCAGAGGATCCAGTAGGGTTTCAATTGCTTTTCCATCATTCTTGCCCTCTAACTGCTCTTTATGTAAATATGGCATGGGCAGAGACTGGCAAGGGGGGGTTCTGGTTATTTCCTCCTAATTGGAAGTGATCTCAGCCACTCTGAACCCTCAGGCCACGTTGTTTGAACTCCCTTAAAAAAAATCTTGATATAGTTTGTACCATAATATGTTTCCTTTTGCAGATGTCATACGTCCCTGATAAATCTCATTAGGATAAAAGCTGGACCTTAACTTGCTTTGAAATCTTGCTTTGCACAGAGTAGCTTGTGATGATTATTGTCAAAATAAAGAGAAGGGTATTTTCTAGGGTTAGAGATAAACCCACTACTGGAAAAAGAAGGCTCCAACCGTAAATAGTGGAAATCTTAAGAATTTTATAATGTCAATCTTGAATGGGATTTTAATTCATTCTAGGAACTGGATGGGAATCTTCAATCTGAAGGGAAGATTTAACTACTTGTTTTTATTTCAGATACTGGCATTGGGCAGGGCTGAGAAGCCTCTGCCAGCCTTGGGCCAGGAGGGGCAGCCGCACTTTTGTTCCCTGCTGAGGTATAGCACTCTATTAAGATGTGCTGGAGTGGGGGCTGTAATGTAATTGGCTTCCCAGTCAGATAGCTGTGACCATCATTTGAAGGCAGGAGAGATATTTTAAAATGAATTTCACTTTCAGCCTAGGATGCCAAGGAGCTTCTTCACTGTACAATATGAGAAAAAAGCAACATATCATCCATATTACAGTTTAGAAAATATCACAGGAAAGGAAGATACACAGATAAATTTTGGATTTATCTTTTCCAGTGGTATCATTGCATAAGACATTCTTATAAGCAAAAATGGAAGTTTACAAGTAGTTTAATATTTAGAGCATTTAATTCACTCCTTCCCATTGCCCCCAGGCTGGGGGGCACGAATGACACAGGAAGGCCAGTCTTCATGGCGTCCCATTGAAAGAAGGACTTCAGGGAAATAAGAGGGACAAGGTACGTTCTATAAACCAAGCAGAGCGTGACCTATTGTTAAATGCCCTTTTGAGGCTGGAGGCTCTTGAACAAGGCTCTTCAACTCTGGATGCACATTCCTGTCATTTTTTTTTCCTGTTTGATTTTTACTTTTTATTGAGATATGACATATATCTGGTAAAGTGCCCTAGTCTTACGTGTAAAGCTTGATGAATTTTACAAGGATTTTTTACAATTTATAAGTAGTTTGTACTTTTATATTATATATAAATATATAATAAATACTGTGTAATATTTTATCAAATGCATATACAACAATTTATTCATTCTACTATTGATGGACATTTGGATTTTCCCATTTTTTGGTTATTATAAATAAAGCTTCTGTGAACAATCTTGCACATGTCATATCCACTCAATTCTAGGAGTGGAACTGCTGAGCCATAAGGAAGGCATATGTTTAGCTTCAGTAAATACCGCCAAACGTTTCTAAAATGTCTATATCAATTTCTATTTCTACCAGCTATGTAGGAGAGTTCCAGTTGCTCTCATATAACTTCTCCAACAGTTGGTATTATCCAATTTTTAAAACGTTAACCTGCAAAGCTTTGATAAGGTACTACTCTTCGAAGTCTTATGAAATTCTTCTGGGGCAGGATCTATTTTTGGAAGCTCTGTGAGTGTCTTTGCTTTCCCAGGCAATGCTAACATGCAGCCAGGGTTGAGAATCATGCCATAGAGAGATGTCCTAATTTGGCTAGTTATTGGAATCAACTGGAGAACTTCAAAAACTATAGGTTCTTGGGTTCTCTTCAGACCTGCCAAATCAGATCCTCCAGGAGAGGTTTTCCCAGAGAATCTGCCTATATAGTATTTCTTTTATAACCCTTTATGTTGCAAGTGATAGAAAATTTATATCCTGGGTTAAATTTTAAAAAGAAAACATTAAAATAATTGATTTATATAACTGAATAGTCCAGATTGAGCCCTGACTCCAGGTACAGTTTGATCCAGGAATCAAATGGTAAGTCTTGATCATAACTCTTAGTGCTTTCTTTCCATCAGGCCCATTCCCTTCATGGCAGCAACATGTCTGCCACAGTTCTCAACCTCAGAACTTCACTCAGCACCACCTAGGTTGCTACCACATTCTGAGCAATCCTCATCTTCTCAACAATTCCTAGTATTTATTGTGTCTCATTGCACTGGGCAACACACTCATCTCTGAACTAATCACTGTGGCCAGAGAAGATGGAAGGTGCTGATTGACTTAAGGCAATCCCTTAGAGCTGAAGACTAGGTCATTTAACCAAAATATGTGACCAAAACGTGTGGATGAATTTCCCAAAGGAAAATCAAATGGATGTTGTCCAGGGACATAAATAATGTCCACATTTACTATGTGACAGTACACTCTGTAGTCATCAAAAACCCATTTTGGAAAGCAACTTACAGCCTTCTGGTCAAGAGAGTTTCTCTAGGGAGTCTGGGCTAAGCCCCACAAGGTTGTCAAGATGTTTGTTTTATTGTCTTCTTTCCCCTTATCTCAACAGTAGAGAAATGGAGGATATTCTTGAGGACAGAAACTAGAAGGTATTTTTGGAGGTGAGGGAGGGTTGGTTTTGAGATGTTCTCAGGGCTAAGTACTGACTCCTGTGTCCAACTCTTAGGCTTCATTCCCCCAGCCTAGAAATAAATTTGCTAAATTGTAGTTAGTTCTTGATTAATAGGTATCCACTCTCTTTTTAAATTATTATTATTATACTTTAAGTTCTAGGGTACATGTGCACAACAAGCAGGTTTGATACATAGGTATACATGTGCCATGTTGGTTTGCTGCACCCATCAACTCATCATTTGCCTTAGGTATTTATCCTAATGCTATCCCTCCCCCAGCCCCCAACCCCTGACAGGCCCTGGTGTGTGATGTTCCCTGCCCTGTGTCCAAGTGGTCTTATTGTTCAATTCCCACCTATGAGTGAGAACATGCAGTGTTTGGTTTTCTGTCCTTGTGATAGTTTGCTGAGAATGATGGTTTCCAGCTTCATCCATGTCCTGCAAAGGACATGAATTCATCCTTTTTTATGACTGCATAGTATTTCATGGTGTATATGTGCCACATTTTCTTAATCCAGTCTATCACTGATGGACATTTGGGTTGGTTCCAAGTCTTTGCTATGGTGAATAGTGCCGCAATAAACATACGTGTGCATGTGTCTTTAGAGTAGCATAATTTATAATCCTTTGGGTTCTACCTAATGGATATATCCCAGTAATGGGTCAAATTACCATTTGATTGCTGGATCCAATGGTAATTCTAGTTCTAGATCCTTGAGGAATCACCACACTATCTTCCACAATGGTTGAACCAATTTACACTCCCACCAACAGCGTAAAAGTGTTCCTGTTTCTCCACATCCTCTCCAGCATCTGTTGTTTCCTGACTTTTTAATGATCGCCATTCTAACTGGTATGAGATGGTATCTCATTGTGGTTTTGATTTGCATTTCCCTGATGACCAGTGATGATGAGCATTTTTTCATATGTCTGTTGGCTACATAATTGTCTTCTTTGGAGAAGTGTCTGTTCATATCCTTTGCCCACTTTTTGATGGGGTTGTTTGTTTTTTTCTTATAAATTTGTTTGAGTTCTTTGTAGATTCTGGATATTAGCCCTTTTTCAGATGGGTAGATTGCAAAAATTTTCTCCCATTCTGTAGGTTTAGGCATCTACTTTCTGAAGCTGTGGAATTGGACTTGCTTCCTTAACAGCTGTCCTTTCATACACATACTCTAGAATAACCTGAACAGGCGGTTGCATGCCTGGCATCTAGTAGATAGAGGAATATACAGAACAGTCCCTACCACAAAGAATTATTCATCTCCAAATGGATAAGTGAGGGTGAGAAATGTGCCTATGAGCAATGGAGCATGTTTCATGGAGCATTAGCTCATGTTGATACTTTCAACCACCTGCTCTGGGTCCTTCTCTCTGTTTTTAAAATATCTTGTTACATAGGTAAGTTTCCAACTCTTTCATACATACTTATATATATATATAGAAATAGTGTGTACACACCCCTACCTAATTTGACATTTGCTGTTACATATTATCACACCAAATCCTGTATTCAAATTACAATGCTGCCCAGAACTGCAGACATTAACCCCACCCCATAAAAGAGCATTTGTTGTGCACTGGTGGCTTCATTCTAGGTTACAGGCTGATTCATATGATTTATAAACAATATACCCATTAGGTAGAATTTTCACAGGAGAGTGTGGTGGTCATGATTTTCTTTTTTCTTCTTTCTTCCTTCCTTCTCTACCCTCAGTTCAGGTGTCCTGGAATAAAATCCAAATAGTGCAGAGAGGTCTATGATATATTGGTTGGTACTATCAGAGAGTAGCACCAGCTGTCAGAAAAGAAAAACAAGGCCAGGTGTGGTGGTGCACCCCTGTAGTCCCAGCTACTTGGGAGGTTGAGGCAGGAGGATCACTTGAGCCTAGAAGTTTGAGGCTGCAGTGAGCTGTGATTGCACCACTGCAGTCCAGGCTGGGAGAGAGTGAGACCCTGTGAAAGAAAGAAAGAAGAAAGAGAAAGAGAGAGAAGAAGAGAAAAGAAACAAAAAGAATGAAAAAAAGAAAAGAAAAAAGAAAGAAAGCCCAACCTTCTTCCAAAAGGTCATGAGAATCTTGAGCACTTATGGTTCTTAGCATGACCGCTTGACCTGCAGAGCCCCTGTTATAGAACTCATTTTTATATTTTCCTTAATATAACAGTTAATATAATAGTGTCATTTTTGTTAGTAGTGTCTTTTTGTCATTTTACTTTTTAAAACATTTTATTGAAATACACATACAGGGAAGTGCATGTGTCATAAGCCTGCAAATTGATGAATTCTAAAATTTTGATTGCACCTGTTTAACACCTAGATTGAGACACTGAACATAACTAACAATGAGAAATCTCCTTGAACTCCCTTCCTGTTACTACCCCTCCTCCTGACCAAATCACTCTCTTCTAACAGCAAAACTTTGTGTGACTAATTTTTTTAATTTAAAAGAATGAAATCATACAGCATGTATTCATTTGCACCTGGTTTCTAGCACCCAACATTATATTTGTGAGATTCATTCGTACAGTTGCATATTAGTTTGCAGATCCCTCACTCTCGTTTCTGTATAATATTATATCGCATAAATATACCATACTTTACCCATCCTACTGTTAAACATTTGTGCAGTTTCCACTTGGGGGCGATTTCAAATAGTGCTGCTATCAACATTCTTGTAAATGTCTTTTGGTGAACATATGCAACACATATATGCATTGTTTTTGGTTCCCAGGAGTGGAATTCCTGAGTCATAAACAATGCATGCGTTCAGGTTTAGTATAGTATAATGCCAAACAGGTTTCCAAAGTGTTTGTGCCACTTTATATACTCACCATTATTGAAAAAGAGTTCTATTTGCTCCACATTGTCACCAATACTTGATATTTTCTGTTTTTTTTTTCTTTTTAACCATACTAGTAGGTGTGTAGTGATATTACAATGTGGTTTTAATTTGCATCTTCCTTATGACAAATTAACCTTAATTTGATTACTGTAAGGCACTTGGAAATGTGATTTAAATTCATATAAAGATACAGTAGTGATTATTCCGGGGAGGAGCCAAGATGGCCGAATAGGAACAGCTCCGGTCTACAGCTCCCAGCGTGAGCGACGCAGAAGACGGGTGATTTCTGCATTTCCATCTGAGGTACCAGGTGCATCTCACTAGGGAGTGCCAGACAGTGGGCGCAGGCCAGTGTGTGTGCGCACCGTGCGCGAGCCGAAGCAGGGCGAGGCATTGCCTGCCCTGGGAAGCGCAAGGGGTCAGGGAGTTCCCTTTCCGAGTCAAAGAAAGGGGTGACGGACGCACCTGGAAAATCGGGTCACTCCCACCCGAATATTGCGCTTTTCAGACCGGCTTAAAAAACGGCGCACCACGAGACTATATCCCACACCTGGCTCAGAGGGTCCTACGCCCACGGAATCTCACTGATTGCTAGCACAGCAGTCTGAGATCAAACTGCAAGGCGGCAACGAGGCTGGGGGAGGGGCGCCCGCCATTGCCCAGGCTTGCTTAGGTAAACAAAGCAGCCGGGAAGCTCGAACTGGATGGAGCCCACCACAGCTCAAGGAGGCCTGCCTGCCTCTGTAGGCTCCACCTCTGGGGGCAGGGCACAGACAAACAAAAAGACAGCAGTAACCTCTGCACACTTAAGTGTCCCTGTCTGACAGCTTTGAAGAGAGCAGTGGTTCTCCCAGCACGCAGCTGGAGATCTGAGAACGGGCAGACTGCCTCCTTAAGTGGGTCCCTGACCCCTGACCCCTGAGCAGCCTAACTGGGAGGCACCCCCCAGCAGGGGCACACTGACACCTCACACAGCAGGGTATTCCAACAGACCTGCAGCTGAGGGTCCTGTCTGTTAGAAGGAAAACTAACAACCAGAAAGGACATCTACACCGAAAACCCATCTGTACATCACCATCATCAAAGACCAAAAGTAGATAAAACCACAAAGATGGGGAAAAAACAGAACAGAAAAACTAGAAACTCTAAAACGCAAAGCACCTCTCCTCCTCCAAAGGAACGCAGTTCCTCACCAGCAACGGAACAAAGCTGGATGGAGAATGATTTTGACGAGCTGAGAGAAGAAGGCTTCAGACGATCAAATTACTCTGAGCTACGGGAGGACATTCAAACCAAAGGCAAAGAAGTTGAAAACTTTGAAAAAAATTTAGAAGAATGTATAACTAGAATAACCAATACAGAGAAGTGCTTAAAGGAGCTGATGGAGCTGAAAACCAAGGCTCGAGAACTACGTGAAGAATGCAGAAGCCTCAGGAGCCGATGCGATCAACTGGAAGAAAGGGTATCAGCAATGGAAGATGAAATGAATGAAATGAAGCGAGAAGGGAAGTTTAGAGAAAAAAGAATAAAAAGAAATGAGCAAAGCCTCCAAGAAATATGGGACTATGTGAAAAGACCAAATCTACGTCTGATTGGTGTACTTGAAAGTGATGTGGAGAATGGAACCAAGTTGGAAAACACTCTGCAGGATATTATCCAGGAGAACTTCCCCAATCTAGCAAGGCAGGCCAATGTTCAGATTCAGGAAATACAGAGAACACCACAAAGATACTCCTCGAGAAGAGCAATTCCAAGACACATAATTGTCAGATTCACCAAAGTTGAAATGAAGGAAAAAATGTTAAGGGCAGCCAGAGAGAAAGGTCGGGTTACCCTCAAAGGAAAGCCCATCAGACTAACAGCGGATCTCTCGGCAGAAACCCTACAAGCCAGAAGAGAGTGGGGACCAATATCCAACATTCTTAAAGAAAAGAATTTTCAACCCAGAATTTCATATCCAGCCAAACTAAGCTTCATAAGTGAAGGAGAAATAAAATACTTTATAGACAAGCAAATGCTGAGAGATTTTGTCACCACCAGGCCTGCCCTAAAAGAGCTCCTGAAGGAAGCGCTAAACATAGAAAGGAACAACCGGTACCAGCCGCTGCAAAATCATGCCAAAATGTAAAGACCATCGAGACTAGGAAGAAACTGCATCAACTAACGAGCAAAATCACCAGCTAACATCATAATGACAGGATCAAATTCACACATAACAATATTAACTTTAAATATAAATGGACTAAATTCTGCAATTAAAAGACACAGACTGGCAAGTTGGATAAAGAGTCAAGACCCATCAGTGTGCTGTATTCAGGAAACACATCTCACGTGCAGAGACACACATAGGCTCAAAATAAAAGGATGGAGGAAGATCTACCAAGCCAATGGAAAACAAAAAAAGGCAGGGGTTGCAATCCTAGTCTCTGATAAAACAGACTTTAAACCAACAAAGATCAAAAGAGACAAAGAAGGCCATTACATAATGGTAAAGGGATCAATTCAACAAGAGGAGCTAACTATCCTAAATATTTATGCACCCAATACAGGAGCACCCAGATTCATAAAGCAAGTCCTGAGTGACCTACAAAGAGACTTAGGCTCCCACACATTAATAATGGGAGACTTTAACACCCCACTGTCAACATTAGACAGATCAACGAGACAGAAAGTCAACAAGGATACCCAGGAATTGAACTCAGCTCTGCACCAAGCGGACCTAATAGACATCTACAGAACTCTCCACCCCAAATCAACAGAATATACATTTTTTTCAGCACCACACCACACCTATTCCAAAATTGACCACATAGTTGGAAGTAAAGCTCTCCTCAGCAAATGTAAAAGAACAGAAATTATAACAAACTATCTCTCAGACCACAGTGCAATCAAACTAGAACTCAGGATTAAGAATCTCACTCAAAGCCGCTCAACTACATGGAAACTGAACAACCTGCTCCTGAATGACTACTGGGTACATAACGAAATGAAGGCAGAAATAAAGATGTTCTTTGAAACCAACGAGAACAAAAACACCACATACCAGAATCTCTGGGACGCATTCAAAGCAGTGTGTAGAGGGAAATTTATAGCACTAAATGCCTACAAGAGAAAGCAGGAAAGATCCAAAATTGACACCCTAACATCACAATTAAAAGAACTAGAAAAGCAAGAGCAAACACATTCAAAAGCTAGCAGAAGGCAAGAAATAACTAAAATCAGAGCAGAACTGAAGGAAATAGAGACACAAAAAACCCTTCAAAAAATCAATGAATCCAGGAGCTGGTTTTTTGAAAGGATCAACAAAATTGATAGACCGCTAGCAAGACTAATAAAGAAAAAAAGAGAGAAGAATCAAATAGACACAATAAAAAATGATAAAGGGGATATCACCACCGATCCCACAGAAATACAAACTACCATCAGAGAATACTACAAACACCTCTACGCAAATAAACTAGAAAATCTAGAAGAAATGGATACATTCCTCGACACATACACTCTCCCAAGACTAAACCAGGAAGAAGTTGAATCTCTGAATAGACCAATAACAGGCTCTGAAATTGTGGCAATAATCAATAGTTTACCAACCAAAAAGAGTCCAGGATCAGATGGATTCACAGCCGAATTCTACCAGAGGTACAAGGAGGAACTGGTACCATTCCTTCTGAAACTATTCCAATCAATAGAAAAAGAGGGAATCCTCCCTAACTCATTTCATGAGGCCAGCATCATCTTGATACCAAAGCCTGGCAGAGACACAACCAAAAAAGAGAATTTTAGACCAATATCCTTGATGAACATTGATGCAAAAATCCTCAATAAAATACTGGCAAACCGAATCCAGCAGCACATCAAAAAGCTTATCCACCATGATCAAGTGGGCTTCATCCCTGGGATGCAAGGCTGGTTCAATATACGCAAATCAATAAATGTAATCCAGCATATAAACAGAGCCAAAGACAAAAACCACATGATTATCTCAATAGATGCAGAAAAAGCCTTTGACAAAATTCAACAACCCTTCATGCTAAAAACTCTCAATAAATTAGGTATTGATGGGACGTATTTCAAAATAATAAGAGCTATCTATGACAAACCCACAGCCAATATCATACTGAATGGGCAAAAACTGGAAGCATTCCCTTTGAAAACTGGCACAAGACAGGGATGCTCTCTCTCACCACTCCTATTCAACATAGTGTTGGAAGTTCTGGCCAGGGCAATCAGGCAGGAGAAGGAAATAAAGGGTATTCAATTAGGAAAAGAGGAAGTCAAATTGTCCCTGTTTGCAGACGACATGATTGTTTATCTAGAAAACCCCATTGTCTCAGCCCAAAATCTCCTTAAGCTGATAAGCAACTTCAGCAAAGTCTCAGGATACAAAATCAATGTACAAAAATCACAAGCATTCTTATACACCAACAACAGACAAACAGAGAGCCAAATCATGAGTGAACTCCCATTCACAATTGCTTCAAAGAGAATAAAATACCTAGGAATCCAACTTACAAGGGATGTGAAGGACCTCTTCAAGGAGAACTACAAACCACTGCTCAAAGAAATAAAAGAGGACACAAACAAATGGAAGAACATTCCATGCTCATAGGTAGGAAGAATCAATATCGTGAAAATGGCCATACTGCCCAAGGTAATTTACAGATTCAATGCCATCCCCATCAAGCTACCAATGACTTTCTTCACAGAATTGGAAAAAACTACTTTAAAGTTCATATGGAACCAAAAAAGAGCCCGCATCGCCAAGTCAATCCTAAGCCAAAAGAACAAAGCTGGAGGCATCACACTACCTGACTTCAAACTATACTACAAGGCTACAGTAACCAAAACAGCATGGTACTGGTACCAAAACAGAGATATAGATCAATGGAACAGAACAGAGCCCTCAGAAATAATGCCGCATATCTACAACTATCTGATCTTTGACAAACCTGAGAAAAACAAGCAATGGGGAAAGGATTCCCTATTTAATAAATGGTGCTGGGAAAACTGGCTAGCCATATGTAGAAAGCTGAAACTGGATCCCTTCCTTACACCTTATACAAAAATCAATTCAAGATGGATTAAAGATTTAAACGTTAGACCTAAAACCATAAAAACCCTAGAAGAAAACCTAGGCATTACCATTCAGGACATAGGCGTGGGCAAGGACTTCATGTCCAAAACACCAAAAGCAATGGCAACAAAAGCCAAAATTGACAAATGGGATCTAATTAAAGTAAAGAGCTTCTGCACAGCAAAAGAAACTACCATCAGAGTGAACAGGCAACCTACAACATGGGAGAAAATTTTCGCAACCTACTCATCTGACAAAGGGCTAATATCCAGAATCTACAATGAACTCAAACAAATTTACAAGAAAAAAACAAACAACCCCATCAAAAAGTGGGCGAAGGACATGAACAGACACTTCTCAAAAGAAGACATTTATGCAGCCAAAAAACACATGAAAAAATGCTCATCATCACTGGCCATCAGAGAAATGCAAATCAAAACCACTATGAGATATCATCTCACACCAGTTAGAATGGCAATCATTAAAAAGTCAGGAAACAACAGGTGCTGGAGAGGATGTGGAGAAATAGGAACACTTTTACACTGTTGGTGGGACTGTAAACTAGTTCAACCATTGTGGAAGTCAGTGTGGCGATTCCTCAGGGATCTAGAACTAGAAATACCATTTGACCCAGCCATCCCATTACTGGGTATATACCCAAAGGACTATAAATCATGCTGCTATAAAGACACATGCACACGTATGTTTATTGCGGCACTACTCACAATAGCAAAGACTTGGAACCAACCCAAATGTCCAACAATGATAGACTAGATTAAGAAAATGTGGCACATATACACCATGGAATACTATGCAGCCATAAAAAATGATGAGTTCATGTCCTTTGTAGGGACATGGGTGAAATTGGAAACCATCATTCTCAGTAAACTATTGCAAGAACAAAAAACCAAACACCGCATATTCTCACTCATAGGTGGGAATTGAACAATGAGATCACATGGACACAGGAAGGGGAATATCACACTCTGGGGACTGTGGTGGGGTTGGGGGAGGGGGGAGGGATAGCATTGGGAGATATACCTAATGCTAGATGACACGTTAGTGGGTGCAGCGCACCAGCATGGCACATGTATACATATGTAACTAACCTGCACAATGTGCACATGTACCCTAAAACTTAAAATATAATTAAAAAAAACAAAACAAAAAAAAAAAGATACAGTAGTAAAACACATATGTTACTTTCATATTTGGAAAGTTTATATAGCATGATTTCTATGTAAGCTTTTATAGTGTAGTCTGAGTCCGTAAATATTGATTACAAAAAACACATCTGTAGATGAGTTACAATACCTCACGTATAATTCCCCATTCGTGTTATATTAGCTCAATATTTTTCAAATATATTTTTGCATACAATTTTCACCTTCTTTTTGAGTAGTCTCAGATATTTTATATGGTTCCAACACAGTGAGTTAGGTTGCCATTGTTTGGAAGCACACATCCACGTATCTGCACCATGATGATATGACATGCCCATACCCCCCATTTCGTATTTTGTCAGAAGTGCATAGCTATCACTGACAAACTTCACCAGTAGAAATTTACTCCCAATTTCAAATGGACTTGTCTTGAATAATCTCTCCACTGAAGCATAACAGGTTTTGAATTCAGTTAGAATAGTTGTTTTTACTATCTTTTAATTTTATAAAAATTTCAAAGTTACTTAATACTTTTATTTAAAAAGTGAAACAAAGCTTTTCCTCTCCCTTACCCACTTTATAGCCCAGCAGAGGGGAAAAGCATTGGCCCCAGGCCAAAATCATAAAAGCTTCCAATTAACTAATAATAATTGCTGGCATGTTGCCATTTAAATATCCTTGTGTCTCGTTATCTCTGGTTGCTTTATCAAACCCATAGGTCACTAAAGCCCACTTTTGAGACAAAGACTATTTCTCCCCCAAAAGTCAAGGGAAATATAAAAAATGAAATTAGTGATTAAGGATAGAAGTTAATTAATACAATTATTTTGGCTTAATTATTTAAAGTCCAGTTTTTTTCCTCCAGCAAACCTGAAAATACACTATCCTCCAGCTATCAGAATTATATTGAGATTTATCATTTTTCATTGATGAATTTATAGCTCTCACATATACAAAGGGAAGAAATAGAAAATCTTGAAGGTAATCCACACAAAAATGGTTATGTGCTGACACGTATACATCAATTTTCACATACACATACCTCTGTACTTTTTTAAAAAGGCAGCTTCTTTCATGTTAATGTAATTTTTGTTTCCAGCTAAGCAATCTTAATAATTCTTTCAGAGACATCATTGCCTAATGAGCAATCTTTCTTAATTGTATAATCTTTGATCGCCATTTCAAAAGCCATTTTATCCATTTTAAGTGTACAATTCAGTGACATTACATTCACAATGTTGTACAGCCACTACCACCATCCATTTCCAGAACTTTTTCATCTTCCTAAACTGAAACGCTGTACCTAGTAACAATAACTTCTCATTACCCACCCTCCCGCTACCCGTGGCAACTAGCATTCTATTTCCTGGCTCTATGAAAATGAATTTGTCTAACCTATGTACCACACGTCTGTGAAATCATACAGTATTTGTCCTTTGGTGTCTGGCTTAATTCACTTAGCATAATGTCTTCAAGGTTCATCTACGTTGTAGTATGTGTCAGAATTTCCTTTCCTTTTAAGGCTGAATAATTTTTCATTGTATAAATATACCATGTTTTGTTTATCCATTCATCTGTTACTAGACATTTGGGTTGCTTCCATGTTTTGGCTGTTGTGAATAATGCTGCTGTGAACATGGGTATACAAGTATCTCTTCAAGGCTCTGCTTTCCCTTTTTTTGGCTACATACCCAGAAATGGAATAGTTGGATTGTGTGGTAATACCATGGCTAATTTTTTGAGGAGCTGCCCTACTGTTTTTCTCAACAATGGCACTGTTTTACATTCCTACCAGCAATGCACAAGGCAAATATTAAATTTTAAACCCATCAATTCTGAATAGCTTTTATACAAATTGTATAAACTTCAGGACCAGCATTTATCTATTTTTCTATGTCTATCTATCTATCTATCTATCTATCTATCTATCTATCTATCTATCATCTATCTGTCTACCTACCTACCTATCCATTTCCAGAGATACTTAGAATGAAAACTATAATTTGCAATTGGTGAAAATGCCCTGAATCAGGAGGCAGTTGTGATTGGCACGTACCTAATTGGTCCCTCTTTTGCTGTGAGTCTCTTATTCTTCTAAGCAGCCATGTATTCTAGAGAAAGTCCCCAAACAGAACTGCCCAAAATGGCCCTCTATTTGTAAGTTACTCATTTTTTATAATCTAGTTGGATTCTCCTGTTTTTCGTCCTCTTGCTGTCCCCGGATTAATTTTGTCTTTAGTCTTTTAGTACTTTTGCCAACACCCCCTCCAAGAATTTATCCTCTGGCTTTCCTTGTACTCAGACATTTTCACACCCTGGGAGGTAAGTTGCTTTCTAAGGACCTTCCAGAAAATGATGAGCATTTGATTAGGATTTGTTAGTGATAATTGTTGTGGCCAGTTGAAAGACAAGAGGTTTTTTAATACCTCAAATAACTGGGCTGACAGACTTGATCATGTTTGGTTTGGAGAACTGACCATTTTGTCACTTGGAGTGAGGAAGAGGAGGTGGAAGAGGTGGGGGTAGTTCAGGGGTTCATTCTCATTGTGGATGGGGCTCTCTAGAGTTGAGCCCTCATGTTTATTTGAATTGATGCTATAGTAGGAGTTTCCTGTGGGTCCTTCCCTAGCTTCCCCCATGCCTTCTGACAGATTCCTCTTCCTAAGAAGGCTGTGGCAAGAACTGGGAGTTGGAGTCAGAACTGATGTGATTTCCTTCTGTCCTCACTGCCACCTCCTCCTGAGCCTCCTGCACTGGATCCCCTTCCCCACAGCTTCTCAAGGTTGGAGGGCCCTGGAATTCTGTCCCAAGACCTCTTCTATGGTCTAGCTGACCTCATTTCCCAGGTAATTTCTACCAGTCCCATGCATTAAATAAACCTGTATGCTAATAACTCCCAAATGTATGTCTCCTGTCTTCTTTTTCTGATTCTAAATTTGTTGATCCAACTGCCTACACACTATCTCAAATCGGATGCTTGAGAAGAATGTTAGAGTCAATATGTCTAAAATCAAACTTTTGATTCTTTTCTACCTAAGTAAATGTTTACCTTTTCCTCTCTTTCTAGCTCAGTAAATGGCTCCACCATTTATCTAGTACCTCAGGCCAAAATTCTTATTGTCATCTTGGATTCCTTTTTTTCCACTCTTATGTCTAATTCAATCTGCAAGTCCTGTCACTTTTACCTTCAAAATACAGCCTAAAGCCTCAACCATTTCTCACCTCCTTCACTGCTAACAACCTTCCCATGTCACTATCAGATCTTTCCTGGATTCCTGCACTGGTCCCATAAATGGTTGCAGGGCTTCCTCACTGGGTCCTTTGTAGTCTCATCTCCACAGGCTTTCCAGGATTTGAGAATATTAATCCAGTCAAATCACCCCTGTCCTCATCTCTCTAAGGGCTTCTCATTTTATTCCCAGAAAAAAACCTGAAGTCTTTGTCATGACCTGCAGGTCACGTAAGGCCCTCTGGACCTGTTCCTGGCAGCCACTCTTGTCTCACCTCCTACACTTCTTTGTCCCAGTCCCTCTACTGTATCCATGCTGGACCTCTGGATGTTCCTCACATACACCCAGCATTCCCATCCCACATTCCTGAAACTTGCTTTCCCCTAATACTGTATCACGCTTCCCACAGTTTGCATGTGCCTCATTCCCTCACTTTATTTGGGTCTCTGCTCATATGCCACTCTCTGAGAGGTCGCCTCTCACTCCTTGTGTCAAATCTCACCCTTCTAACAATATAGTAAGTTGTATCAAATGAAATTGCCATTTAAGGCCAGGCTCGGTGGCTCATGACTGTAATCCCAGCAGTTTGGGAGCCCGAGGCAGGTGGATCACCTGAGGTCAGGCGTTCGAGACCAGCCTGACCAATATGGTAAAACCCCGTCTCTACTAAAAATACAAAAATTAGCTGGGCATGGTGGTGGGTGCCTATAATCCCAGCTACTTGGGAGGCTGAGGCAGGAGAATCATTTGAACCAGGAGGCGGAGGTTGCAGTGAGCCAAGATTGTACCATTGCCCTCCAGCCTGGGTGACAAGAGTAAAACTCCATCTCAAAAAAAAAAAAAAAAAAAGAAAAAAGAAATTGCCATTTAAAAAAAAATAGAGATGAGGTCTCTCTATGTTGCCCAGGCTGGTCTTGAACTCCTGGGCTCAAGCAGTCCTCCCACCTCAGCCTTCTGAACTGCTGAGATTACAGGCGTGAACTATGGCGCCTGGCCTGAAATTGCCATTTTTGTAGGTAAAAAAAGGGTAAATATTGTCAATTTCAATTGGTTCAACACACACATATCATGTTATTGTGCTTACCACTGCCTGTCATACTTCCTATATGTATTGGTTTGTTGCTTATTTATTGGTTTATTGTCTGTCTCCTCCACTACAGTATAAGCAGCTTGGGTTGTTCACTTCTAGAGAGCTCCTGGAACAAAGAGACATTCACAGATTATCTGCCGTAAACTTCTTCCATTTATTGCCCAGTCCTTTGACAAATTAAACTCATTAAATTGCTCTCTGCTAGTCACACTGGTATTTTTGAAGCCAAACTCTTTTACTTCTTATCAAGATTCATACTCTTTTGTTCTCGGGATTTCATTTTGGAGATCCTCCCATCCCTCTCATTCTGTCTTCTCTTTCAGATTATTTGATTATGGGATCAAACTGTAATTTCCTCTGACCTTCTGAGAACTGTGTACCCATTTAGAACCCACATCAGAGCCTTTCCAGAAAGGTTTTCATTGGGCATTTTAATCCCTGCTGTGAAAGACATTCTCTGACTCACTAGCTCCAGAGACTCCAGTACTTCTGCTTCAACAATCCAGTTCTTCCTGGTAGGTCAGAATTAAATCTAAGAGAGAAGTTCCTTTTGTTTCTTCCTCTTCCTTCTGCAAAATAAAATGATTAGTAAGACAAGGTCAAAAATGCATGTTCTGCTTTTAGAGAAATTAGATTTCCAGCAGAAATGCAGAGAGCTAAGTTCCCATTACATCTTTGACTTGCAAATATGTCAATTTTGTGATTTTTAAAAATGTGCGCCCCATGTTTATTGCAGTGCTGTTCACAATAGCCAAGACATGGAATCAACCCAAGTATTCATCAACAGACAAATGGATAAAAGAGAATGTGGTATATATACAAAATGGAATACCATTCGGCCATTAAAAAGAATGAAATCCTGTCATTCACAGCAATACGGATGGAACTGGAGGACATTATGTTAAGTGAAATAAGCCAGGCACGGAAAGTTAAACACCTCATGTTCTTACTCATATGTAGAAATTTTAAAAAGTTTACTCAGATATGAAAAGCAGAACAGAGGTTACTAGAGGCTGGGAGGGGTAGGGGAAAGGCAGGATAGGGAGACATTTGTTAAAGGACACAAAATTACAGCTAGATAGGAGGAACAAATTCTAGTGTTTTATAGCACCACAGGATGACTAGAGTTAACAATGTATTATATACCTTATTTTTTTTTATTTTTATTTTTGAGACAGAGTCTTGCTCTGTTGCCCAGGCTGCAGTGCCATGGTGCACTCTCAGCTCACTGCAACCTCTGCCACCTGGATTCAAGCGATTCTCCTGCCTCACCTTCCCAAGTGGCTGGGCTTACAGGTGCGTGCCACCACATCCAGCTAATTTTTGTATTTTTAGTAGAGACAGGGTTTCAGCATCTTGGCCAGGCTGGTCTTGAACTCCTGACCTCATGATCCACCCACCTCGGCCCCCCAAAGTGCTGGGATTACAGGCATGATCTGGCTATATACTTTCAAATAGCTAGTAGAGACGGAACTGAATGTTCCCAAGAGAAAGAAGCAATAAATGTTTGAGATGATGGATATGTCCTCATCTGATCACTACACATTGTATGTATCGAAACATCAGTATGTACCCCCTAAATATGTATAATTATTATGTGTCAATTGAAAATAATTTTTAAAGAATCAGTATAATACCATCATAGAGTTTTAAAAACAGGAAAAACTCTGGCTATATACTTTCAAATAGCTAGCAGAGACAGAACTGAATGTTCCCAAGAGAAAGAAGCAATAAATGTTTGAGATGATGGATATGTCCTCATCTGATCACTACACATAGTATGTATTGAAACATCAGTATGTATCCCCTAAATCTGTATAATTATTATGTGTCAATTGGAAATAATTTTTAAAGAATCAGTATAATACCATCATAGAGTTTTAAAAACAGGAAAAAAAATTGTCCATCATTTCCCTTTCACCCTAGCACAATTTCTATCATTTCTGTATTTTTCTACATAAATGTAGAATTTTGCAGTTGAAAATAGTATAGCATACAATTTTGTATCTTGTTGTATTCACTTATCATCATAAGGTTTTCTTCATGTTACCACATGGGTTCCTAACTACGCAATGGCTGCAGAATATTCTGTCAAGTGGTTGGACCCTAATTTGATAAACTAGTCCCCTAAAGTTATTGTTTCTCATTTTTGATCACTATAGCGTTCCTTTTTGCATTTGGCTTTTTTCCTGCCTTTGGATTATTTTATTAGGATAAAGTCCCAGACCTGAGATTATTGAGTTCAAAGATAGAAACATAGAGCGGACAAGGCTCCTAACACTGGGTGGCAGGCTGCTTCCCACAAACTGAACTCTATGCCTACTGCACCACTATTCACAATAGCCAAGATATACAATCAATCACAGTGTCCATCAACAGATGAATGGATAAGAAAATGTGGTACATAGATGCAATGGGGTACTCTTTATCAATTACAAAGAAAAGTTCTGTTATTCGTGGCAGCACGGGTGGAGCTGGAGGACACTGTGTTAAGTGGAATAACACCACGACAGTGACCAGAAGTGAGCCCAGGCTCATCCTCTTCACAGCTCCTTCCCCGACACAGCTCAGCTGCCTCACTTCTGTTATCAGCTCCTCACAGGGCAGCCCAAGTGAGCGGTTTTTGACTCTGTCCTATCCTGAAGTGGCCACAGGGACAGTGCCTGGCATCTGCCATGGACCATCAAGAGGCAATGAAGAAGTGGTCAGGGCAGAGGTAGAACCACTCATCCATGAGGGCCATGGCCAGCAGCAGCCTGGCCGCCAGGGGCACCTCTCGGCAGGTGAGGCCTCTCCTGCTGTCCTGGGGCTTCTGTTCCATGTTGATTTCCTCTGTAATTTCCTTCCAGGTGCCCCTTCTCCCAGCTAAGGTCTCCACCCAGGTACCTGGTCAGTCTGTGCTCTGGTTGGCCCCCAGGGACTGGTTTGGAAGCATCCTGGGATTCTGCAACAGTTTTCCATGCAGACTCCCACTTCTTCCTCTTTTCCAATCTACTCTCCACACAGCAAACATGATTGTTTTTCTGCTGCCTCACAGCCTATAGCCACGCTGGCTCTGCACCCACCTGCTGCTCCAGGCCTGCATGCACCCTCTGTGATCTTTCTAGGAATATGTTAATCAGAGTTCCATCTTACTTGGCTGATGCTACTTCTGTCATGTCAGGTCTTTCAAAGCCATTTGACAGTGGATAGAATGTTTATCACCAATATGACAATGCTTAAGGCTTTCCCCAAGGAATGCACGCAAAGAACATAACTTTGAGTTCCTAATTATACTTGATTTAAAGTGTTGTTTGAGTGCCAGGCTGCAAATTGGGGGAAGAGTAGGAATTTAGGGCCTGGATTTGGAGTCAGACATATTCATTTTTTAATCCTACTTCTCCTGTGTGTTATTAGTCAGAAAAACAGAAATCAAGCCAGTAATTTCACAGAAAAGACCTTCATAGAGGGAATTGGTTAAATTGGTATTGGAGACAAAAAGGGGACCATGGGCCACCAAAGAGATCATAACTTCAGGAAGCAGCTACTGCCCCTAGGGTGTTGGAATAACTAAGTTCTTCTTCAAAGACTCAACTTCCTGGTCATAATTTACAAGGTTGTAAATCCCTACCCTCTTCTTCTCTTGCCTCCTTTTTTTTCCTCCTTTTCCTGCAAATTGTGCATTTACCCTGTTTGGAAAAGTTCAAGTCTTAGCCAATCATGATCAGCTTACATTGTGCGGTCCAGCCCCAGCCAATAGGGGGAAGGACACAGAAACAGGAACTGCTTTAGGGATACAAATCCCTTCTCTCCTTTGTTCGGTGTGCTCTTGCAATTGTGATGGATGTAAGCAGCACCCTTCTGCAGAAGTAAAGTTGCCTTGCTGAGAAACTCTGAGTGCTGGTTCTTCTTTGTGGTGCCGAGCACTTGTTTCCAACAAAGGCAAGGGGAAAGAGAAGAGGATGAAGTTATTAGAACCTAGAGGCTTGGAGTAGAAACCCTTCATAATTGGGACCTGGATTTCTGGGGAGTAGGTGCCAGTGGACTGGTGCTGGTATTTCTGAGGAGTTCATTCCAGGAGGGTAGAAAATGATTGCTGATTGGATAAAGAAAATGTAGTACATATACACAATGGAATACTATGCCGCCTTAAAAAATAATGAGATCACATCTTTTGCAGGAACATGGATGGATTAATTTCCTTAGGAAACTAATGCAGTAATACAAAACCAAATACCACATGTTCTCCCTTATAAGTGGGAGCTAAATGATGAGTACTCATGGACACAAAGAAGAGAACAACAGATACTGGGGCTTCCTTGAGGGTAGAAGGTGGGAGGATGGAGAAGAGCAGATAAAGGAACTATTGCATACTAGGTTTAGTACCTGGATAATGAAATAATCTGTACAACAAGCCCTCTAACATGAGTTTACCTATATAACAAACCTGCACATGTACCCTCAAACATAAAAGTTTAAAAAGAAAGAAAACGGCTGTTGCTGAGGTGAAAAACCATTATTGAGATGATGCAGGCAGAAACAGGAGGCAAATAGGAGGGAGCAAGTCTCCTCTCCCTCATCCAGCCTCACTGTCCTTCTGGCATGCCAACAAAACACCAGCCAGCTGACCATACAGAAATGTGGTTTGCAGAATCCCCACCTCGGCATCACAAAGCAGAGTACAAAAGGGCAGGTTTGAAACGGAAAGAAAATGGCTTAATAACCAGTACAATGACCTTAGGTAAATTACATAGCCTCACTAAGCTTCAATTCCTATACCTGTATAAGGGGGAGAAATACCTTGTCTCAAGGTTATTGTAAGGATTAAGTGAGATAATGGATACAGATTGCTCAATAAGAACATTGAAAGTAGCTGTAGATCTATGTCCCTGATACACCATCTTTAGCCTCAACATGGCAGCCAGAGGGGGACAAGGATAGGGAGAAAGATGGAAAGAGGAGAGAAGAGCAAGTAGGAGAAGGAGGAGGGAAGAATGGAAAGAGTGCAAGAGGTATTTGGGAACACCATCAGAGAGAAGGGCAAAAGCCCTGTGGACCAGTCCTGTCTCTTTGGGAAGGCTTTTCCCATTTTGAACAAATTATATGCTCTGGGTGCTTTTAATGACTTCTGGGGTTGTTGTGATTTCTGCAAAATCAAGAGAACTAATAAGAGTAGCTGGAGGTATGTGATCATTTTCTAAAAAATTGAAGGCTCAGTAGTTTGGCAAAAGATGACAGCAGGAGGTCTTAATGAGTTAGACCAGAAATTAATCTTGTCTTGTTTCTCCTTTAACTGTTTTTTCCCCCTGTGTCTTTGGCTGATTCTAGCAGCTGTTCAATTGTGTAATTAAGTCACTTCTAAGAGATCCGAGAAGCTGGGTCAGTACTATATGTTCTAGTGATCACTGGCTATCAAGATAAAGCTTGAATTGATATTTTGAGCAGTTATAAAACTCATGCTGCCCCATTTTCATGGAAACTGGCAACTGAAAATGCTAATGGTATTCAGAACCCTACTGCCATCAACAACTCCAAGGAGGGATAAAATCCAGAGCTAGCCTGATGCCTCCAACAATATTTCTCAAACAGTAATTAGTCATTAGGAAAAAAACATAAAGCAAGAAATGCACATTAAAATGATGTATAACATAACCACATTTAAGAATGTATTCCAATACCAAATGTCAAATTTCAACAATGCAAAAACCACAATTACATTTGCATCAGCCTAATAGCTAGGAATGAGAAAAACAGACAGGATAAAATATAGTCTAAGAAATGGAAAATGTTACTGTTCACTCTATTCCACCTGCACAGGAAGAATCTTCACATCCCACTTGGAGGTGTGCCCCTTTGCCTTTATCCTTATTTCCTTCCTGGAGATTGTACATAAATTCCTTATAAATGAAAAAGAGTCACTTTCTGAAAGTGTAAATTGAAATGTGCTGGCTGTATAAACTTATCAAATTAGTTTTGCTGTTGGAGGAAATCTTAATTAAAAGGCTGCTTTGAAATAAGGAAGTGTAATAAAACATTTTTCATTTTGTTTGCTTTCACGCCAGCCACATTCACTTTTATGATTTAATTTTTATTTTTCTTATTTAATGGATGACATTAGATTTGTCTTCCCAGCAGGTTCATTTTCAAAAAGTTAATGAAGTCAAGCTAAGCATATATGGTAGATCATTAGGGTTTCTGCTTACAACCACCAATATCCCATAGTCTTTGATTCCACTTTCTGTTTGGGGACACGATGGGATTTATCAGAAAAATGAATTCCTCTGTCTAAATACAGAGGACATAGCCACGTCCTCTGATTCATGTATTACGAAATCACTTGGGAACTATCAGAATTACAGAGGAAACAGCACCCCGTCCATCTTCTCCAAATGAGTAAATTTGCCATGAGATCACATTTTTTGTGGCTTTACACAATAAAGAATTGAACAAAAGTAAGATTTGATCTATGAGAATCAAAACTTGAGAATTTTTAAATTGGTGTGTAGTAACCCAGTGTTATTAGGGGTTAGGGATCAGTGTTTTAAGCATTTGTTGAAGGCTGGTGTCACTTAACTTTTTATAAAATCTTTTTCTTTGTTTAAAGGTGAGACTCGACCCTTCTTTTCCCACGTGAGGCTTCTTATGGAAAGAGCACAGGTATCTGGGGTCTAAAGGCCTTGGTTAGTCTGCTATTTCCAGCCAAGATGGAATAACAGGAATGGGATTTAAAATTCCTACCTGAAACAACCACAAAACTAGGGGTAAAAAAAATGAAAGAATGTTTTTCAAAACATGGAAAATAGGAAACAGTTCTGTGACACTTGAGAGATGGTAAAAAAAATGAGGTGAGCCTTACAATCTGTAGAGTCAGTGCGATTCTAAGTAAAATCTCAGAAATTTTTAAATAGAAATTGACAAGATTTGTACAGAAATGCAAAGGACCAAAAATAGTCAAAACAACTTTGAAAAAGAACAGCAAATTTGGAGGGCTTATCTACCTGATTTCAAAACTACTTATTATAATGCTATAGTAATCAGTATGGTATCGGCATAAAAATAAACAAATAGATCAATGGAACAGAATAGAGATTATAATAATGGAGTTACATATATCTGGTCAATTGACAGTTAACAACGGTGCAAAGGAAATTCAGGGGAGAAAGGATAGTCTTTTCAATAAGGGGTGCTGAAAAAAATAGATATCCGTTTGCAAAAAAAGTAAATAAATTTTAAAAACTCCAATACACATCTCACATCATATAAAAAATTAATCAGAATAAATCATAGACCTAAAAGCAAAACCAAAACTACAAAACCTTTAGAAGAGCATATAGGAGAAAATCCCTATGACCTTGGGTTACAAAGACTTGTTAGATACAGAACTAAAAACATGATCTAAAAAAATTTTTTGGTAAATTGGACATCATTAAAATTTGAAACGTCCATCCTCAAAAGACATTATTAAAAGAATGAAAAGGAAATCTACAGAATGAGAAGAAATATTTGAAAAATCACATATCCGATAAAATATTTATATATGAATATATAAGGAATTCACAAAACTCAATAATATGCCAACGAACAACCCAATTTTTGTAAGTGGGCAAAAGATCTGAACAGACACTTCACTAAAGAAGATATTTGAATGACTAATAGGCACATGAAAATATGTTCAACATCATTAGTCATTATGGAAATGCAAATTAAAATCACAATGAGATGTTACTACCTATTACAGTGTCCAAAATGGAAAAGACTAACCATACCAAGTATTGGCAAGGATGTGGAGTATCCACGTATGAAATTCTCATACATGCTGGTATGACCATTTCGGGAAGACAGTTTAGCTGTTTGTGAAAAATCTAAACATATACTGATCAAATAATGCAGACATTCCATTTTTAGATTTTTACCCCAAAGAAATGAAAACTTAGGTCTGCTGCAAATATTTTCACGTCAGTGTTTATAGAAGCTTTATTCATTATAGCCCCAAAGTAGAAATAATCTAAATGTCCATCATCAAAAGAATGAATAGTGGCATACCCATCTAAAGACACATTCCCTAACAATAAAATGGAATAATACACAAAACAACAGGAATGAATCTCATGATAATTATGCCAATAACGCTAGACAAAAAAGCATATACACTATATGTTTCCATTTATGTAAAATTTGTATAAAATGAAAACTATAGTGACAGCAGATCAACGGTTGCCTGGGGATGGCAGTGTGGGGGTGGAGACTGGGGGATTCCAAAGGGGCATGAGGAAATGGATGGGATAAAGGATATGTTCATTATCTTGATTGTGGTACTGGTCTCATGGGTTTATACTGTCAAACTGATCAAAGATCAAATTTTGTATTTTAAATATGTGCATGCAGTCTATTGTATGTCAATCATACTTCAATAAAGTTGTTTAAGAAAAAGGCCTGTCTTCAAGTCACAGTTGTGTAATCTCAAACAAGTGTTTTCACCTCTCTGCACCTGAATTCCCTCAAGGGTCAAATGAGGAGAATAACACACACCTCACAAGGTTGCTGTGCCGGGCGAGATTCTGTAGCAACAGCCCTGAAAAAAGCACTAAATCAACGCCATGGAGAGCATCTTGTCTTCCCTGTAAGGAAGTTAATTTTCCGATTGATCCCTCAGCAGAATGGCAGTGTTCCCTCTCTAGGTCGTCCCTTTTATCTTCAGAAATCAAAGAACATGACTTTTGAAGCTAGAGTCGTTAGATCTCTTAAATGCCTTTAGAAACAACGTTAGATGGGGAAAAATGAGAACACACAGGAAATTAAAAAGCAACAGCATAAGCATCTGCAGCTTTGTTGAGCACTTGTGAAAATTGGGCTTGCCCTACCATCAAAGGACACAATAAATTTAAGCCATCTGACCTATGTGTAACCCCTGCACACACACAAATGAATATATGTATCATATTCATATGATACACAATTATGAAAGGAAAATAAATTTAAAAAAAATAAACCACAGCCAGGCACGGTGGCTGATGCCTGTAATCCCAGCACTTTGGGAGGCCGAGGCGGACGGATCACGAGGTCAGGAGTTCAAGACCAGCCTGGCCAACATAGTGAAACCCCGTCTCCACTAAAAATACAAAAATTAGCCAGGCATGGTGGTGCATGCCTGTAGTCCCAGCTACTCCGGAGGCTGAGGCAGAAGAATCGCTTGAACCTGGGAGGTGGAGATTGCAGTGAGCCAAGATTGCCCCTCTACATTCCAGTTTGGGCAACAGAGTGAGACTTCGTCTCAAATAAATAACAAATAAATAAACCGCATATGCTTTAGAGTCAGACTTTGAATCAGATCCTGACTCACTGGCTCCGTGACACCTTGGACAGCTCCCTCAATCGTGCTAAGCCTCAGTTTTCTCACTTGTAGAACACTATCCTGGAGTAAGAAACTGGAAAAACAAACAAACAAACAAACAAAACCATGTAAAATACCTAGGACAGTATCTGGCACAGGATGGAGCTCAGTGAAACAGCTTCCCTAAGGTAACACACCAGACTGATCACACTTGAATTCAAACCTCCTGGTCCCAGGTCAATAATTTTTCTATTATCCTCTGTTGCTAGTTTACCTGGGTAGTCTGTGGCAGAGGGGCAATTAGATACCGGGTGTCTTAACTCTCAGTCTGGTGTTGTTGCCATTGCACAAGGTCATTTTTAAGAAATCACCACTAATGAGAATCTATTAATTAGGGGGAAAACGGCACCTAGAGATGGAATCATACTGGTTGAGGGACCAGGGAAAATCCCTTTGGATCCTATTCCAATGCTACTAATTACTACCAGGTCAGTCCCCAGTGTGACACCTGTCCTTCCACTGGTCATTCCCTGTTTGCCATTGTCCCTGCAGCGGAACCCTTTCCAGAGCTTTCTACCTGGAAGCCGCATCACCCCCGCCACTCGCGCCCCTCGCCTCCGCCACCCCAGCACTGGACTGGGCGGGATGTTGGGAGTACATAATTGTTGTTGTGGCGGCTCTCAACCACAAGATGGCAGCACATGACTCTCTTTCAGAAAAGAAACCTGCAGCAGGGGAATTTTGCAACCTGGCACGTTTCAATTAAGATGAAAATATATTTTTAGAAGTTGCCTCCGTCACCCTTCAAATGGTAAGCATAAACCAAAGAACACAAAAGGAGACTGCTAAGGCATGAGGATTAGGGATGAAGGGAAGACTAAAGTAGACAGTCCCTGTAGAGGTGCTTGGAAGCTGTAGGATTTGCCTTCTTGGTGTTTGCACTAGGTCTTGTTGCTGCTCTCTTCTTTGTTCACATTCTTGCCAGAGCTCATAACTCCAAAATTAACTATCCTAGGGGTCTCTGTCCTTGATCGAGTCTATCTGAGCCTTGACCAGGCTTTAAAATTCTGAATTCCTCTATTTCCATTAAGATGTGAGTGTATTCCTTATTTCTTTTCCCATAATATCAAGGGCACGGGGTTTTTTTTGTTGTTGATGTTGTTGTTTTTTACATTTCTCTGCCTGTTCTCTGCTGCTGCACGTCCACTTCAGACATCATTTATTGTTGTGATTATGCCGGTATCAGGAGATGGAGTGGATTTCAATCTCCATCCCACCTCAGACACACCAAGGTCTGAGCTAAAGTAGTCCTAGCTACCTCAGCACCTCGGCCCCAGGTAGCCCTCTGCGGATGGGTTCTCATCTTCTTTCCAAGTTCTTCCTTCTCACCTGGAATGTAAACACCTGTGAAGGGCAGAGTGTGGCACCTAGGGCATTTTAAACTCCTCCTTGGGAGCTCATAAATCCTTTTTTTTTTTTTTTTTTTTTTTTGAGATGGAGTCTCACTCTGTTACCCAGGCTGGAGTGCAGTGGTGTGATCTCGGCTCAATGCAACCTCCGCCTCCTGGGTTCAAGCAATTCTCCTTCCTCAGCCTCCCGAGTAGCTAGGATTGCAGGCATGAACCACCATGTCTGGCTAATTTATTATTATTATTTTTTAGTAGAGATGGGGTTTCGCCATGTTGGCCAGGCTGGTTTCGAACTCCTGACCTAAGGGGATCTGCCCGCCTTGGCCTCCCAAAGTGCTGGGATTACAGACGTGCACCAACACACTTCGCTGATTTTTGTATTTTTAGTAAAGACGGGGTTTTACCATGTTGGCCAGGCTGGTCTCAAACTTCCAACCTCAAGTGATCCACCAGCTTGGCCTCCCAAATGCTGGGATTTCATAAACCTCATGTTTCAAGCAAGAGAATATTTTGATTACCTAAAGTAATTAGAAGCCCTGCGCTTAAATTGGGAATCATCATCTTTCCTATTAGGTCTTGAGGAAATGTGATACAGACGCATAGACAAATAATCGGAATATAAACTCCTGAGGGAGTGGAGAGAGTTGGTTAGTGATGATTCCTAATGAAGAAGTGAGCAGGGGTTAGCTAGGCTTATCTGGAGGCGGGGCGCTGGGGTGAGGAAAGGCATTCTCTTTAGAGAGCAGTACCTAAGGGGTGGAAGTGAGAAACAGCAAAATGCAAGCAAGCAACCATGGGCAGCTCTGTCCTGTGAGAGAGTAAAGCACGGAGAGTCAGTAATGGATAGGCTCTTGCCATAGGCAGTATAGATCATAGGGTGCCTTTGTATAGATCATAGGGTGCCTTGTACGCCATACAAAAGGGCTGGGTCTCCTGCTCTAGGTGGTGGATGGTCGCTCAAGGGTTTGATGAAGACAGTTCATATTTCAAATAGATTGCTGAACCCTTAAGGTGGAGGAGATATTTAGGAAGGCTATTCCTGTAAGTAGGGACCCAATGGGGGCATGGTTGCAGTAATGCAGGAAAGAGACAAAAGGGGTCAGAGTCGGGATATGGGACAAGATACAGAGGGGCATTTAGGAGCCCACTCAGGAAGACCCCATCAACTGGTTGGATGTAAAGCTGAGGAAGTAGAGACGGGTACAGCGATTACATTCTGTAATGTAATGGGCGCTGGATGGGAAGAGGAGAGAGGTGGGTGATGGGGTGGGGCTGGTGAAGTGGAGCTAGTGGGGTGGGGACTAGGTAGGGCTGAGCTGGGTATGGGGAAAAGGAAGCTCTTGTTTTGTTGTATTTTGGGGATTGTTTAGAACAGGAGGGCGCTTGACACATTTAGGGACTGAGCGGGGAAGAAACAAGTAGAGTGTGATAAATTGAAGGTGCAGGAGAAAGATGAAGAGGCACGATCCTAAGAGGACTGGAGGAGGCTCAGGTGAGGAGCATGGGCTTTGCAGGAGGGTGTGTGTCTTTTTCCCTGAGACTGGAGGGAAGACCATCAGGCTGGGTGGATGGGCAGAGATGACTTTGTTAAGTGAGAGGGCAGGAAGTGGACTCTGCAAAAGAGCAGCAGAAAAAAGATTAGAGGTGGGAGATCTTGGAGAACCGTGTAGCCTGGTGGCCACCAGCACAGGCTCTGGAGTCAGGCTGACTTAGATTGCAGTGCCAGCTCCACCACTTACTGGCCATTTGGCCTTGGGCAAACTCTCTGATCTTTCTAAGGACTCAGTTTCCTTATAAAAGGGGATGATAAGACCTCCCTCATAGGATTATTGCGAGAACGAAATGAGATTCCATGCATTCTCTGAAGGAGATTGACAATGATGAAGACCATGCAGCAAATCGAGGAGCTAAATATGCCAGACAGATTTCATGGTCTAAACAGTTTATATGTCTTTTGATTGCCTCCCACAAGACTGAAAATAACTTGGGGGTAGGGGTCATATGTCTTGCTTTTCTTGGTCTTCCTGGCATTCAGTGCAATGCCTGCTTCATCAAGGGCTCTCAGTCAAGTTTGTTAAATGACTGAATAAATCAATTGCCCAGTCAACCCAACCATAGCTCCAGCTTCCAACTGCCAGACTGTGCACTTCCCATTCTACCGCACTACCTTTCTTGGTCCAGCCTTAACGTCTCTGTTTACCAACATTGTTACACTATTTGTGATTACTAAAGAGTAACAGTTCCTTGAATTGGGCACTATATTTTGGTTCTGGAAATGCAAAAGCACATTATTGTTTATCATGGAAGTCAGGTGATCTAGTTCTGCTAGTTAATTGACTAATTAACTACTAATTAATTAGCTAATAATTAAGTTAATTAATTCCTAAGAATTAAAAAGGAAAGGAGAGGGCGATTTATTGCCAGAGAGGCTTCTCTAAGTGTTTTTATGGCCACTTTCATCCTGTGTGTGACTGAGCTTTAGCACGTTGACCAGGTTAAGGATCTGGATGCCAGAAAAGCCACACCTGGGCCTGGTGGGGCAGAGAAAGGGCTGCTGCAGCCATGGAGCCAGCGCTCTCAGGCCTCAGCGGTTTCAGGTGCCCCAGCCAAGTGAGAGGCAGAGTGGGCGCTTGGCCGCTGAGAGAAGGTCAAGACATGAATAATGGAGGCCACAGGCACACCTTCCAGAGCTGTGTCTGCTTGCTAGGCTTTTCAACCTTGGCCACCCCACCTTTAAAAAAAAAGAAAACCTTTAAAAACATGAAAAGACCCAACATCTCCTTCCTTGCCCATCTCTCTCTCTCTCCTCTGCCCCCTCAGATGAAAGGCAGCAATGCAGCTAAAATGTTCCCACAAACGTTCAGGTACAGGGGAGCTGTCAAGATCAGCGTGCCACGGAGGCAAAACAAGGAACTTGGAAGAGCCATAAACTGCACACCACCCCCTCCTCAAATAACCCCAGGCTTAGCAAAGGAGCCTCTGCAAGCAGAGATGGAGTTTGTAAGGATTAAATTTCCTCCTCCCACAAGCCCCCAATTGCAAAAAGCCAAACTTTCTGGGTTCTTCCTACCAAACGACTCCCTTCTGACCACCAGAGGTCAGGCTGCAGTTAGGAACAGGCAGTAGGTCCCCAAAGGAGAGATCTGACCTAGTTCCTCCCAGGCCCTCCGGGGCACGTCTGGAGCTCCCCCAGACTCACCCAAGCTCGCCCAGCAGGGGCCTGTGGATTCCTTTCTCCTCTGTAATGGACAGGGGCAGGCACACCAGAAGCTGCCTGGAGTGTGATAAACCGAAGGTACGAAGAAAGATGAAGAGACAACATTTAAGAGGGCTGGAGGAGGCGCAGCGGAGGAGAATGAGCCTCCTGAATGAGTCATCCCCCACTTCAACTTATTAGGTTTGAGAACCACTCACCTAAGAATCCCGCGAAGCAGGGAGCTGATTAAAAAGCAGATTTGGCTGGGCACGGTGGCTCACGCCTGTAATCTCAGCACTTTGGGAGGCCGAGACGGGTGGATCACGAGGTCGGGAGATCGAGACCATCCTGGCTAACACGGTGAAACCCCATCTCTACTAAAAATACAAAAAAATTGGCCAGGCGTGGCGGCGGGCGCCTGTAGCTCCAGCTACTCGGGAGGCTGAGGCAGGAGAATGGCGTGAACCCGGGAGGCGGAGCTTGCAGTGAGCCGAGATGGCGCCACTGCACTCCAGCCTGGGCGACAGAGCGAGACTCCGTCTCAAAATAAATAAATAAATAAATAAATAAATAAATAAATAAATAAATAAATTAAAAAGCAGATTCCTGGGCTCTGTTTGTGAAGGCCAGTTCTGCAGGTTGGGAATTGGGCCCAATGCCCTGCGTTTTATGCAAGCTCTTTGAGAGGTCCTGACGTTGGTGGTGCACTGCTGTACTTTGAGCAGATAATGCTTTAAGCAGTTGCTCAAACCTGGGGGCAGTCGCTAAGCACAGACTTTGGTTTTGTGCAATACCTGAGACTCAAGCAGGCAGATGGGATTAGGCCTACGTACCCTGCTACCTCAGGCCTGTAGGCCATTGAATGCATGCTTGCTGGAACACCTGAAGTGAGGCAGCTACTCCTGGCCCCATCCACTCCCAAGCTGGGAGGAAGGAAAATTCGTACTGCTCTGTGCAGGATGAAGACCATTGCAGGCTGGCCTGCCATCTCCGGATGCCTTCCTACTCCACGTTCCTTCTCATCATTTCTGAGCACTGGTTTCCTTATTCTGTCCCCTTTGATGTGCCTCCATCCTCCTCATTGCTCAGAAAAAGCATCCTGGATTTAGAGGTAGTTAAGCTCCCTTCCCAGGATAATCCTTGCTTGTTGTCCTTCCTTGGTGCTAAGACACAATCTACCACATGAGCACCTCGATGTACTAGGAACTTTTCAGAGAGGAGTGGGAATGAAATATGACATTAAATATCCATATCCAATGGAAGATGCAGCCCCCTTCCAGAATCGATAAAAAGTGCATTTTAGCGTTGAGGAAGTTTTCTCTCCTTTTCTAATGATCCAGTGTTACTGTATTCATTCGACCCCAATTCATTGAGTGCCTGCTGAGCCAAGGACCTGCCGTAAGTGCTAGCGTATGTTAAGCTAGATTAAGCTAGATGGACAAGGGTCTCACCTTCACAGGTCCACATTATGGTATAGGACGCAGGCAAAGAATAATCAATAAGTGAATTAGTGAATCAGAGTTGTGATTGCTGGTATTAACAAATAAACAGGGTTCTGTGATAGAGACACAGTGGAGAACCAATTTTGGAATGAGTGGTCATGGAAGAACTTTCTGGGGAGGGGAGGTGGAGCTGAGGTCAGAATGAAGAGTACAGGTAAGGCACCCCGCGATGTGGGGAGTAAGAGCCACCCCCTCGCCCCCCCCCCCGGCTCTTACGTTCCACATGGCAGGGGGGTGAGTCACCCCCCGCGATGTGGGGAGTAAGAGCCACCCCCTTGCCCCCCATGGCTCTCATGAACCACATGGCAGGGGGGTGAGTCGCCCCTCGCGATGTGGGGAGTAAGAGCCACCCCCTCGCCCCCCCTGGCTCTCAAGACGCACATGGCAGGGGGGTGAGGCACTCCCTGCGGTGTGGGGAGTAAAAGCCACGCCCTCGCCGCCCCTGGCTCTCATGACCCAGATGGCAGGGGGATGAGGCCCCCCCGCGATGTGGGGAGTAAGAGCCACGCCCTCGCCGCCCCTGGTTTTTACGATCCACGGTGGACCCACAGCCTGTTTACGATATTGTGAGTAATATCATCTCCCCCTCTGGAAATTATGAAGTATTTCACAGACGGGTGTACACCCGTCTGCATTGGGAGTAATATCATCCTCTTTCTCCCTGAATATGAAGAACAGTATCACAGGGGTGTTTCTACTCCCTGCGATATTGGGTGTCATATCCTCTCCCACGCGGAAATTAGAAACAATATCAGTGGGGGCGTGTCCACCTTCTGTGATATTTAAAGTAATATCATCCTCTTCCCTCCAGGATCATGGGAACAATATCCCTGGGGGTCGTACACTTTCTGCGATATATGAAGTAAGATCACCCTCTCCGCCTTGGAATATTATTAAGGACCATCTCACACAGGGTTGTACACTTCCTGCGATATTGGGAGTAATATCAACCTCTTGGCCTCTGAATATTAGGAAGAATATCACAGGGTGGGTGTACACCTCCTGCTCTATTATGGGGAGTAATATCTATCTATTATGGGGAGTAATATCATCCTCTCCCTTTGAGGATATTAATAACAATATCACAGGGTGAGTGAACACAGCCTGCGATGCTGGAATTATCCTCTCTCCCTCGGGATACTAGGAACAATATCACAGAAGAGGTGTACACTCCCTGTGATATTGGGAGTAATATCATACGCTTCTTCCGTGAATATTAGGAGCAATATCACCGGGTGGCTGTACATTCATTGCTATGTTGGGAGTCATGTCATACTCTACCCCCTGGATATTAGGATCGGTGTCACAGGGTGAGTGTACACCTACTGCGATATGAAAACTAATATCATGCTCTCCATCCCTGGATATTAGGAAAAATATCACAGGTAGGTGTACACCCCCTGCGGTATTAGCAGTAATATTATGAATTATTAAACATCGGTCTTATTAATAATTGTCAATGGTAATATTAATTAACAGTATAACATTATTAATCATTAATGATTATTTTCAAGATATGATTATGCATGATTAAAATTAAATATTAATATTAATGTCACTTTTAATATTAGTTATTAATCTTAATAGTAATTATTGTTTTATTACCAACATCAATTATGATTGATTGAAGTAACATTAGTGATATCATTATTTTATTATTAATAGTGATATTGCTATTAATTATTAATAGTAACCGTTAATATTTTTCATCCTTACTAAGTTTTACTGTCTCTACTGTAATTATTAATATCGGTGATTACTATTAATTGTTATTATATTTATTAATATTAATAATTACTATAACTTCCCGATATCCGTAGGGGAGAGGATAGTACTCCCAATATCGCAGAAAGTGTACACCCCTCTACGATGTTACTCCTAATAGTCAGGGGGTAGAGGATGACATTATTGAAAATAGCGCAGTGGGTGTACATCCCTTCGGTCATCTTGTTCCTAATATCCTGGGTGGGAGCGGATGATAGGACTCCCAATATCACAGGGGGTGGAGACCTCCCCGTGATACCGTCCCTAACATCCAAAGGTGGAGAGGATGATATTTCTTCCAATTTCGCCGGGGGTGCACACCACCCTTGTGATATTGATCCTAATCTCCAGGCGGCGAGAGGATGATATTAGTCTGAATACTGCAGGAGGTGTACACTCCCTAGGGATATTGTTCCTAATATCCAGAGACGGAGAGGATGATATCACTCCCAATATAGCAGGGGGTGTACACCCCTTGTGTGACATTGCTCCTAAAGGGCAGCGAGGGAGAGGAAGATATTACAGCCAATATCGCAGGGGGTGTACACTCCCTTGTGACATTCTTCCTTATATCCTGGGAGGGAGAGGAAGATACTAGCAGCAATGTCGCAGGGGCTGTACACACCCACTGTGATATTGTTCCGAATATCCCGAGGGGGAGAAAATGATGTTACTTCCAATATCTCAGGGGGTGTACATCCTCCTGTGATATTGTTTCTTATATTCAGGGGGAGAGGATGATATTACTCCCATTATCGCAGGGGTTGTACATACCTCCTGCGATACGGGGAGTAAGAGCCAGCCCCTTTTCCCCCCTGGCTCTTAGGAGCCCCATCACAGGGCGGTGAGCCCCCCCCCGCCCCTCAGTACGAGGCGTAAGAGCCAGCTCCTATCCCCCCCTGGCTCTTAGGACCCCCATCACAAGGGGGTGAGGCCCCCGCGATGCGGGGAGTCATATCACCCCCCTCTCCCCCCTGGATATGACGATCCACATCGCAGTGGGGCGGGCGCCCCTCCATTCTAAGGATTTCATCGTCAGATGGGAAGTATAAAGCCTTCGCTACCTGTGGCTCTCACCTGGCAGTTGTTTGCTTATTTTATGGACAGACATTGGCGTGTACCTGACTTCAGCTGTGGCAGCACCCCCCAGGAATGGTGTCGTGGCGTCAGTGATGTACGCTGTGGTCACCCCCATGCTGAACCTTTTCATCTACAGCCAGAGAAACAGGGACATTCAAAGCGCCCTGCGGAGGCTGCGCAGCAGAACAGTCGAATCTCATGATCTCTTGCATCCTTTTTCTTGTGTGGGTAAGAAAGGGCAACCACATTACATACCTACATCTGCAAATCCTGCCCCTTAGTCACATTATTTTTGTGGCGTGATGGCTTTTATTCCTTTCCGCATTTCCTTTGTGAATATTGCTTTCTTCGTTATGCCTTTAACTGGAATGGGTGAGTATTCTGGGATCCTTTGTTTAGCAGAAACCTCATGACTGAATCCTCTATACCTAGGCGGCCTCCTTTAGTTTCTGAGCAATAACCCTGTCATCCAGGTGGAATCACAACCATCTTTTTATATACGTGAAGTCCTCACTTCATTTTGGAATTCCCTGAAAATTGACTTTATGGAAACAATGTACAGCAGGTCCTCCAACACCATTTGTGCGTTCAAAGTTGTGTAGTTATAATGTTGGTGAGGAATAAGTGGTTTCACTTAACCTAATTTTGCTTCAAGGTGAAGTTTCCAAGAGACTTTCAAAGATGTTAAGTGAGGACATACTGTACATCAAATTCATATCCTCTTCCACAGTTCATGTGGAATTTCTTTATAAACTGCTTCTAGAGAATCTATTTAGGCAGGTTATGTGTAAGATCCATGTCACCGGTCCTCAATCTTGGCTTTGAGTCAAATCACCTGGCGAGCTTACAAATGATGAGGCCTAGGTCTCAATACCTGAGATTCTGATTTCCTTGCACCTGTGTGAGTATGTGGATTTTTTTTTTTTTTTTTTTAAGTACAAGAGGTGGTTGCAGTGACGAAGTTTTCAGAGGCATCAAGCTCCAATGAGTAAGAACAGAAGTTAATTGTAATATGATTTCTTCAAATATTATCTTCAAATGCATTGTCCATCAACACCATACAAATGTTTATTATGCTGTTGTTTCTTACCATTTAGCATTTTCTATTTTTTTCTTTTTCTTTTTTTTTTTTTTTTTTCTTTTTGAGGCAGAGTTTCACTCTTGTTGCCCAGGCTGGAGTGCAATGGCACGATCTCGGCTCACTACAACCTCTGCCTCCCGTATTCAAGCGATTCTCCTGTCTCAGCCTTCCAAGTAGCTGGGATTACAGGCATGTGCTACCATGCCCCGCTAATTTTTTCTTTTTCTTTTTTTTTTTTTTTTGGTATTTTTAGTACAGACAGTGGTTCTGCATATTGGTCAGGATGGTCTTGAACTCACAGGTTCAGGTCATCCGCCCGCTTCCGCCTCCCAATATTCTGGGATTACAGGCGTGAGCAACCACACCCAGCCACCACTTAGAATTTTCATTTTACATTTGTTGAAATTATAGATTTATACACGCTTTGATTGCCGCTTTGTTATACACTTGCGTATACATAAGACGGGAAATAGAAAAGAATAAAATGGGCACAGTATCCCTCAAGTTTCACCTTCCGAGACATGTTAAAAATATTTGTTTTTTAGAAATTTGTTTCAATTGAGTAACTGTGGTATACACACACAATGAAGTATTATTCAGCCTAAAAAGGAAGAAAATCCTCTCCGCTGCAGACAAAATGGATGAGATTGCAGGTCTGTATATTAAATGAAATAAGCCAGGCACAGAATGACAAATATTTCATATCCTCACTTCTATGTAGGAACAAAAAAGAAAATCTTGGCCAGGTGTGGTGGCTCAGGCCTGTAATCCCAGCACTTTGGGAGGCCGAGTCGCACGGATCACTTGAGGCCAGGAGTTTGAGACCTGCCTCGCCAACATGGTGAAACCCTGTCTCTACTGAAAACACAAATAATTAGCCGGGCGTGGTGACGCGTGCCTGTAGTCTCAGCTTCTCGGAGGGCTGAGGCCCAAGAAGCGCTTGAACTTGGGAGGCGGAGATTGCAGTGAGCCCAGATTGTGCCTGTATACTCCAACCTGGGCAACAGAAAGAGACTCCATCACACACCTACACACAAAAGGAATCTCAGGAAGGTGGAAAGTATAAAGGTGGTTAGCAGACGCTAGGAAGAAAAGGGGTGGGATGGGGAATGAAGAGAAGTGGATAATTGGGTCCCAAAATACAGAAAGATGGAACAAGTGACTTCTAGTGTTTGAAAGCACAGTATGAAAATTTTAGTTCACAAGAATTTCTTGCATATTTCCAGATGCTTTGGTAAGAAGCTTCCTAACTGTCTCATTATGCTCGTTTTTCAGCTATTCTCTTTCTGCTCTCGAAATCATGCTGGATTTTTTGTTTTTGGTTTTTTGTTTTGAGACAGAGTTTCGCTCTTGTTTCCCAGGCTGGAGTGTAATGGTGCAATCTTGGCTCACCACAACCTCTGCCTCCTGGGTTCAAGCGATTCTCCTGCCTCCATCTCCTGAGCAGCTGGGATTACAGGCATGCCCCAGCACGCCCAGCTAATGTTGTATTTGTAGTAGAGACAGCAGTTTCTTCCTGTCTGTCAGGCTGGTCTTGAACTTCTGACCTCAGGTGATCCAAACACCTCGGCCTCCCAAAGGGCTGGGATGACAGGTGTGAGCAACCGCGCCTGGCCCATGCTGTATCCTTATCTGTTGTCTGTTGTTTATTTGTTTTTGAGCCCAGAAATAACTTCTCCCCTATATGTTCAAATGATTTTTAACATGAGTGCTAAGAAAGTCCATTGGTGGAAAAGCAGCCTTTTCAAGAAATGGTGTTGGAGAAACTTGATTTCCACATGCAGAAGAATGAAGGTGGACTCTATGTCACACCAGGTGCAAAAATTAACACAAACTGGATCAAAGACCTCACCCCAAGTGCTGAAAGTATAATATGCCTCAAAGAAAACATTGGCCACACTTTCATGACATCAGATTGGGCAATGCTTTCTGGGATACGACACCAAAAGCATAGGCAACAAAAGAAAATTAGATTCCTTGGATGACATCTAAATGACAGACACTTTTGTGCATCAGCAAACACTGTGAACTGAGTGAAAAGATAACCCATGGATTAGGAAAAAGATTTGCAAATCTTATCTCTGAAAAGAGGCTGATATGCATCATATACAAAGAACAGCTAGAACTGAACAACAAGAAACCCAAAGCACCCCATTAACAATGGTCAGAAGACTCGAGTACACGTGTCCCTAAACAAGATATAACAATGGCCAATAAGCGTCTAAAATGATGTTCAAAATCACGAACCACAGGGAAGCGCAAATCAAACCAAGAATGTGATACCACACATTAGGAGGGATATGATAAAGAAACAAGCATTGGTGAAACTAAAGGGAAGTAGGAATGCTCGAATCTGATTGGAGGGAATGTAAAACCGTGAAGGAATGGGGAAAATACTATGGCATGTACTGGAAAAAGTAGAAACAGGATTATCAGATGTTCCCACAGTTGCACTTGTGGGTACCTGCCAAAAAGAATTAGAAGCCAGGAGTGGAAGAGAGATTTGTACACCCATATTCATAGCAGCGTTACTCAAAACAGCCAAAATGTGGAAGCAACCCAAGGGTTCATGGGCAGGTGAATGAAAAAGCACAGTGCAGTTCATTCATACAACGGAAGACTATTCAGCCATAAAAATGCAGGCACTTCTGGCCGGTGCGGTGGCTCACGCCTGTAATCCCAGCATCTTGGAAGACCGAGGTGGGCGGATCACCTGAGGTCAGGAATTCAAGACCAGCCTGGCCATCTTGGTGAAACCCTGTCTCTACTGAAAATGCACAAAATTAGACGAGCGTGGTGGCGTGTGCCTATAGTCCCAGCTACTTGGGAGGCTGAGGTACAAGAATCGCTGGAACCCGGGAGGCGGAGGTTGCAGTGAGCCCAGATTGTGCCACTGCACTCCAGCCTGTGCAACAGAGTGAGACTCCATGTAAACACAAAACAAAACAAAACAAAAAAACACCCAAACAACCAGACAGGCACTTCTGACACAGGCTGCAACACGGATGAACCTTGAAGACATTCTCCTCAGTGAAATAAATAAATCCCAAAAGGATAAACATGACCAGGCTCAGTGGCTCGCACCTGTCACCCCAGCACTTTGGGAGGCCGAGGCAGGCGGATCACTTAAGGTCAGGAGTTCGAGACCAGCCTGGCCAATATGGTGAAAGCTCGTCTCTATTAAAAATACAAAAATTAGCTGGGCGTGGTGGCGCATGCCTGTAATCCCAGCTACTCGGGAGACTGAGACACAAGAATCGCTTGAACCCACGATGTGGAGGTTGCAGTCAGCCGAGACCACACCACTGCACTCCAGCCTGGGTGACAGAGAAAGACTCTGTCTCCAAAACAAACAAACCAAAAAAATTAAACACGGTATGATTCCACTTATATCACGTGTCTAGAGTAGTTAAACTTATAGAGCTGCAAAATAGAATGGTGGCCCCCAGGGGTGGGTGAGAGGGAGAGGAATGGAGAGTTTGGTTAATGGGTGCAATTTCCATTTTCAAGGATAAAACTGTTCTGGAGATGATGGCGGTGATGGTTGCTAAACAATGTGAATGTACCTAATGTGATTAAACTCTAAACTGAAAAATAGTGGAAATTATAAATGTTCATACTGGCCATTCTATATGAAATAATCTATATTTATAATTTTTAGGATTTATACGTGGTATATTTTCCCATAATAAAAGATGAAAATTAAAGCACTTGGATCTTGTAAAAGAAAAAAGCAAATAATACACACAAGCTCTCTCCTGATTAGAGGAAGAGCCCCAAAGCTTCTATGGACACTTACTTTTCTATTCTTCTTCTTGCATGATGATGAGGAAATCCTTAGAGCATGGGGAACATGGGCGACTCTGGCTAATGAGGAGCTCTGTGCCTTGAGCCCCCCAGGCCATAGAATAGGAAATACTCAGTCTGTGCCTCCAGCCCTGCAGTGTGAGGTTGCAGTCCTGTGGGCTCCACACCCGTCACCTGTATCAGGAGGCTCATGTCTCACCCTGTCTTCTTACCAGCCTTGAGGACGGAGTCTGAGCCTCCCATGTGCACCACTCAGGGAGGACAGTGGACCTGTTCTCCGTGGTCATGGCCCAGCAGAGGGGAAGGGCCGTTCAGTGAGTGCTGAGGGACGGTCGGGAGCCTTGTTTGTTTCCTCATCTTCAGGACAAACGGGAGAGTGCCGTGGGCAGATGGGAGGAGACCAATGTGCAAACTGTCAGCTCAGCAGACTGTGGAGTTTCTGTTCTTGGTTGTGGTGGGGGATCTCTCTCAGGAATCTTCTTCAAAATTTTGCTTCCCTCCCCCACTGGTTGTCCTCTTCATAGACATCTCACCCATGAGAGCAGGGAATGAGTCCCTCTAAAGTATGCCCTCAGAACAACAAAAAGATGATGAAGGTGATGATGAGGATAAAGAGGATGATGACAGACACCATGGCATCATGAACCCTTACTGAGGGCTTCCTAAAGGCCAGGCTCTGAGCTCTGTGTTCTATGCAGCTTGTTTCATTTCATCTGCATAGTCTCCCAGTTATTAGTGCACATTTCCTTATGATTTTACAGACTAGAAAAGGAGCAACACATTTTCATATAACTTGTACCAGATCACGAAGTCAAAAATGGTGAAGCCCAATTTGAACAAGGTAGTCTAAGCCAGACACATGGCATTTGGCCAGTCCTCTCCCTGCATCCAACCTGCCCCCTCCAATCCTTGTCACTCAGGCCGATGCCCCTGCTCACTGTGCCCTTCCCTTTGGGGGTTCCTTGTAGACCACAGCTAGACCAGTGGGTGCCACAATCACTGTGTCAAGTATGGAAAGGGCAGCGGAGATCACATCAAAGATTCCAGAAAGAATTGGCACAGGATCATTCGGGATGCATCTCTCCCTTGCCCCTGTTCCTGGCTTTCCTTACAGCTCTCGACTTCCTCCAAGGAGCCATCAGTTCCGGGTTTGGCTTCCATTCCTATTGAGGAAGCTGGAAACCATTTCAAAAATGCTCCTCGGATGTGCCTGTGGTTAAGACCTCTGAGCTCTGTTGAAAACTTTTGAAGCTGGGCGTGGTGGCTCACGCCTGTTATCCCAGCACTTTGGGAGGCTGAGGCAGGCAAATCACAAGGTCAGGTGTTCGAGACCAGCCTAGCCAACACGGTGAAACCCCGTCTCTCCTAAAAAGAGAAAAAAATAAGCCAGGCGTAGTGGCGGGCGCCTGAAATCTCAGCTACTCGGCAGGCTGAGGCAAGAGAATAGCTTGAACCTGGGATGCGGAGGTTGCAGTGAGCCGAGATCGCTCCACTGCACTCCAGCCTGGGAAACAGAATGAGACTCCGTCTCAAAAACAAAAAAGAACCCACAACATTTTGAGGGTTGGGAGACCATCAAGTATAGTGCCCGGGACTTAGAGTCTGGCCATTAATTTCAATACCACCCTTTCTACTTATCTGTATGGCAAGGAGTGAGACGTCCATCCTCTGAGACTCAGCACTCTCATCTGAGTTGATTTCTAGTTGATCCAAGGGAAGTGAGCGATGATGAAACCCATAGTGGGTGCCCGCTGCGTGATCTCTATGTGATGGATGCATAAAGTCAAGGCAAAGTGAACTTTAGATACATTCGTTAATATTTTCAGCTTAAACTCCAAACGGTTCAACGGAAATATCCCCTGACCTGAAGTTCTTGTGTCCCTGCATTCCAGACAGGACATCTTATTTTGTCCTTGTCTCAGTAAGTACTGAGTATTGTGAGAGGAACAATTGAGTCTCTTTTGTTTCTGATTCCCCAGAGCCTATATCTTGCTTGGCACATAGGAGATAGCCAAAGTAAACATCTATGCTGATTATTGAATTGACACTTCCTTGGTTCACAAAAATTGGCTGTCATCAGTGTGACGTCAGTGTGACAGAGCGTGTGTTTTTGGTTTTTTGTTTTTTGAGATGGAGTTTTGCTCCTGTTGCCCAGGCTGGAGTGCAGTGGTGTGATCTCGGCTCACAGTAGCCTCTGCCTCCCAGTTTCAAGCCATTCTCCTGCCTCAGCCTCCCGAGTAGCTGGGACTACAGGCACACGCCGCCATACCGGGCGAAGTTTTCGTATTTTTAGTAGAGGCGGGGTTTCACCATGTTGGCCAGGGTGGTCTTGATCTCCTGACCTCGTGATCCGCCCTCCTCGGCCTCCCATAGTGCTGGTATCACAGGCGTGAGCCACCGCGTCCGGCCAAACGTTCTGATGAAAACTCTAAGTCCACCTAAGCTAAGGATAGGAGTTATAGCTTCCATGAATTTTAAAACAAGACCCACTGATTTGAGGAAGCAATTACTCTCTTGAAGGAGAAAAGTCAGAAAACGTAATGATGAAATCACTGGGACCCACCTGGCCTGTGGAACTATTTTCTGCTTATGAACCATCAACTTTAATTTCATTTCCAGATGGCATGGTCTCAGCAGTTATACAGTGTTTACAGATGTTCTAAATCAAGGGAATTTGTATCAATCTATTCGAATAAAATAAAATATTTGAGTTCTTAATTTCCTTTCATTAGGATAACCTTTTTCTTAAAGTGAAGAGAATGGTTTCATTACATCGTTTTCTTCGGAAAAGATAGGCTGTATTTTCTAGCAATGACGAACTTCTTATATAGGATGATTTGGTTCTTGGAAGATTCTTGAATCTAGTGTCTCTAAGGCAGGTGTGTAGAGCAAGAAGTGAAGAACACAGAAATCAATGATGAAAGCATTAGAAGACAACTGAGTTTGTCAGCACTGCAAACTATTGCTGAGTGTGGATTGCTCTGAAATCTGAAAACATGACTTGTGAATTGCTTCTATGCAAAATGCAGACATGATGCTGGGTGTTGCTTTACTTGTTTCCAATTTCTCAACCCTCTTTTCTAGGCAAAAGGTGTCCAATCTCTAGAGACCCACAGAATCTAACAGATGTCTCTATATTCCTCCTCCTAGAAGCTCAGAGGATCCAGAACGGCAGCCGGTCCTCACTGGGCTGTTCCTGTCCACGTGCCTGGTCATGGCGCTGGGGAACCTGCTCATCATCCTGGCCATCAGCCCTGACTCCCACCTCCACACCCCCATGTACTTCTTCCTCTCCAACCTGTCCTTGCCTGACATCAGTTTCACCTCCACCACAGTCCCCAAGATGACTGTGGACATCCAATCTCACAGCAGAGTCATCTCCTATGCAGGCTGCCTGACTCAGATGTCTCTCTTTGCCATTTTTGGAGGCATGGAAGACAGACATACTCCTGAGTGTGATGGCCTATGACCAGTTTGTAGCCAAATGTCACCCTCTATATCATTCAGCCATCATGAACCCGTGTTTCTGTGGCTTTCTACTTTTGTTGTCTTTTTTTTTTCCCTCAGTCTTTTAGATGCCCAGCTGTACAATTTGATTGCCTTACAAATGACCTGCTTCAAGGATGTGGAAATTCCTAATTTCTTCTGTGACCCTTCTCAACTCCCCCATCTTGCATGTTGTGACACCTTCAACAATAACATAATCCTGTATTTCCCTGATGCCATATTTGGTTTTCTTCCCATCTCGGGGACACTTTTCTCTTACGATAAAATTGTTTCCTCCATTCTGAGGGTTTCATCATCAGGTGGGAAGTATAAAGCCTTCTCCACCTATGGGTCTCACCTGTCAGATGTTTCCTGATTTTATGGAACAGGCGTTGGAGGGTACCTCAGTTCAGATGTGTCATCTTCCCCGAGAAAGACTGCAGTGGCCTCAGTGATGTACGCAGTGGTCACCCCCATGATGAACCCCTTCATCTACAGTCCGAGAAACAGGGATATGAAAAGTGTCCTGCGGCGGCCGCACGGCAGCACGTTCTAATCTCAATACCTTCTTATCTGTTCCATTCCTTTTGCAGTGTGGGTCGAAAAAGGCTGCATGATGAAATAAGAATGATATCACAGGGTGAACACCCACTGTGATACTAGGAGTAATACCTCCCTAGGATATAAAATATACTGTCACAGAGTATACACACATGGGGTACACCCACTGTGATATTAGAAGCAATATCTCCCTAAAGTAGGATGAAAAATATCACAGGGTGTGCACACTGTGTGATATGAGGAGTAATATTTACCCTGGATAGTACGACTAATATCAAGGGTGTACACACACGGGGTACACGCACTGTGATATCAGGGGTTGTATCTCCCTAGGATATTATGAATACCATCACAGGGTATACACTATGTGTGTACATCCACTGTGATATTTGAAGTAATATCTCTCTAGGAGATTATAAATAACATCAAAGCGTGTACACCCCTGTGACATATTAGGAGTAACATCCTTCTAGGGTATTACAGATAACGTCACAACGTGTACACTTCCTGTGACGTTTTGTACACTCTTTGTGACATTCAAAGAAACATCCCCCTAGGATATTATGAATAATAACACAGGAGGGGTACACACATGGTGTACACTGCCTGTGTCATCAGGAGTAACGTTCCCCTAGGATATTACGAATAATATCACAGCACGTGTACACACATGGTGTACACCCCATGTGACATTCGGAAGAGCATACCCCTAGGATATTAGGGATAGTATCACAGGTGTTGAATACGCATTTTTAATGTGTAATGTCACCCCCAGTGACATTAAAAATAACCTCCCCCTTGGATATTACGAATAATATGACAGGGAGTACACCCCATGTGACATTAGGAGTAACATCCCCCGAGGATATAACGAATCATATCAGAGGGTGTACATGCATTGTGACCTTAGTAGTAACATCTCTTTAGGATATTACAAATAATATCACAGGGTATACAGGCATTGTGACATTAGTAGTAACATCCCGCTGGGATATGACGAGTCACATCACAGGGTGTACACCCCCGTGACAATAGTAGCAACATTCCCCTAGAATATTATGAATAATATCACAGGAGGTACAGCCCCTGTGATTTACGATTAACATGTCTATAGAATATTACAGCTCATATCACTGTGTGACTCTGTGTACACCCCGTGTGACTTTAGGAGTAACATCCCACAAAGCTATGATGAAAAATATCACAGGGTGAACACCCTCTGTGACCGGAGGAATAAAGTAGTTTTAGGATATTGTGAATGATGTGACAAGGTGTACACACCCTGTGACGTTAGGAGCAATATCCGTCTAGGATGCTAGGAAGAATATCACACGGAACACACCCCCTGTGGCATTAGGATACGACAAATAATATCACAAGGTGTACACACATTGTGACATTAGTGCTAATATCCCTCAGGTACACTATGAATAATATCACAGGTTGTACATCCCTGTGACATTAGGAGTAACATCCCCCTAGAATAGTAAGAATAATAACATGGGGTGTACACCCTCTGTGACATGAGAAGTATTATCTCACTAGAATATTACGAATAGAGTCACAGGGTGTTATCGTCTGTGCCAATAGGAGTATAGACCCCTGGGACATTATGAATACTATCACAGGGTGTACAGCCCTGTGACATTAGGAGCACCATCTTTCTAGACTATCACAAATAATATCACAATGTGTACACCCCCTGTGTCATTCGGAGTAAAATTGCCCTAGGATATTACGAAATAGAACACAGGGAGTACACCCTGTGTGACATTAGAAGTAACACCCCCCGAGGATATAACCAATAAGATCAGAGAATGTACCTGCATTGGGACGTCAGTAGTAACATCTCTTCAGGACAATACGAATAATATCAAAGGGTCTACACGCATTGTGCAATTAGTAGTGAACTCCCGCTGGGATATTAGGAATTTTATAACAGGGTCTACACGCCCTGTGACATTAGCAGTAACGTTTTCCTAGAAGAGTACAAATAATATTAAAGGGTGAACAGGACCTGTGAATTACGAGCAACATTTCCACAGCATATTGCACGTAACATCACTGTGTGTACACGCCGTGTGACATTAGGGGTAACACCCCACAAAATTATAACGAATAATTTCAGAAGGTGTGCACCTTCTGTGACATTAAAAGTGACATTTCCCTAGAATATGACGACAATGTCACAGAATGTACACCCTCTGTGATATGAGGAGTGACATCTTATGAGGATAATACGAGTAATTTGACAAGGTGTACAAACCCTGTGACATAACGGGTGACATCCCTCTAGGACATTACGAATAATATCAAAAGGAAAATATCCCCTGTAACAATAAAACAACCTCCACTTAGGAGAATAAGAATAACACCACAAGGTGTACACACAATGTGACATTATTATTAAGATAAAGCTAGGATATTGGGATGACATCACAGTGTACAGAGTCCTGTGACATGAGGTTTAACTTTCCCCTAGAAAATTACGAATAATATTGAAGGGTGTACACCCCCTGCGACTTTAGCAGCTGCATGTTGCTACAATATGGAAGATAATGTCGCAGGGTGTAAACGGAGGGTGGCAGTTTAGAAAGGATCCTAGGAAAAATCGGGGAGTAATATCACCGCCCTCTCCCCCCATGGATATTACGATTCACATCGCATGGGGGCGGGGGCCCCGCGATTCGGGGAGTAATATCACCTTCCACTCCCACCCTGGACATGACGATCCCCATAGCAGGGGGGTGAGGCACCCCCCGCGATTCTGGGAGTAATATCATGCCCCACTCCCACCCTGGATATGACGATCCACATGGACGGGGGGGTGAGGCACCCCCCGCGATTCGGGGAATAATATCACCCCCCAATCCCACCCTGGATATGACGATCCTCATGGCAGGGGGGCGAGGCGCCCTCAGCGGTGCGGGGAGTAAGAGCCAGCCCCGCTTCCCCCCCTGGCTCTTAGGACCCCCATCCCAGGGGACGAGGCGCTCCCCGCGGCCCCCGCTGGCTCTTAGGAAATTAGGAAGCTTCTTACCAAAGCATCTGGAAATATGCAAGAAATTCTTGTGAACTAAAATTTCCATACTGTGCTATCAAACACTGGAACTCACTTATTCCATCTTTGTGTATTTTGGGACCCAATTATCCACTTCTCTTCATTCCCCATCCCACCCCTTTTTCTTCCTAGCGTCTGCTAACCACCTTTATACTTTCCACCTTCCTGAGATTCCTTTTGTGTGTAGGTGTGTGATGGAGTCTCTTTCTGTTGCCCAGGTTGGAGTACACAGGCACAGTCCGGGCTCACTGCAACCTCCGCCTCCCGAGTTCAAGCGCTTCTTGGGCCTCAGCCCTCCGAGTAGCTGAGACTACAGGCACGCGTCACCACGCCCGGCTAATTGTTTGTGTTTTCCGTAGAGACGGGGTTTCACCATGTTGGCCAGGCGGGTCTCGAACTCCTGGCCTCAAATGATCCGTGCGACTCGGCCTCCCAAAGTGCTGGGATTACAGGCCTGAGCCACCGCACCTGGCCAAGGTTTCCTTTTTTCTTCCTACATAGAAGTGAGGACATGAAATATTTGTCATTCTGTGCCTGGCTTCTTTCATTTAATATACAGACCTGCAATCTCATCCATTTTCTCTGCAGCGGAGAGGATTTTCTTCCTTTTTAGGCTGAATAATACTTCATTGGGTGTGTATACCACAGTTTCTTAATCGAAACAAATTTCTAAAGAGCTAATGTTTTTAAAATGTCTCGGAATGTGAAACTTCAGGGATACTGTGCCCATTTTATTCTTTTCTATTTCCCATCTTATGTATGTGCAAGTGTATAACAAAGCAGCAATCAATGTGTGTATAAATCTATAACTTCAACAAATGTAAAATGTAAATGCTAAGTGGTGGCTGGGCGCGGTCGCTCACGCCTGTAATCCCAAAACATTGGGAGGTGGAAGCGGGCGGACCACCTGAGGTCGGGAGTTCAAGACCAGCCTGACCAAAATGGAGAAATTGTCTCTACTAACAATACAAAAAAAAAAAAAAAATTAGACAGGCATGGTAGCGCATGCCTGTAATACCAGCTACTTGGAAGGCTGAGACAGGAGAATCGCTTGAATACGGGAGGCAGAGGTTGCAATGAGCCGAGACCGTGCCATTGAACTCCAGCCTGAGCAACAAGAGTGAAACTCTGACTCAAAAAAAAAAAGGAAAAGAAAGAGATAGAAAATGCGAAATGGTAAGAAAAAAACAGCATAATACACATTGTATGGTGTTGATGGACAACGCATTTGAAGATAATATTTGAAGAAATCATATTACAGTTAATTTCTGTTCTTACTCATTGGAGCTTGATGCCTCTAAAAACTTCGTCATTGGAACCACCTCTGGTGCTTTAAAGGAAAAAAAAAAAAATCCACATACTCACACAGGTGCAAGGAAATCAGAATCTCAGGTATCGAGACCCAGGCCTCATCATTTGTAAGCTCCCCAGGTGATTTGACTCAAAGCCAAGATTGAGGAACGGCGACATGGATCTCTACACACAACCTGCCTAAATAGATTCTCTAGAAGCAGTTTATAAAGAAATTCCACATGAACTGTGGAAGAGGTTATGAATTTGATGTACAGTATGTCCTCACTTAACATCTTTGAAAGTCTCTTGGAAACTTCACCTTGAAGCAAAGTTATGTATAGTGAAACCACTTATTTTTCATCAACAGTATAACTACACAACTTTGAACAACCAATGGTGTTGGAGGACCTCTTGTACATTGTTTCCATAAAGTCAGTTTTCAGGGAATTCCAAAATGAAGTGAGGACTTCATGTATATAAAAAGATGGTTGTGATTCCACCTGGATGACAGGGTTATTGCTCAGAAACTAAAAGAGGCCGCCTAGGTATAGAGGATTCTGTCATGAGGTTTCTGCTGAACAAAGGATCCCAGAATACTCACCCATTCCAGTGAAAGGCATAACGAAGAAAGCAATATTCACAAAGGAAATGCGGAAAGGAATAAAAGCCGTCAAGCCACAAAAATAATGTGACCAAGGGGCAGGATTTGCAGATGTAGAGATTTGATGTGGTTTCCCTTTTTCACCCACACAAGAAAAAGGATGCAAGAGATCATGAGATTCAACTGTTCTGCTGCGCAGCCTCCGCAGGGCACTTTGTGTGTGCCTGTTTCTCAGGCTGTAGATGAAAAGGTTCAGCATGGGGGTGACCACAGCGTACATCCCTGACTCCACGACACCATTCCTGGGGGGTGGTGCCACAGCTGAAGTCAGGTACATGCCAATGCCTGTTCCATCAAATCAGCAAACAACTGCTAGGTGAGAGCCACAGGTGGAGAAGGCTTTATACTTCCCATCTGACGATGACATCCTTAGAACGGAGGGGACAATTTTAGAGTAAGACAAAAGGATCCCTGAAATGGGAAGAAAACCAAACATAGTACTATCAAAATATATGAATATGCTATTGATGACGCTGTCAGAACAGGCAAGTTTGAGAAGTTGAGAGGGGTCACAGACAAAATTAGAGATTTCCACATTCTTGATGATGGTGAATTGTAACACAATCCAACTGTGCAGCTGGGAATCCAACAGGCTAAGGAAAAAGGACACCAAAACGAAGAAGACACAGAGGTGAGGATTCACGATGACTGGGTAGTGCAGAGGGCAACAGATGGCTACAAAGCAGTCATAGGCCATCACAGTCAGGAGCATGTCTTCTATACATGCAAAAAGGACCAAGAAAGACATCTGTGTCAGGCAGCCAGCATGAGAGATGACTCTGCCATGCGACTGCGTGTCCACAATCATCTTGGGAACCGTGGCCGAGGTGTAACCGATGTCAGCCCAGCACAGGTTGGAGAGGAAGAAGTACATGGGGGTGTGGAGGTGGGAGTCAGAGCTGACAGCCAGGATGCTGAGCAGGTTCCTCAGCACCGTGACCAGATACATGGACAGGGACAGGGAGAGCAAAGCGAGGACCGGCTGCAGTTCTGGATCCTCTGAGAGTCCCAGGAGGAGGAATTCTCAGACACCTGTGAGATTCAGTGGCTCTGTGTGTCTTGGACACCTTGAGAAGGAAAGAGGATTGGGAAAATAAAAGATAAAAACCAGCCCTTAATGCTGTGTGTATATTTTGGATGCAAGCAATTCACAAGGAACATTTTCACACTTGCGGACCATACACCGCCAGCAATGTTTCTCAGTTGTGACAATTCCAAAAATCTCAGAATTATTATGTGATTTACTTTTTTGCTATACAAGTCTTTCGGTACATACTACTTTAGAGAAAATCCACTGAAGAATATTAGAAGACCAAAACGTCATGTATAACAAATCCGTGATCTCAGTAAAATACTGCCTACTCTTTTCAGAAAAAATACAATGCAATGAAAATGTCCTTCTCTCTTTAAGAAAAAGATCTCAGTCTAATTGAAAGAAATTAAGAAGCCGTGAAATACACTCTATTTTATTCTGACACCGTGCTACAAATTCCTTTGATGTAGAGTATGTAAAAGGACGACACAAGAGCTAGGACCGCATTATCTAAAAACGAAATCGAACCTTATAGTTCTCAATCAGAACACCTTTTCACCTGCCTGTGACTTTTCATATTTATTATCATCCTTAGGTTTTCTGACATCGTTTCTTCACAAAAGTACATGCACACTCAAATATGGGAGCTGTGTTTCCAAATGAATTGAATATATAACTCTTGGCCGAGCGCCATGGCTCACACCTGAAATCCCAGCACTTTGGGCGGCCGAGGCTGATGGATCACCTGAGGTCAGGAGTTCCAGACCAGCCTGGCCAACGTGGTGAAACCCTGTCTCCAGTGAAAATTTAAAAAAAATTAGCCGAGGGTGGCAGGTAAGCCTAGCTACTCGGGAGGCTGAAGCAGGTGAATCCCTTAGAACCTGGAAGGCAGAGATTGGACACCCTGTGATAGGATTTTTGATATCCTAGGGAGATATTGCTCCTGACAGCAGAGCGGGCTTACACCCTGTGATATTATTTGTAACATCCTAGAAAGATATTGCTCCTAATATCACAGTGGCTGTACACCCTGTGATATTAATTGTAATATCCTACAGAGATATTACTCCTAATAATACAGTGGGTGTACACCCTGTGATATTATTCATAATATCTTACGGAGATACGACTCCTGATATCACAGTCAGTGTACACCATGTTTGTACACCCTGTGATCTTATTTGTAACAACTTAGAAAAATATTACAGCTAATACCAAAGTGGGTGTACACCCTGCGATGTTATTTGTTATCTACTAGGTAGATATTAGTCCTAATATCACCGTGAGTGTACACCATGTGTGTACAGACTGTGAAATTATTCGTAATAACCTGGGAAGATATTACTCCTAATAGCACAGTAGGTGTACACCCTGTGATAGTATTTGTAATCACCTAGGGAGATACGATTCCTAATATTACAGTGGGTGTACACTCTGCGATGTTATTTGTAATGCCCTAGGAAGATATTACTCCTAATATCAAAGTGGATGTACACCATGTGTGTACACTCTGTGATATAATTCATAATATCCCAGAGAGATATTTCTCCTAATATCACAGTGGGTGTACACCCTGTGATATTATTTGTACTATCCTACAGGGATATTGCTCCCAGTATCACAGTGGGTGTACACCCTGTGATATTACTCATAATATCCTAGGGAGATATTACCTCTAATATCACAGTTTCTGTAAACCCTGTGGTATTATTCATCATATCCTAGGGAGTTATTATCCCTAACCTCACAGAGCGTGTACACCATGGGTGGACACCCTGTGATGTTATTGGTCATATCCTAGGGGGATATTACGCTTAATGTCACAGTGGGTGTTCACCATGTGTGTACGCACTGAGATGTTACTCGTAATATCCTAGGGAGAAATTACACCTAATGTTACAGTGGGTGTACACCATGTGTTTCTATTCTGTGATGCTATTGGTAATATCTTGGAAAGTTATTAGTCCTAGTGCCACAGTGGGTGTATACCATGTGTGTCCACTCTGTGATGTTATTCGTATTATCCTAGGGAGATAGTTCTCATAACATCACCGTGGGTGTACATCATGTATGTACTCCCTGTGGTCTTATTGGTTATGTCCTGGGTTGATAGTACTCCTAATATCACCTTGGGTGCACACCGTGTGTGTACATTCTGTGATGGTATTCATAATAGCCTAGGGAGATATCACTCCTGATGTCATAGTGGGTGTACAGCCTTGTGATATTCTTGGTAGTATCCTTGGGATGTATTACTCCTGTTATCACAGTGGGTGTGCACCCTGTGATAGTATTTGTAATATCCTAGGGAAATATCATTGTATACCCGGTGATATTGTTTGGGACATCTGAGGGAGCTGTTTCTCTTAAAGTCAGAGTGGGTGTACACCCTGTAATATTCTTCCTAATATCACAGTGGGTGTACACCGTGAGTGATATTTTTTTCTAATATCCAGCGGGGGAGAGGATGATATTGCTTCCAATATCACAGAAGGTGTACACCCCGCTGCGATATTGTTCTGAATATCCAGGGAAGGAGAGGATGACATTATTCCCAATATCACTGGGGGTGTACCACCTCCCGCTGGGATATTGTTCTTAATATTCGGAGGTGGAGAGAATGATGTTACTCCCAATATCCCAGGGGGTGTACACCACCCCTGTTTGTAAACACCCCCTGTGATATTGTTCCAAATGGCCTGTGAAAGAGTAAATATGACTCCCATTATTGCGGGGGGGTGTTCAGCCCTGATGATATTGTTTTCTAACATCGAGGGAAGGAGAGTATGCTATTACTCCCAATATCACAGGGGTTGTACACCCTTTTGTGTTTTCGTGCCCAATATCCAGGAAAATAGAGGATGATATTACTCCCAATATCGAAGTAATTGTACAGCACCCCTGTGATATTCTTCCTAATATCCGGAAAGGAAAAGAATGATATTACTCCCAGCAGCGTAGGAAACGTATACCCACGCTGTGGTATCTTTCCCAGTATCCAGGTGGGGAGAGGATCATATTACTTCCAATATCGCAGGGTGTGTGCACCCCCTCTGTGATCTCGTTGCTAACATCCAGGTTTGGGGAGGACGACATTACTTCCAATATCGCAGGGGGGGTACACCCCCCCCCCGTGACCTTGTTAGTCATTTCCTGGGTGGAGAGGATGATATTACTCCCAATATCGCAGGGGGTGTACTCACCCCTGTGAAAATCTTCCTATATTCAGAGGGAGAGAGGATGATATTACTCCCAGTACCGCAGGGGGTTTACACAGCCCTGTGATACTCTTCCTAATATCCACAGGGAGAGAGGATGATATTACTCCCAATATCGCAGGGGGTGTACACAACCCTGTGATATTGTTCCTAATATCCAGAGCGAAAGAGGATGACATGACTCTCAATATCACAGGGGGTGTACACCCCTCCTGTCCTATTGTTCTGAATACCCTGGGAGGGAGAGGATAAGGTGACGTTGAATATCGCAGGGAATGTGCACCCTCCCCCTCTGATACCCTTCCTAATGTCCAGGGGAAGAGAGGAAAATTTTACTCCCAATATCGCAGAGGCAGTACACCCCACCTGTGATGTTGTTCCCAATATGCAAGGCGGGGAGAGGATGATACTACTCTCAATATCGCAGGGCTGTTCACATCCCCAGTGACATTTTTCCTAATATCTAAGGGAGAGACAATTATATGACAGCAAAGGTCGCAGGGTCTGGACATCCCTTCCTGATGTTGTTCCTAATATCCAGGGGGGAAGAGGATGATATCAAATATGAAAGGGGGTGTACACCCCCCACTCCTACGATATCGTTCTTAATAATCGTGAGGGGAGACGATAAAATTGCTCCAAATATCGCAGGGGTGGTTCACAACCCCCTGTGATGTTGTTTCTGATATCCGGGGCGGGGGAGAAAATCATATTACTTCCAGTATTGCAGGTGGTGTATACCCCACCTGAAATATGGCACCGAATATCCAAAGAGGGAGAGGATGGTATTAATACCAATATCGAAGTGTGAGTGCACGCCCCTAGTGAAACGGTTTTTAATATCCAGCGGGTGGGAGGATGATATTAGTCCCAACATCCCAGAGGGTGTACACTACCCCTGTGGTATTGTTCCTAACTTCCAGAGGGGAGAGGATGATATCACTCCCAATATCTCAGAAGTTGTACATCCCCCGTGATATTGTTCGTCATATCCAGGGAGGCGCAGGATGACATTCCATTGAATTTCGCGACAGGCGTACACGCACAGTGTGATATTGTTCCTAATATCCAAGAAGGGAGAGGATGACATTACTCCCAATAAAGCAGTGGGTGTACATTACCCCTGTGTTACTGTCTCTAATATCCGGGGCAGGGGGAGGCGGGGAGAGGATAACATTCCCTCAAATTTAGCAGGTGGTTTGACACCCCTCGTGGTGTTGTTTTACATATCCAGCGGGGAAGACCATAATACTATTTTTGATAGTCCGATTCATCCGCTCCACCTTTCCGGAACTCTGAGGCCGGGAGGCGGCATGCAGTTTCCGTGTGATCCCCAATACCGTTGCCGTCTTCTGTAGCAAGTCAGCCACAAACGCAGGCCCGTTATCTGAGCCGATCCGGAAGGGCAGTTCCAATCTAGGAATCAGATCTCGAAGAAGCACACGGGTTACTTCACGAGCTTTCTCAGCTCTTGTTGGATAGGTCTCCACCCACCCAGAGTAGGTACGCCCAAGAACTGGTAAATACTTATTCCCTCCACACTCTGGCATCTCTGTGAAGTCTACCTGGAGATCTTCAAAGGCGGCTGCTCCATAAGCTTGTATGCCGGGCGGAACGGCTGGACCTTGCCTCGCATGATGCTGTCGGCAGCTGACACAACGCTGCCTCACCGTTTTGGCAAGGGCTGAGAAAGGCGAGATGTAGAAATACTGGCCTAACAACTTTTTGCAGTGACTCCTGACCTAGATGGGTGGTTTCTTGCACAGCCAGTACAACTGCAGCTCCTCGCAGCTGTGGCACAGCTACTCTCCCATCTGGTAACCGAATCCATCCTTCCTCCATCACTTGTCCTTCCCTCTACCTGGAGAAAGTCCTTTTCTTCTTTAGAATAAGCAGGTCCAAGATCAGGTGCTTGAGGGAGCAGAGGAGCTGTGACTGATGCCTAGAAAGGGGCAGATGCTGCTTTTCCAGCCTCTGAGTCAGCGCGGGAATTCCCCAAGCCCACCAAGGTGGAAGCTCGCTGGTGTCCTCTGCAATGCATAACTGCCACCTTGTGGGGTTTCCATACTGCTTCTAATAAATGAAAGATTTCTGGTTGATATTTTCTGCCTTTTCCCCCAGAGTTCGATAGGCCCTTTTCTTTCTGTCACACTCCATGCACTTGAAGGCTTAAAAAGGCATACCAAGAATCAGTGTAAGTGTTGACAGTCTTACCTTCACTGAGTTCTAAGGCCCGAATTAAAGCAATGAGTTCAGCTTACTGGGCTGAAGTGGCCTGGGGCAATGATCTGGCTTCAAGTTGTTGAGTGTCCAGGGTTACCACTGAATACCCTGCACCTCTCTCTCCATGGGGGTTGACAAAGCTGCTCCCGTCCACCTATAGTTCCCAGTCTACTGATGCCCAAGGCTGGTCCCGGAGGTCGGGTCTGCTAGAGTCAACTGAGTCCAACACTTCTACACAATCATGCTCGACAGGGCTCATGATGTCCTTTAGTATTCATTAAAGTCACCACAGCATGGGGGGCCTTTGTGTTCAGGTTCTGCCCAAGAGTCAGCTTATTTGCTTCTTGTACTAGCAGGGCAGTTGCTGCCAAGGCCCTCAAACACAGGGGCCATCCTTTAGAGACCCCGTCTAATTGTTTAGAGAGGTAGGCCACCGGCCTCGGCCAGGGCCCCACAGTTTGGGTTCAAAGTCCGGCTGCCATCTTATGTCTCTCTCTGACACATAGGATGAAAAAGGCTTTGTCAGATCGGGTAGCCCCAGGGCTGGGGCTGACATAAGTTTCTCCTTTAACTCATGAAAGACTTGCTGTTGTTGGGATCCCCATTCAAAAGGTTCCCGGTCCCCGTCCCCTTTGTGACCTCATACAAAGGCTTGGCTTATACTGCAAAGTTTGGGATCCGCAGTCTACAAAACCCCACAGCTCCTAAGAATTCTCTCACCTGCCTTCTGCTCTTAGGCTCCACTAGATGGCAAATGACCTGCTTTCTTTCTGATCCCAGGCTGCGTTCCCCCTGTCAGATAGTAAACCCCAAGGAACGTACCTGCTGTCGGCAGATCTGAGCTTTTTTCTTGGACAACTTATACCCACAGTCCTCCAGGTGTCAGCGTAGGGCAATCCCTTCCCTTGGCGCACCCGACTGCTGTGGGGTGTCCCAGCAAAAGCTCATCAACCTAGCGGAGCAATGCGCAGCCTAGGTCTCCGGTGGGAAACTTCTGGAGGTCTCGAGCCAACGCCTCCCCGAAGGTGGTGGGGGAGTTCTTGAACTCTTGGGGAAGCCCGGTCCAAGTGTACTGAGTAGTGACACCTGACTCCGGATCTTCCCACTGAAAGGCAAACAGCTTCTGGCTCTCAGGGGCTGATCTGATAGGAAAGAAAGCGTCTTTCAGGTCCAAGCAGGTGAACCAGCTGTCCTCAGCTGGCAGCAACCCCAACAATGTGGACGGGCTAGGTACTGTTGGATGGAAAGTCAGGGTAGCTTGACTAAGCAAGCGCAAATCCTGTCCCGGCCTGTAGTCCTTGGTCCATAGCTTGGGAACAGGCAGGAGGGGAGTGTTCCGTGGAGACCGACAAGGAACTATCATTACAAAAGTTCTTAGGTGCTTAAGATGGACCTGGATACCTTGAAGAGCTTCTCTGGGGACCGGGTCCTGTTTTTGCCTAAGCGGCTGGGCCCCAGTCTTAACTGGCCAACCCTGGAGGGTTGTCTTCTGCCCATACTCTTGGCCACCGCTTAGCCAGAGCTGGTCTTATCTCTTGGCCCGGCTCAGTTCAGAAAAGTCTCCATTCCTCCTCTCGGGGGACCGTAAGGGTCATAATGACTCCCGTGGCGGGTAAATTTAGCAGCAAAGAGCTGTGTTCTGTCAAAGACAGAGCAGCTCTCAGCTTGCTAAGCAAGTCCCTTCCCAACAAGGGCAAGGGACAGTCAGGCATGTAGAAAAACTGATGAATCACTTGATGTCCTCCCACAGTACGAGTCCCAGGCAAGCAGAAAGCTAGCTTTGCTGAAGCCCCCGTGGCTCCGGTGATGTCAAGAGTCTTTCTGGATAAGGGGGCGACCGGGGCGGTTACTAGCGTATGTTCAGCACCGGTATCTACAAGAAAATCAATGTCTCTACCCCCGACTGTCATTCTGACCAGAGGCTCTTTGGGGACACTTGAGCCCGGTCTCCCTCAGTCCAATAACCCTTCTGCCAGGTTGAGCCGGGCCCCTTCCTCCTTGTCCGGGGCCTCCTGCTCTGAGTCACCTTGTTTTCTTTTGAGCTCAGGGCATTTGTTCTTCCAATGTCCTATTTCTTTACAATAAGCACACTGGTTACGCTGCAAACTCTGACAGCCAAGCTGAGTTTCTTTCCCAGGGCACCTCTTCCCTTGCTTCTTTGGGGGGACCGCTCTGATTGCTGCAGCTAACCAACAGGTCGGCGTTTCGCCGGGCCTGACGTTCATTCTCTTTGCGCTTTTCCTCGCGGCTTACTGCGTCCCCGTTTACCAACACCTGCTTAGCTATTGCTCATCAATGTGACGTATTCATCCCTGCAAGCCCAGCCTGCTTCTGCAGGTTTCTTCTAACGTCTTCTGCGCTTTGACAGACTAAAGCCATGTGAATCATGCGCTGATTTTCAGGGTTATCGGGATCAAGGGGAGTATACATACCACAGGCCTCACACAGTCTCTGGTGGAATTGTGCTGGACTTTCTTCTTTTCCCTGAATGACCTCAGAGACCTTGTTAACGTTTGTGGCCTTCTGAGCTCCCCTCTTGAATCCTTCCAAGAGAGCTTCCCTGTCTCGGTTTAGCCTTTGCATATCCTCTCTTTCATGTGGGTCCAACTGGGGCTGGGTTCCTGGTAACTGGGTCCTTCCATACTCTTGGGGGTTTTGATAATCAGCTGGTGCATGTTCCTCTAGCCACTTAGTTGCTGCGTGGAGCCCTCTCCGCCTTTCGCCTTTCATCTCTCTTAAAGAGGAACATGAGCAACCGGTGGCGATCAGCCCAGGTGGGCTTGTGGGTCTGGATAACAGTTTGGAGCAAATCAATTAGGGCTTGCGGCTTTTCGCTCTAGGATGGGGTATTGTTCTCCCAGTTGAGAAGGTCGGCAGAGGTGAAGGGCTGGTACACAAAAACACGCCTCTCCACCACGTGACCATCCTCCTCTATCCCAGTATACCGCTGCTCTCTCAGGGGTATTTGGATCCCCGTTTTGGGTCGTCAATGAGCTGCCGGGGGAGGGGTGGGGTGGAATGGCGCAATGTGACTTGCCGCAATTAATCTCAGTTATTAATTGATACTAATAATGATCAATATTAATAACTGATCATATAATTCTTAAAATCAATACCGATAAGAATGATAATTCATATTAGAGTTATACTCACGATAACAATAAATGATTAATATTAATGATTAATGATGCCTGGTATTAAAGGGTGATATTGATCTTATTCATTAGAAAACTGCCATATTAGCTCCTAATAATTAATATTAATATTAATTATCTGAACACTATTAGCAATGATTTCTTAATATTAATATTAATATTGGTAATACATATTCATGGTAATGATAAATGAGGAAGAATTAATATGAATATTATCCCTAATACCTCAGTGGGTGTACACCCACCGGTGATATTGTTCCTAATGTCCAGGGAGGGAGAGAGCATGATATTACGTTCAATATCGCAGTAGGTGTACACCCACCCGGTGATATTGATCCGAATATCATCTCCGGGGGATGGCGTAGGACGTTACTCCCAAGACAGCAGTGGGTGTTCATCCACCCGGTGATATTCCTCCTAATATTCCCGGAAGAAGAGAATGCTATTACTCCCAGTATCGCAGGAAGTGTACACCCCTTCTGTGACATTGTTCCTAATATCCGGAGGGGGAGAGGGTGATATTACTCGCAATATCGCCGGCTGTGTACACCCACCCTCTGATATTGTTCCTGGCAGCCAGGAAGGGAGAGGACGATGTGACTCCCCATACAGCAGGAGGTGTACACCCATCCTGGGATATTATTCCTAATATCCATGGAGAGGAGAGGCTGATATGACTCCCAATATCGCAGGGGGTGTACATCCAGTCTGTGATACTGTTCTTAATATTCAAAGCTGGAGAGGTTGATATCACTCCCAATATCACAGAAAGTGTACAAAGCCGTGTACTATTGTTGCTATTATCCAGAAGAAGAGAAGATGATATCACCCCCCCATCGCAGGAGGTGTACACCCACTCTGTGATATTTTTTCCAATGTGCAGGGCAGGCGAGGATAATATTCTTCTTAATAGCACAGGGTGTGTACAGCCCCACTGTGATATGGTCCTTAATATTCCAAGGCGGAGAGGATGATCTTCCTCCCAATACCGCAGAAAGTGTACACAGCCCCAGTGATATGGTTCCCATGATCCAGGAGAGAAGAGGATGATGTTACTTTCAATATCGCAAGGGGTGGACACGCCCCCAGTGATATTGTTCCTAATTTCAACGTGGGAGAGGATGATACTACACGGAATGCCCCTAGGGGTAAAAACACTCCTGTGATATTGTTCTTAATATCAAGGGGAAAGAGGATGCTATTACTCCAAAGAGTGCAGAGGATGTGCACCCGTCTGTGACATAGTTGGTAATTTCCAGAGGCGGAGAAGATATTACTGACAATAACGTGAACACGCTGTGTGACCACCGTGGATCGTCATATCCGCGGGGGGAGAGGGGGATGATATGACTCCCCGCATCGCGGAGGCGCCCGCCCCCCTGCGATGTGAATCGTTATATCCAGAGGGGGGTGATATGACTCCCCGCATCGCGGGGGCCTCACCGCCCTGTGATGGGGCTCCTAAGAGCCGGGGGGGATAGGGGCTGGCTCTTACTCCCTGTATCGCAGGAGGTATGTACAACCCCTGCGATATTGGGAGTAATATCATCCTCTCCCCCGAATATAAGAAACAATATCACAGGAGGATGTACACCCCCCGCGATATTAGAAGTAACATCATTTTCTCCCCCTCGGGATATTCGGAACAATATCACAGTGGGTGTGTACAGCCCCTGCGACATTGCTGCTAGTATCTTCCTCTCCCTCCCAGGATATAAGGAGGAATGTCACAAGGGAGTGTACACCCCCTGCGATATTGGCTGTAATATCTTCCTCTCCCTCGCTGCCCTTTAGGAGCAATGTCACACAAGGGGTGTACACCCCCTGCTATATTGGGAGTGATATCATCCTCTCCGTCTCTGGATATTAGGAACAATATCCCTAGGGAGTGTACACCTCCTGCAATATTCAGACTAATATCATCCTCTCGCCGCCTGGAGATTAGGATCAATATCACAAGGGTGGTGTGCACCCTCGGCGAAATTGGAAGAAATATCATCCTCTCCACCTTTGGATGTTAGGGACGGTATCACGGGGGAGGTCTCCGCCCCCTGCGATATTGGGAGTCCTATCATCCGCTCCCACCCAGGATATTAGGAACAAGATGACCGAAGGGATGTACACCCACTGCGCTATTTTCAATAATGTCATCCTCTACCCCCTGACTATTAGGAGTAACATCATAGAGGGGTGTACACTTTCTGCGATATTAGGAGTAATATCGTCTCCCCCACGGATATCGGGAACAGTTATATTAATTATTAATATTAATCAATATAAAAACAATTAAAAGTAATCATCGATATTAATAATTACAGTAGAGACAGTAAAACAGTATGGATGAAAAATATTAACGTTACTATTAATAACTAATAGCAATATCAGTATTAATAATAAAATAATGATATCACTGATTAATGTTACTTCCATCAATCATAAGTGATGTTGGTAATAAAACAATAATTACTATTAAGATTAATAACTAATATTAAAAGTGACATTAATATTAATATTTAATTTTAATCATGCATAATCATATCTTGGAAATAATCATTAATGATTGATAATGTTAAACTGTTAATTAATATGACCATTGATAATTATTCATAAGACTGATGTTTAATAATTCATATTATTACTGCTAATACCGCAGGGGCTGTACACCTCCCTGTGATATTGTTCCTAATATCCAGGGATGGAGAGCATGATATTAGTTTTCATATCGCAGTAGGTGTACACTCACCCTGTGACACCCATCCTAATACCCAGCGGGTAGAGTATGACATGACTGCCAACATAGCGATCAATGTACAGCCACCCGGTGATATTGCTCCTAATATTCACGGAAGAAGCGTACGATATTAATCCCAATATCGCAGGGAGTGTACACCTCTTCTGTGATATTGTTCCTAGTATCCCGAGGGGGAGAGGGTGATAACAATTCCAGCATCGCAGGCTGTGTTCACCCAGCCTGTGAAATTGTTATTAGTATCCTGAAAGGGAGAGGATGATATTACACCCCATAATAGATAGATATGACTCCCCATAATAGATAGACATGACTCCCCATAATAGAGCAGGAGGTGTACACCCACCCTGTGATGTTCTTCCTAATATTCAGAGGCCGAGAGGTTGATATTAGCGCCAATATCGCAGGAAGTGTACACCCCCGTGTGACATGGTCCTTAATAATACTCCAAGGCGGAGGGGGTGATATGACTACATACATGGCAGAAAGTGGACACCCCCCAGGGATATTGTTCCCATAACCCTGGAGGGAAGAGGATGATATTACTTTCAATATCACAGAAGGTGGACACGCCCCCACGGATATTGTTTCTAATTACAACGTGGGAGAGGAGGACATGACACGCGATATCCCAGGGAGTGGAAACACCCCTGTGATACTGTTCTTAATATTCAGGGAGGAAGAGGATGATATGACTCCCAATACAGACGGGTGTACACCCTCTGTCCAAGGTGTACACCCTCTGTATACAACCGTCGGTGAAACAGTTCATAATCTCCAGCGGGGGAGATGACATTGCACACAATCTTGTAAACAGGGTGTGAGTCCACCGCGGATCCTAAGAGCCAGGGAGGCAAGAGGGGCTGGCTCTTACTCCCCGCATCGCGGGGGGCGCCTCGCCCCCCTGCGATGGGGTCCTGAAAGAGCCAGGGGGGGAAGAAGAGCCAGGGGGGAAGTGGGGGATGATATTACTCCCCGCATCGGGGGGGGGGGGCGTCCGCCCCCCTGCGATGTGGATGGTCATATCCAGGGTGGGAGTGGGGGGTGATATTACTCCCCGAATCGCGGTGGCACCCGCCCCCATGCGATATGGATCTTCATATCCCGGGGGGGAGTGGCGGTTGATAATTTCACAAGGTGTGCACCCACTGTGACATTAAAAGTGACATTTCCCTAGAATATGACGACAATATCACAGAGTGTACACCCTCTGTGATATGAGGAGTGACATCTTATGGGATAATACGAGTAATTTGACAAGCTGTACAAACCCTGTGACATAAGGGGTGACATCCCTCTAGGACATTATGAATAATATCCAAAGGAACATACCCCGTGTGACAATAAAACAACCTCCCCTTAGGAGAATAAGAATAATACCGCAAGGTGTACACACAATGTGACATTATTATTAAGGTAAAGCTAGGATATTGGGAAAAACATCACAATGTACAGAGTCCTGTGACATCAGGTTTAACATTCCCCTAGAAAATTACGAATAATATTGACGGGTGTATACCCCCTGCGACTTTAGTAGCCATATCCTGCTAGAATATGGAAGATAATGTCCCAGGGTGTGAACCGAGGGAGGCACTATAGAAAGGATCCGAGGAAAAATCGGGGAGTAATATCACTCCCCTCTCCCCCACTGGATATTACGATCCATATCGCAGGGGCGCGGAAGCCCCCCTCGATGCGGGGAGTAATATCACCCGCCTCTCCCCCCTGGATATTAAGATCCACATCGCATGGGGGCGGGCCCCCCTTCGATTCGGGGAGTAATATCACCCCCCAATCCCACCATGGATATGACGATCCACAACGCAGGGAGGCGGGGGCACCCCCCCGCCGTGCGGGCAGTAATATCACCCCCCACTACCCCCCCCGATATGGCCTTCCGCATCACAGAGGGGCGAGGCGCCCCCCGCGATGCGGGGAGTAACAGCCACCCCCCTCTCCCCCCCTGGCTCTTACGATCCACGGTGGACTCTCTGCCTGTTTATGATATTGTGAGTAATATCATCTCCCCCTGTGGAAATTATGAGCTATTTCACAGACGGGTGTACACCGTCTGTATTGGGAGTAATATCAGCCTCTTCCTCCCTGAATATGAAGAACAGCATCACAGGGGTGTTTCTACTCCCTGCGATATTGGGTGTCATATCCTCCTCTCCCACGTTGAAATTAGAAACAATATCAGTGGGGCGTGTCCACCTGCTGTGATATTTAAAGTGATATCATCCTCTTCCCTCCAGGATCATGGGAACAATATCCCTGGGGGTTGTGCACTTTCTGCGATATATGAAGTAAGATCACCGCCTCCGCCTTGGAATATTATTAAGGACCATCTCACACGGGGTTGTACAGTTCCTGGGATACTGGGAGTAATATCAACCTCTCGGCCTCTGAATATTAGGAACAATATCACAGGGTGGGTGTACACCTCCTGCTCTATTATGGGGAGTCATATCTATCTATTATGAGGAGTAATACCATCGTCTCCCTTTCAGGATATTAATAACAATATCACAGAGTGAGTGAACACAGCCTGCGATGCTGGAATTATTATCTTCCTCTCCCTCTCAGATACTAGGAACAATATCACAGAAGAGTTGTACACTCCCTGCGATATTGGGAGTAATATCATACGCTTCTTCCATGAATATTAGGAGGAATATCACCGGGTGGCTGTACATTCATTGCTATGTTGGGAGTCATGTCATACTCTACCCCCTGGATATTAGGATCAGTGTCACAGGGTGAGTGTACATCTACTGCGATATTAAAACTAATATCATGCCCTCCATCCCTGGATATTAGGAGCAATATCACAGGTAGGTGTACACCCCCTGCGGTATTAGGAGTAATAATATCATTAATTATTAAACATCAGTCTTAATAATAATTATCAATGGTAATATTAATTAATAGTATAACGTTATTAATAATTAATGATTATTTTAAATATGTTTCTGCATGCTTAAAATTAATTATTGCTATTAATGTAATTTTTCAATAGTATTAGTTATTAATCTTAATAGTAATTATTGTTTTATTACCAACATCACTTATGATTGATTTAAGTGACAATTCCTGATATCATTATTTTATTATTAATAGTGATATTGCTATTAATTATTAATAGTAATCGTTAATATTTTTAATCAGTCTTAACTTTTACTATCTCTATTGTAATTATTAATATCGATGATTACTATTATTATATTTATTAATATTAATAATTAATATGACTGTTCCCGATATCCGTGGGGGAGACGATATTACTCCTAATATCGCAGAAAGTGTACACCCCTCTATGATGTTACTCCTAATAGGGGGTAGAGGATGACATTATTGAAAATAGCGCAGTGGGTGTACATCCCTTCGGTCATCTTGTTCCTAATATCCTGGGTGGGAGCGGATGATGGGACTCCCAATAACGCAGGGGGCGGAGACCTCCCTCCTGATACTGTCCCTAACATCCAAAGGTGGAGAGGATGATATTTCTTCCAATTTCGCCGGGGGTGCACACCACCCTTGTGATATTGATCCTAATCTCCAGGCGGCGAGAGGATGATATTAGTCTCAATATTGCAGGTGTACACTCCCTAGGGATATTGTTCCTAATATCCAGGGACCGAGAGGATGATATCACTCCCAATATAGCAGGGGGTGTACACCCCTTCCGTGACATTGTTCCTAATAGCCAGCAGGGGAGAGGGAGATATTACCCCCAGTATCGCAGGGGGTGTACACCCCTTCCGTGACATTGTTCCTAATAGCCAGCAGGGGAGAGGAAGATATTACCCTCTGTATCGCAGGGGGTGTACACCCCCTTGTGACATTGTTCCTTATATCCTGGGAGGGAGAGGAAGATACTAGCGACAACGTCGCAGGGGCTGTACACACCCCCTGTGATATTGTTCCGAATATCCCGAGGGGGAGAAAATGATATTACTCTCAATATCGCAGGGAATGTACATCTTCCTGTGATATTGTTTCTTATATTCAGGGGGAGAGGATGATATTACTCCCAATATCGCAGGGGTTGTACACACCTCCTGCGATATTGTTCCTGATATCCTGAAGGGGAGAGCATAATATTACTCTCAATATCACAAGGGGTGTACACATCCTTTGGAATATTGTTCTTAATATCCACAATGGGAGAGGATGATATTACTCCCAATATCGCAAGAAGTGTACAGCCACCTCTGGTATAGTTCCTCATATCTAGGTGGAGAGAGGATGATATTACTACCCATATCGCACGAGTTGTAAAACCCTTTCGATATTTTGCCTACAATCCCGAGGGGAGTGGATGATACTACTCCCAATATCGAAGAAGGTGTACAGCCCCGTGACATTATTCCCAATATCCACGTTGGGAGACTATGACGTTACGCCCAATATCGCAGGGGATGTACATCCACCCTGGGATATGGTTCCTTATATCGAGAAGGGGAGAGGATGATACTACTCTCAATATCGCAGGGGCTGTACACCCCTCCTGTGATATTGTTCTTCATATCCTAGGAAAAAGAGGATGATACTACACCCAATACCGCGGGGGGTGTTCACCCACCTCCTTAAGATATTGTTCTTAATGTACTCCACCTCCCCCCACCAGGGATATTGTTCCTCATATCCAGGGAAAGAGAGGATAACACTATGCCCAATGTCGCTGGGCGTGTACACACACCCTCTGTGATGTTGTTCCTAGTATCCAAAGGTAGAGACGATGATATTACTGGCCATATCGCAGGGGGCGTACACCCTTCTGTGATATTGTTTTTGATATTCAAGGGGGGAGAGGATAACATTAGTCCCAATATAGCAGAAGTTGTACAGACCCCCGTGATATAGTTCCTAATGTACAGGGAAAAGAGAATAATATTACTCTTAATATCGCAGGGAGTGTAACCCCCCCGCCCCCCGTATATTGTTCCTAATATGCAGCGGGGTAGAGGCTGATATTACTCCCAATATCGCAGAAGGTGCACACACACCTGTGATATAGTTCCTAACATCCAGCGGGAAACAGACTGATATTACTCTGGATCTCGCAGTGGGGGTACACCTGGCATCCCGGCACAGGTGAAGAAGTTTCACTCACTGCTTGAGTCAACATTTATTGGGCACCCTTTCTATGTGGCATTGTGCTAGTTCCTCAGGATGAAGCTGAGAATGAGGGAGATACGGCTTCTGCCCTCATGAAGTTTATACATCCTGGTGCATTTTTTATTTCATGAAAGCTAAAACTCTGCCGACCCTCAATTTCTAAAGGCCTGGATCTTCTTCATCATAGAAAATCTATTCTGGGCCAGGTGCTGTGGCTGACGCTTGTAATCTCAGCACTTTAGGAGACTGACGCCGGCGGATTGCTTGAGCTTAGGAGTTCAAGACCAGCCTGGGCAACATGGTGAAACCCCATCTCTACAAAAAGTGCAAAAATTAGCTGAGCATGGTGACACATGCCTGTGGTCCCAGCTACTCAGGAAGCTGAGGTGGGATGATTGCCTAAGCCGGAGAGGTTGAGTCCAGTTAGCCCAGATCGCGCCACTGCTCTCCAGCCTGGTCCACAGAGTGAGACCCTGTTCAAAAAAAAAAAAAAAAAGAAAAGAAAAGAAAGAAAAGAAAAGAAAAGAAAAATTCTATTCTGGATTTTGAATTAGGGTGGCTTTGGTGGGGAGGGCTTTGTGACTGCAAATACCAAAACCCAAAAGGAAAATCAGCGATGCAGGTCCCAGGCAGCTGAAAACAGCATCTAGTGGCTCCAATTTTAAAAATCCATCTACCATCTTCCCCCTGTTTTTGGGGGGAAAGCTTTCCCTTAGCTCTCTAGCATTCTCCTCATGCTATCCCAGTATTCTGTGTTCTGGAAAAGAAATTCACTTCTAAAAGCAAAGCTCTATTTTCAGCCCATTCAGGTATCTTCATTTTTGGTAGCATCTCTTGGTGCTGAGCAAAAGCACAGAAGCTTGGCCCTTTGATGTTCCCCACAACACACCTTCTACACCTTGGAGGCTGTGGGAGGAGCAAGAAATATTTGTCTTTGAACCTCTGAGTTGCCCTTCAGAGGTTCTCACTGAAGATGAATGATGAGAATAAAAATGGCAACAATCTATGTGAAGCTTTGCTACAGCCCCTCCTGGGAAGCACCTACTTCTCTGCCAGCATGAATTTATTACTGACAGATGCCATCAACACCCTAGCAAAAAGCAAATTTTTAACAATATTCTCTCAGACACGGGGTTTTGGAAAGTTCTCTTTGCATCTGAAATTCTAATGAAGGGGATGAAGAGAAAGAGCTCAAATAGGCAGAGGGTTGCCTTGGGAAATGGGCAGGGTGGTCTGGAACTGGCACAGCTAGCTCCCAAGGGTGGTCAAAGAATGAATGGGTGCATCAGAACCCTCGGCCTTACCCTCAGAGGTTCTCATCAGTAGATGTGGGCTAAGGCCCGGAAATAAATCTATTTATTTATTTAGCTTTAGCAAAGCTCCTCTGGAGCTTCCAAGAATCATTTAAGTTTATAAACCCTAGAACTAGGGGCTAGACTGATCAACAATCTCCTGGTTAGCCTCTCCTGCCTTCCTGACTACAAAACTCCCTGCCCTGTGTGTCTCCAACCCCTCCCTCTGAACACCAGCCTCAGGTTTGGTCTTTCACTCCACTTTTTGTCATTAGCCCCTAGAGGCCTGTGGCTGAAACTGGAGTCAGCCCCAGCCCCAGTGCCAGGTGGAGCAATTGACTTGGGCCATTTCAGCAAAGGCTTTGGGTTACCAGACACCCATCTGCTGGCTGTTCTCGCCAAAGAAACGGGAGTCAGATCACTCTCACTGGGTGTCAACCCCACGCGTCCCCGTGTGCAGAGAGGAAGAGGATCCGCCTCACCTTCTGGCGCCTTCACTACAAACAGCTCCCAGACGGCTCCCCAAAGCCTTCTCCTGAATAGCCTAACATCTCCCAGAAGAGCCTGAGTGTGTTGTCAGAAAGAGCCCACTCCAAAGGAACATCAGCCTCCCTCTTCCATTCCATCTCCTGGCTGGGCGCCCACGTCCTCTATTCATTCAAGACAAATATAACAGCCCACTCCTCAAAATAGAGACCGAACACCCACTCATCCCCACTTCCTTCCATTTGTTGGTGCTTTTCTCTTTATGGCTTCCAGGAACCCAGGGTTATTAACAGGAGTCTATGCTAGTGACCAAAATAGTTTTTATCTTCTTGTTATAAAAAGGAACTTTTTATTTTTATCCAACACATCTACACAACTTAAAAGTTAAATATAATACAAAGCCTCAAACAAACAACAAAAAAAGCAGTTTTCTCTTCCTTCTTTCCCCGAACAGTAACACTTTCAACTCTTGAAGTGTTTTTAGCAGAAATGCATTAACCTCTATATTTCTAAGTAATAGTCATATTTGTGTACTGTTTCTTTATGCTTTTTCAATTTGGGACATTATCAACTTCCTACTGTGGAAAATGACAATATAGCACTTTTACACACATTTACTCTTCTCAGACTATCCACATAGATTTTCCCTTCTTTTCCCATATTTATGTTATATTTGTAACTTTTAATTTGTTTAACTTGTAACTTTTAAAGTTATAATGTAACTTTTAATATATTGACATTATAATAGTGTTTACATTACGATTGTACAAGTCTTGTTCATTGTTAACCCATGTATTATACTATGATTATATGTTTTTCTTCAACATTTTGTTCTCAGAGTTAATAACCTCCTCTTTTTGCTTGCTCAGTTATTCTACGTAGGCATCAGCAACTTTTCCCACTTTCGTCAAAGAACTGTAAAACCTCTCTCTTTTTCTAAAAAGTCTGTGGAAGGTTTTATGGTCTTTTCTTTATCTTTAGTATTTAACATTGTATGATGTTGTGTCCTGGATTGGTCTTTATTCCTCATTTTCTAGGCGTTGCTTGCATTGTTTTTGTTTGTTTGTTTTTCCGGTTTGCAAATGCATGGCTTTCAGTTCTGAGGAATTTCCTTGTAAGATTTTTTCCTCTATTTTTTTCTGTGTACATAAGCTGCCTCCCTGTCTCTATGTAGGCATGTATGTAACATTTGCCCCCTAGATGTTGGGAATCTCTCATTTCCTATCCTTTCTGTTGTCCATCTCGTTGTCTTTTTGTTCTGCTTTCTGAGAGATTTCCTTTATCTTCCAGTTCTACCACTGGAACATTTATTCTGGCTATTATATTTTGAAGAGCTCATAATTCTCTCTATCTGTATAGCAATCCTCTCCAATTTTCTGAGTGCAATATTTTCTATCTCTCTGACAATATTATTATGAGGTTGTTTTCTCCAAAAGTTTTTTTACTTTCTGCATAATCTCTGCTTTTTTTTTTTCCTGAGAAGATGGAGTTCTGCTTTTTCTTTTTTTTTTTTTTTAAAGGCAAATTCCCTTTCCCCTCTTTTCTTTAATACTCCCTTCTTCAGAGTTACCAATGGTTTAGTTAGTGGGATGTCTTTCAAGGTCATTTTTCAGGCACTTACATTTAAACATACACATATAATTATGTATCTTCTGTTTTTTCATACTACACTAGTGAACTGCATCTTGTCTTTCTTTTTGTACATAACAAATGCTGAAGATATTTTAATGTCTGTGCATCTGAACCATTTATTATTTTTAACTCCTTTATTATTTTTAACTCCATAATAAGATTGTGCCAATATTTATTTGACACCTAGATTGTATAACATGTTTCTCTTTTCAAATCAATACTCTTAAATTTTTATGTTTATTTCTATAGGATAAATATTTAGAAATCAAATCGTTGAGTTGCAAGGTAATTTTATTCAAAATTTTGGTAGAAACTACCAAATCGTCCTACAAAAATGCAGTATTAATTTACACTATGATAAAAAATTATGAAGGTATCTATTTCTTCACACTCTTACAAACACTAGATATTATCAATCATTTTAACTTGTCAGTTTGATAGACAAAAAAATCAGTATATTAATGTTTGGTTAACTTGTTACTGGTAAGGTTGAACAGCTTTTCCCACATTTATAAGCTGTTTTAAAATTTTTCCTCTGTGAATTGCCCATGCATAGATCCCTCTAATATTTCTACTGTGTTGTTTGGGAGTTTGCAGAATCTCTTAATATGCTATAGACCCAATTATTTGTATTTGTAAAAGTTGTAGATATTTTCCCCATGTCACCTATCTTCAGGTAATGGTATAAAGAGTTTTTCAGCCTTTTTTTGATTTCAAATTTATCAAATTTTTTGTGTGACTTGGGAGTAATGTGTGGATTTTAGGGAAGTTTCCCCGCCCTAAACTTTCTCTATTGCCCTCTAATACTTTGATAGTTTTAATTTTTAAGTATTTAGCTATTTATTTTTGTGTAAGGTAAAAGACTGAGATTTAATTTTATTTTTCAAAAGAAAGCTAATTTTTTCAGCATTAACTATTGCATAATCCACCTTTCCCTCTATGATTTGAAATGCTGTGTGTTTTATATACTCAGTTCCCATTTGTAGATTCGTCTGTTCCTGGATTCTTTGTCTGTTACATTGCTCTAAATCAGGGATTGGCAAACCACAGCCTGTGAGCTAAATCCAGCCTGCTGCCTGTTTTTTGTAAATAAAGTTTTATTGGAACACAGCCATGCTCATTTGTTTACATATTGACGATGGCTGCTTTCAGGCTGCAGTGGCAGTGTTAAAGTAGTTGCAACAGAGACGGTATGATGGCAAAGTCCAAAATATTTACTCTTTGGTCCTTTATGGGAAAACTTTGCCAGTCCTTGCCCTAAATGGCTATTGTTGTGTTAGTATCGTTAATAACAGGAGCCCTATAGTGTGTTTGCATCTGGAAAGGTAAATACCTCCTCATTGGGTCTATATTTCAAAATATTCTTGGCTAGTCCTTGTAATGTCTTTGGGGTCAATTTTACATTTAGTTTGATTATTGGTATGGCTGGGTTTGAATGTACCAGTTTTCTATTTTTTTACTTGCCCTATTTGTTTTCGACCCTTTTTCCCTTTTTGTGTGCCTTCTTTTCAGTTTATTATTTTCTTATTCTACTTTATCACTTATGCCTCTTTGTTTCATTTATTTATTTATTTATTTATTTATTTATTTATTTATTTTTGAGATGGAGTCTCGCTCTGTCGCCCAGGCTGGAGTGCAGTGGCACAATCTTGGCTCACTGCAAGCTCCGCTTCCGGGGATCACGCCATTCTCCTGCCTCAGCCTCCTGAGTAGCTGGGACTACAGGTGTCCGCCACCACGCCCGGCTAATTTTTTTTTTTTTTTTTTGTATTTTTAGTAGAGACGGGGTTTCATCATGTTAGCCAGGATGGTCTTGATCTCCTGACCTCGTGATCCTCCCGCCTGAGCCTCCCAAAGTGCTGGGATTACAGGTGTGAGCCACCGTGCCTGGCTGCCTCTTTGCTTTATTTCTAGTGGTTGTTCTAGAGTTTATAGTATACATCTTTAAACTATCATAGTCCATCTTTAAGTAATATTATACCATTTCAAATATAGCATAAGAAACCTACAACAGTATACTTTCATTTTTTTCTTTCTGCTATTGTGGTGAGACATTTTACTTTTTACATATGTCACAAACCCCACAATGCATTGTTTTTATTTTTGCTTTAAATAGTTGATTATTTTGTAAAGAGATTTAAAATATTTTTTAAAACTTTTGTATTTGCCCACAAGTTACCATTTCTGGGGCTCTTCATTCTTTGTGTAGATGTAGTTTTTTTAATCTGGCTTTTTTTTTTTTTTCTTGGCCTAAAAGACTTCCATTAACATTCCTTGTGCAGCTCTGGTGTTGAATTCTTTCAGCTTTTGTATGCGTGAGAAAGGTTTTATTTCATCTTTGTTTTTGAAAGAGATTTTTGCTAGGTATAAAATTCTAAGTGGATAGCATTTTTCTTTCAATATTTAAAAAGGCTGGTTGCTTTTTAAGCTTTGTTAGGCAGGACCGGAGCAACACCCTTGAGTCCTTTATGAGGTGTCCCATGTATTACAAGGCTTTTTCATTCTACTTGGTGGGGACTGAAACTGTTCTTGGCCTTACATGAGCTCCAGGGATGGTTTTGTTCTTTTCTCCTGGCTCACTCCCTGCCTCGGTGCTTTCCTCACAGGTACTTGCAGATCAGCACTGAGCTGAAGGCTGGAGGGGAACCTTCTGCGGATCTTCATGGCCTTCCCCTTCACTCTGCACAGCTCTTTCTCTGGTACTCTGCCCTGTGAACTCTGGCCACCTTGGCCTACCTAAATTCTCAACTCTGCCTTCTCAATTCAGGGAGACTTCTGGGATCCATTTAATTTCCTCCTGTCTGTGCTGTGGCCTGGGAACACTCAGGCTGTCAGATGAGGCATTGATCATGCTCACCTTGTTTAGTTTCCTTCTCTGGGGGCTACTCTACTGCTCTACCTATTGTCAAATGTCTAAAAAACATTTTTTATTCATATTTTTTCTATTTTTAATTATTTAAGGTGGGAGGGTAAAAGTAATACCCATCTTTCCGTCATGGCTGAAATGTTTTATTTGGGATTTTGATTGGAATTGATGGGAAAACTTGACACTTATATCATTCTTTCCTTTTAGGAATAGGGTATATCAATTTGTTTCAGTCTTCTTTGAAATCCTCCCATGGACTTTATGGTCTTACACATTCCTATTGATGTTGCATTTAAAGGCCCCAATACAGGCTCGTTACCTTCTCTCTTAAAGCCTGTTATTCCTACTCTAGCAATTCAGCAGTAGAGTCTAAAGAAGACCCTGGGGCCTCTGCTCCTTAGAGTAGCTCCTAGACCTATCCTCTTCCACCTCTGCAGGTCAGGAGAAAAGGGCCTGTTCTAGCCTACTCTTTCATGATGGCAGAGCAGCCTGAGCAGCTCTGGACTAGAGGGTGTGGATGAGAAAACAGTGGATGCATCCCTCATGGAACTCCAAGGGAAAACTGGCTAAGAGCTGCTTCATCTTGGCATGGCTTGCCTGAAGCTTTCTTCTACTGTTATCCATAGTAGGGCATGAATGTACTATGAGAAGTAAAACCGGAAGATTGAACTACTGGTCTACAGGGGGTATATCATCTCTATCTGGTTGTGGGGTCACTCCACCTACCTTATTTATGTTGTGGGCCTGCCTCTTTGACAGATGATTACTAATACACAGAAAAAAAAGTCATCTCTAATAATATCTCTGTGTTGAACAGGCATTTATGAGCTAGTTAGGGAGGCTGGGGACGTGTGTTCTAAATGTCAAACAACCAATTTAGAAGCAAATTTGGAACTGAGTCTTCCTTCCTAAGTTGGGAACTATCTGTTCTTATGAAATCCATCTTGCAGTAATGACAGTAATAAATTGAGGATCCCTCAGCTGACTACAGTTGACACCAGATGGGTAAACACCCATCCTAAGTAATGAGTTGGTTAATTATAGCTGTGCCATGTTCATAGACCTTCAATTAGTCTCTTGAGAATATATAACTTTATCCCCTACAATGGCTCATAGCATCTGAGCAGGACTTCTCAGAGGTCAGACTTCTCCATTAATTCAAAATACATGTCTTCAGAACCTAAGGGCTGGGTGGAATTTAGCTTACTTATTTTCATTATTCCTCTGTGTGGGGATCAGCTTGTATAAAGCACTAGAGAAATGACAAGGCAAATACAAGAATGATAGGGAGGAGATTTTTAAATATTTTACCATACTCACATTATCCCCACCCTCATACTTAGCCAGTCATATGTAACACCCTGATCTCT